>NC_000017.11:20491111-20817295 GCF_000001405.40 Homo sapiens
CATTTGTGCCATTTCTTGGAACCACTTGCTTGTTTAATTCTAGTCTATCAAGTGATAATTTTGTTGATATTTAGAGGCTCCTCAGTTAATTTCTGTGGGATTTTTCGTTATATTTAATAAGGAAAATAATAGGAAATAGCTAAGAAAAAAAGAAACAAAGCCAATTATTCCTGAGCGTGTTTAAAATTATTGAAGTACACTTGTTAATTTTTAGTATAGAACCTACATTTCATAATAGAAAACCTTGGACTTGCCAGTGTTAGCTGCTGGAATAAGGTGTTTGTCCAGTACATTCAGAATGTCGCCACAGATTAACTTCAGCTCAGTCTCAACCTGAAAAAATAAAAATGAATTTTAAAAAATTCAGATTGTTGAAGTCTAGAAATTTTGTAAGTTATTACACATTCTATGTACCTCTGATTTTGAGGAAGAGAGCTTAGTATTGAACAGAATTAGTTTCCCTCTCCAAACTCCATTCCTCCCTTTTGACACAAAAGCAGAGAAAAGCTGCCTCTGGGTCATCAAAAGTATCTTTTCCTTTCTGCGTGCAATTAAGTGCTACACACACACACCACCCCTACCCCAACACCCCATCACAGTCCAACTGCAGAATCACCAATGACTGAAACTGAACACTGATGCTACTTGGTAAACACTGGTCAATTACATGAATCTTTCACAAGGTAGCAACTATTGTGTCCATTTACTTGGGAAAACAGAAGCTAAGACATTTGCTCAAAGATCATCACCTTAAAAGAACTTAATAAGCAGAGCTAGGATTTGAACCCAGGCAGGGTGCAAGGGACAGAACAAAATTCAAACCCAGGCAGTTTGCCTTCAGTACTTATATTCCCCAAATGCAGGCCCTCCATTTGGGGAGTGGATGGAGTAGGAGAGAAGGGCTGCAAGGACCCAGATAGGCAGACAGAGGGACAGAGAGGGAACCAAAGACCCTACTTGCAAGGTGTCCCCAGAGGCAAAGGTATCGTCCACGGGGGACATGGGGACCTGGAGGCAGCACAAGGACAGCTTTGCTCTGGTCGTGGGAGCCCTCTTGCTTCCCACACCTTCAACTTACTCCGCATTGCTGTCTGTCATTGATCCCCAGGTGGGGCAAGTGAGGGACCTGAGTCAGCATGTGGCTGGCTGCTGGGAGAGGGAGCACCCGCTGAGTCACGGCTCCTCCCCTGGAGCCTCCATGAGCCATCTAGGCAGGTGTGCACTGCCCACTGGTGCAGGGCTGTGGGTACCTGCACCTGTCTGTCAACACTGATTCTTTCTCATACAACAGGCACTTGCCACCACTCTGCCCAGCCAGACCCTATCAGACCACAGTGAGGGGATGGAGTGGGCCCGCATAGGTGCCTCCACCTGAGTCTAGGCACCCCAGGCTTGTGTCTGCTGGGACACACCTAGCAGGGAGGCTGAGAGCACCGGCTTCGGAGCCAGGCAGGTCATAGTGTAAAGCCGGATTCTTCCACTTATTTGGGGAAAGTTGCTTCCCCTCTCTGAACCTGTTTCCTCACTGTAAATTCAGATTCATCCTTTATTGAGCACCTACTATGTGCCAGGCATTGGGTTGAGTGCTGGGGATAAAGTAATGAGCAAGCCCTTATCTTGATGAACAGTTACGGAATAAAATAGACCTGCAGAAATAAACACGCAATTCACAACTGAGGTGAGCATGGTTGGTGGGGGAATGGAGAGCACATAATAAAGGGTGTGGCATGGTTGGGGGCATCAGTGACCTTCTCCCTGAGAAAGAGACACTTGAGTGAAGGGGGAGGAGAAGTGAGCCAGGAGAAGGAAAAAGGGGAGGGGCATACAGCATGTGCAAATGTCCTGAGGTGGAAACAAGCAAAGTGACTGCCAGGGTAGGAGTCCTGTGTGGCTAAAGGGCAGTGGGTTAAGTCAAGCAAAGGATTTTCGGTGGGAGCAGGGAGGAGGGGGCTGGAGTCAGGGCACAAGCCTGCCAGGCTCCCTTTGTGCAGGGCACGTCAAGGGGCCACACTGATTGTCTCTGCAGGCTCTCCATGCCTGCCTGGCTGTGGGGAGGGACCAGACTGTACCAAGGCTTATGGGCGGCGGCAGCCACAGCCCAGACTAGTGAGCTAATGAGCGGTTTGGATGTCTTGCCTGGTCCCGTTAGAGCCTCGCTCCTCCCCTGTGCTGGAAGGTAGGACACAAGGGCCCGAGCCTTGGCTCTGCCATTAATTTGCTATGTGACCTGCAGCTGGTCACAGCACCTCTCAAAGCTTCAACTGCTTCCTCTGTAAAATGTAAGGACAGGACTCACTGATCTCACTTGATCTGAGGATTTGACATCAGAAGGGGATGAGCAGGCTGGGGAAGAGAGAGCATCCTCTCACTGATCAGCTCTTAGGGCATCCAAGACCTCGAAAGAAGGGATCTGGGGTGGGCTCTGTCCTATAGAGAAATCTTAAGGTGTCAGTGTCCTGGGGCATCTATTGTTCCCAGAAGGAGCTAGCTGGAATGGCACCTTCTGCTGCCCATTCACCCACCTTGTTCCTCAGATCCTCGATGGTCTTGAAGTAGGGACTGTAGTCTTTGATCTCAGCAGGCCGCTGCCACTGGTACCAGTCATGGATCTTCACCTCCAGGTCAGCGTTGGCCTCCTCCAGGGCACGCACCTTGTCCAGGTAGGAGACCAGGCTGTCGTTGAGGTGCTGCATGGTCACCTTCTCACTGCCCACCAGAAGCCCATCACCACCAGCAAAGCCACCACCCAAGCCACCACCGAAGCCAGCACCAAGGCCACCACCATATCCTCCCCCAAAGCCACTACTGAAGCTGCTGCTGCTGCTGAAGCTACCGCCATAGCCGCCCCCCAGCCTGTAGGCTCCCCCAGAGGAGAAGCAGGAGGAGGAGACAGACAGGCCACCCCTGTAGGTGCTGGGGGCGCGGCAGGACCCTCCGGCCAGGACGGAGGAGATGCGGCTGGAGCCGCCCCCGATGCCGCCCCCGATGCCGCAGGAGCCCTTCATGGAGCTGGAGGAGGTGAACTGGCGGCTGCAGGTGCTCATGGTGCCGAGGAGGGAGGTGAGTGAGCGAGCAGTTGGCTGAGTGAAGAGAAGGTGCTCAGGTAAATTGGAAAGGGATGCGAGTGCTTTATACTCATGGGTAGGAGGCGGGCCTGGCACTTTCCATTCCCCTTGGCTTTCATCACCCACAGGCTAGCGCCAACTCCCAGCCAGGTCCCTCCTCTCCTCCGCCTCATCATGTCTGTCATATTTTACTGGAAACTCATTGTTTGGGGTATTTTGGGCTTTCTTGTCCCGCCAGGCGTGATTCACAGGGGGAGGTATGGGCCTGCAGGCTACACTTTCCCATGGGGCCCTGGGAGTCCCAGCCCTCAGGAACCCGCACACTGGGCTCAGCCAGGGTGACAGAGAGCAGGGCCTCTGCACCTTAAACCTGGTGACCTGCTAGCTCTCCATGAACTGGATGGGCCTTTACCATCCACTTAGAGGAAGCCCACCACTGCAGGGGACAGATACCCAGCTGGAGAGCACCGGCATGGCAAGGTCACCTTGGGCACAGAGAGGCCTCCCTCACCATGACCCGCTGTTAGAGACAAGGAGGTCTGGGGGGCCCTCCCAGGCCTGACCTGCCATGCTGTGCTGAGAACCCTGTCCCATCCCTGAAATACACTCAGCCAGTCAGGTGTATGGTGATTCCCACCCCAACACCCCCATCAAAGAGAAATCTAGGCAGCTCTCCCCAGCCCCGGGCACAGACCCTAATTTCCTCCCTACGGTGAGGATCTGACATCCACCACACCATAGGGCGGGTGGCCTCATGGAGGCCAGGAAACAGCCTGGAGTCAGGTGGGTCCTGGCTCTGCCATTTACGCCCCCGTGACCCAGGGCTTGGCGCTTCTCTGAGCCTCAGTGTTCTCATCTGCAAAGTGGGAGTCATACCATCTACTCTGCCTACTGCAGTCAGCTGTGAGAAGCCAATGCGACAGCGTATGTGAAAGGCTTTTGTAAACCGAGTATGGCAAGAAGCCTGGTTGGCATTGTTGTAGCCCAGGCTTAGCCCCAAAGTGGATGGAGCTGCATCCAGGAACAGGCCTAGGGGGGCCTTTTTTTCTTCCAGCCCCAGATATCCTCTCAGACCCCCAGAACATCCCTAGTGTAGGCAGAAGTCTGGCTCAGGTGCCCTCGTTTGAGCCCCTTGTGGAACTGGCCCAGGAGCTGTTCTGGGGAGGAGTAGAAGCTGGAGTGGTGCCAGGCTGTGCCAAGGGCAAGGCTGAAGTGGACACGAGGGTCCCTGACTCCTGAAGCCCCAAGGGTCAGGGGACATTTCTAGGAGTCCACTTGGTCCTGCTTTGGAGGTGTGTATATCAAAACTTCAGCAATCTCCCAGACAACCTCCCAAAGCAAACCCTTCCGGCCCCCACCCCACCCTCCCCTCAGCCCCTGGGCTCCACAGACCCCGGCAGGCATGTTGGGAGGAATGTGGTCGTGTCTGGGGCTGCCTGACGCGTCCTATCTCCTCAGACAGGCCCCAACAGCCCCTGCTGGAGGCTCCACTGCTCTTCCTGGGATCAACTGTTCCTAGAAGAAAAGCAGGACCCTCTCTCACCCCACCCCCAACCTTGACTGTCACCAAAGAAAAAGCCAGAGAGGGGAGCCCCCCACTACTGTGGCCTAGGAGCTTGGAAGACAATACTGAGACAGACACCTGTGCTGTGGGCTCCCCAAATCTGCCAGCAAAGGACTCTCGAGGATGTGAGTAAGCCAGGGCCCCACCCCACTCCACCCACCCCTGACAGACACTCCTAATCTCCCTGCAGAGAATGGTTCCCCCACCCTGACCCAGTCCTACAATTTCCCCAGAGAGAGGCAACAGGGGTTTTGGCTGAGGGGCAGATGCTTTTGTTGGGAGCCATGTTGCTGTTGGCTGTGGGGCAAGGGAAGGCTGTGCTCACTGGAGAAAAATGCTGTGTCCAGAGGGATCTGGGAGTGGGAATGGGGTGCAGGGCCCGGTACTGGCTTCCTCTGTGCCCCGCCACCCCCACCCACCACCACCACCGTCTCCTTCTTCTGCAGGGATCAGGAATAGAAGCTCCAGAGCCCAGGACATAGGAACAGCTTTACTTTCCCTTTCATTTGATTCAATGGAACCCAAAAGAAACTCCTTCCTCCCACTGCTCCGAGGGGAATCCAAAAGATAAAGATGGCAGGGAACCAATGACAGATCAGTCCATGCACATAATCTTAAAAGGCACTTCTGCAGCCCCATCCCAACCCCACGCACCTACTCCGGAGCTCTAGCATGGAATATAAGCCTGATCCCCCATACCCGTTCTCAGAACCGTGGCCTAACCTGGAGCCTGAGGCCAACCTCTCTTCCCCTGCAGTCAAGGACTCAGTGACCAAGGAGCTGCAAACAGCCCGGCCAAGCAGGGAGCAGACTTAGAGGACACCACACTCCCGTCCCCTCCCTGATGCCAAAGAAGCATGGTACTCAGACATTTTAAGGGAGGGCATTTTCTGGGTCATCAGGGGTTAAAGGGTTGCCAGTCTTGACAGCTGAGGCCCAGAGTACCCCCCACCTCTGGACTTCTAGGCAGGCTTTGTGTGAGCAGCATTACCTGACCCTCCCTCCAGCCTGCCCCAAAAGGAGGGGGGTAAAGGAGGAGCCCCGGGCAGGACCTCCTGTGGTTAGTGAGTCTCCCTGCACCACCCTACATGGGGGAGCCCCGTGCCAATGCTAAAATTATTGTAAATGGATAAAATCCATGGGGTCAAAGAGATCAGGAAAGTAGATTATAGCAATCAAATTTTGGAATCTGGAAAACAAAGACAAAGAAAGCCCAGCGCTTGCCCAGAGAGAAGCCAAGAGGCAAAGCATATTTACACTCTGGAACTTTTTAACTCTGAATTTTTAAGAACTCTGGAAAGTCTCTGGAATAGGGGGCACCAGGTACCTCTGACAGTGAGGAACAAGTGAACTAGAAATGGGAGGGTGAGCTAGAGATCTATATAAAAAGCAGAGAGGTGGCCGGGCACGGTGGCTCATGCCTGTAATCCCAGCACTTTGGGAGACCGAGGCGGGTGGATCATGAGGTCAGGAGATCGAGACCGTCTTGGCTAACACGGTGAAACCCCGTCTCTACTAAACATACAAAAAAATTAGCCAGGCGTGGTGGCGGGCGCCTGTAGTCCCAGCTATTCGGAAGGCTGAGGCAGGAGAATGGTGTGAACCCGGGAGACAGAGCTTGCAGTGAGCCGAGATGGTGCTACTGCACTCCAGCCTGGGCAACAGAGTGAGACACCATCTCGGGAAAAGAAAAAAAAAAAGCAGAGAGGCCCCTATAGCTCCTCTCTCCCTTCCTTGTCTGAACCCAACCACTCCACGATTACTCCAGGAGAAACTAGATGTTTATGCTTGAGAATTTCCCCAGAGGGACTCTGAATCCTGAGACACCAAGCAGGGCCAGTAAACTGCAATCAACTAGTAGCAGAGTAGCTGAGACTGAGACCTTCTCTGCCCCCTTCCTGCACTCAGCTTCCAGAAAGCTGGTAGCTTTTACAATCCAGACAGGGAATTAGAGGTATTCCTTCTGAGGAAGACCCTCCCCAAGAAAAGTCCTACAGATAACTGTCCCCCAACGAAACAGCTTATTCTCCACCAGATTACTCTATATTGAGACCTACCAGTGGCAAGCTCCCATGCTATCCACACACATATACACATATTCCAATCAGTTTCTCAGTGACTTACTCTTAAATATGAACGACTACCAAGGACCACCAGACATCTGAGAAAAGCCTCTGGCATGAAAGATGGAGGCAAGACAAACAGCAAGAAAGGAACTGAGGAAACTGAGCTGATGACAGAAATAGAAGCACTGCTGGAGCCAGGACTAATAGGCTCAAAGAGATCAGAGAAACCATTGCATCTTGAAACAAGAACAAGAGACTGTTGAAAAAACATGCAGAGCTGTGAGAGATGAAAAATATAAAAGATTATTGTTGTTTTTAAGACAGGATCTCACTCTGTTGCCCAGGCTAGAATGCGATGGTGTGATCTCAGCTCACTGCAGCCTTGACTTCCCAGGCTCAAGTGATCGTCCCACCTCAGCCTCCCTAGCAGCTGGGACTACAGGCCTAGGCCACCACATCCAGCTAATTTTTATATATTTTGTAGAGGCAGGGTCTTACCATGTTGCCCAGGCTGGTCTTGAACTCCTGGGCTCAAGCAATCCACCCACCTTGGCCTCCCAAAGTGCTGGGATTACAGGCATGAGATGCTGTGCCCGGCCAAATACAGCAGATTTTTTAAAACTCTGAATAATGGAGTTAGAGGTCAAAGTTAAAGAAATTTCTCAGAAAACAGCAACAAAGAAAAAAAGACAAGACGGAAAATAAAACAGAATACATAGGAAAAAGAGCCATTTCAGAAAGAGAGAAAATGGAGGGAGGAAATCATGAAACACGAAAATTTGCCAGAATTGAACAACATGAGCTCCCACATTGGAAGTTTCTGCTAGTGTCCAGCCAGTGGATGAAGTCACAGCTGCATCAATTCAACACATGGTATTTCAGCCTGCTGGAGAGAAAGAGAAGAACTGAAAAGCTTCTAGGGAAGAGTGTGGGAATAGGATAATAAGACGTGATCTAGAATCAATATGGCATAAGACTTCTCAACAGCAACACCAGAATCCAAGAAACACTGAAACCGTACCTTCAAATGCTGAGTGCAAATGATTTCCAAGCTAGAATTCCATACCCAGCCAAACTATCAGGCAAGAGTGAGGATCAACTAAAGATCTTTTTGACACAAAAAGTCTAAAAAAATTTAACCCTGATAACTCCCTTCCCAGGAAACTACTTGAGGATGTGCTTCACTAAAACAAAGGGAAAAATGAAAACAGGAAGGAGGAAGACATTGGATCCAGAAAACAAGGAAAGCAACACAGGAAAAAGAAGGATTTCAGGATGATGGTGAAGAGAGATTCCAGGATCACAGCTGAGCAGGAGACCCAAACAGCACCCAGAACAGACAAGAGCAGGACAGAAGGCCCTAGGAGACACATCTTCATGAGGATGAAATTGAAGGAACACCCAGGGTTCTAAAATACTGAGGAGATTTATGCTTCCAGCAGTGAATCAGGAAACAAATTAATCATCAATACATAGAAAGTTTAGGCAAATTGAAAAAGAGATATTTATTCCAAGGAAATTTAATATAGTATAAAATGTAATATAGTATAATATATGATTTGACTATGAATAACATTTAAATAGTCATGATAATGTAAACATTTATTTAACAAAAATATGAATATATTGAGAAGGTGGGAAGAAGATATTTTAAAAAGAAGTGGGGAAGGGCAATGCTGTATAACAGATCTACATCCTCATCCTTCACAGCCAGAAGTCAAGCGATTAAAAACTGAAACAGAAAAACCAAACAGTAACAAGGTAAAGCCTGTTATTTAGAAGTAAGGAGACAAATCCCAAAAGAAACAGCTGAAGTTGAAAAGGGGAGGCGGGAACAGAGCTTTGGTATCCAGTCTAGGGATGGCTTTTTCATTAAAAAAAAAAAAAGTCTTATTCACAATAGCAAAGACTTGGAACCAACCCAAATGTCCATCAATGATAGACTGGATTAAGAAAATGTGGCACATGTGCACCTTGGAATACTATGCAACCATAAAAAAGGATGAGTTCATGTCCTTTGCAGGGACATGGATGAAGCTGGAAACCATCATTCTAAGCAAACTATCACAAGGACAGAAAACCAAACACCATATGTTCTCACTCATAGGTGGGAATTGAACAATGAGAACACATGGGCACAGGGCGGGGAACATCACACATCGGGGCCTGTCAGGGGGTGGGGGACTGTGGGAGGGATAGCATTTGGAGAAATACTTAATGTAAGTGATGAGTTGATGGGTGCAGCAAACCAACATGGCACATGTATACCTATGTAACAAACATGCACGTTGTGCACGTGTACCCTATAACTTAAAGCATAAAAAAAAAAAAAAAGTCTTGGCCGGGTGCCATGCTCACGCCTATAATCCCAGCACTTTGGGAGGCCAAGACAGGCAGATCACGAGGTCAGAAGATCGAGAGCATCCTGGCTAATACGGTGAAACCCTGTCTCTACTAAAAATACAAAAGAAAATTAGCCGGGCATGGTGGTGGGTGACTGTAGTCCCAGCTACTCGGGAGGCTGAGGCAGGAGAATGGTGTGAACTCGGGAGGTGGAGCTTGCAGTGAACTGATATCGTGTCACTGCACTCCAGGCTGGGCGACAGAGCAAGACTGTCTCCAAAAAAAAAAAAAAAAAAAAAAAGGCTTATGATGTTGTACATACATAACTTTTTTAAATTTAAATATTTAAAATATGGAAGGCATCCAGGAAGAAGGAATGGCAACTGAGAGGTATGGGTCATATCTCAGTCAGGTAGGGGTGACTCAGGGGTTTGGAGCTGGGAGGGACAGGAGGACACCAAGCTGGGTTGAGACTGAAGGCTGAGTGCTGGAGGGGAATGGGATCCATCGCCAGCTGTTAAGCAGGGGAGTCCTGATCTCACCCTTGTTCTTGATCCTGACCACATTCTGATGGAAATCATTCAGTGGAAATTGAATGTGGATGAGATTGACTCTCAAGGGGACCCAGTTAGGCTGTGCCCAGGTCTAGGGAGAGAGGAAGAAGATCTGAACATGGCAATGGCCATGGGGCAGCAGGTGTTTCCTAGGGTGCTCATCAGCACGCAATTCACCAGCTGAGGGGAATGAGGAAGGAGGAGTTGATGGGGTGTGAGGAGAAGCAGGCTGGGAGAAGGAGGATTTCAGGTCTGACGAGGACATCGTTCTCAAGGCAGATACCACTCCCTTCCACCCTCCAATGTAGAAACTGTGTGCAGATGTGGGGGAGCCCATGGGTAGAGTTAAGATTCAAGCGTGGGAGTCTTCGGGTTAAAATACCTGAAAAGGTAGAGTGGTGTTAAAAGAAAGGCATGGACTTTGCAGACAGACAGAACTGAGTTTGAGCTCCAGCCGTGCCACTTACTATCTGCATGATTTTACGCAAGTTACTGAAACTCTGAATTCTGGGGGTTGTCAAATTCCAAAATGGGCCTGACCACACCCACCTCACAGGGTTGCAAGGGCAACCTCGTAAAATAACCTCTGTAGAATGCCTCCATGGTGTCAGTCAGCACGTGTGGACACTCCCCCATCCTGTGTCCCACCTCCCACTTCCATAGAGCATGGAGGTCTTCCAGGAAGAGCCTTCAAGATCTTCTGAGATTTGTCCCATTTCCCACATCTCTCAGGCTGTGAGGCTCCAGGAGGTTTCTGGAAAGCACCTGCAACTCCCCTCCCATCAGTTCAAGAACAGAGATCACACAGGTTTGCATCAACCAGAAAGTCAGCTTTATTAGCCCATCACCAGTAGAGGAGCAGGGAGACAGCTGGGAACTGCACTGGGAGAGCAGGGTCCTGACCCAGGCCTTCAGGAGGTGAGGCCAGCTGGTGGGCAGGAGGCTGTGGTAGAGGCAGCTCAGTTCTAGGAGCACTGGCCCTGGCTGAAGCTGGATGAGCCCTGCTCCTTGAGGATGGGCCAGGTCTGACGGCTCGAAGAGGACGAAGAGGAGGTGAAGACTGTGGGAGAGAGAAGAGGAGGTGAGAAGGGGTCTGAGAGCTAAGCCAACTCCAGGGCAGGGAGAAGGGAGGGCTGGGAGCTCTGAGGAGAAGGGCCTGGCCCCCACTCCATGGAAACAGGCAGAGGGGCTGCAGTGCCGGGGAGCCTCAGGAGCCTTACCCACTCGGGAAGAACAGGATTGGCCAGATGCGTGTGGGGAGGAAAGGCTGTGGGTGAGAAAAGGCAGGGCAGTCAGTTGTGCTGAGAGCAGCAGGGGGGCTAAAGGGTCTGGGAGGCAGAACTGAGGGGCCTGGGACTCACTGGGCGTCCTCGCCCTCCAGCAGGCAGCGGTAGGTGGCGATCTCCTGCTCCAGCCGTGTCTTCATGTCCAGCAAGATCTGGTACTCCCGGCTCTGCTGCTCCATCTCACAGCGTAGCTGGGCCAGCTGCTCCTCCACACTGCCAATCAGTCCCTGGATCTGGGACAGCTGCATGCAGTGGCAGCCTTTGGTTTCCTCCAGGCTGTTCTCCAGGGACGCTTTCTGCAAGTGAGAGAGAGAAAAAGAGTCAATGGAGGTGGTCACTCCTGTCCCTCCAGGTCTCTGGGCATGTTTTTTGAGAGGTGCCTGGATTTTGATCCCAGTTGGGGTACTGATGGGCCAGACAATATAGAGAAATGCTAGCCCACTATTCTAGGGCTAGTTTCTCTATCTATATAACAGGTCCCATGAGTCCTCTGGTCCCATCCTGAGAAAAGAAAGGTGGAACTAAATTGTGGCTTGTTGAGGGGGTGGTGGCCATTACTGGTGACTTGGGGGCTGCTGCTGTGCCGGGTCCTTCATACTATGCTGAGCTGGGACTGCAGCTCCATCTCCAGGCCCTGGAACACCCTCTGGAGCTCCGTCACCTCACTGCGGCTGCTCTGTACCAGTTCACTGCTGGAGGCCACTTTTTTGTTGAGCTCCTTGGTCTGAGACAGGAAAGCAGAGTGAAAGGTGAGGCTCTCCCAAAGCCCCCAGCTGGGAAGTGCTGCAGGCCCACTGAGGGCCCGAGCCCCACCTTGCTCAGGAACCAGGCCCAGCATCTCTGTGGTTGTGCTTTGCCATCTGCTCGTACTGGTTGCGCATCTCATTCAGGATGCAGCTCAGGTCCACGCCAGGTGCGGCATCCGTCTCCACGTTCACTTCTCCACCGGTCTGACCTCGCAGAGCAAGCATCTCCTGGGAAGGGATGGCAGGAGGAGGTCAGCTCAGCAGACTCCTCTCCTGGCCCTGGGTGCATCTGGCAACCCCACCAAACCAGCCTCCCATCCCGGAAGCCAGCAGCAACCACACCTCCTCGTGGTTCTTCCTCAGGTAGGCCAGCTCCTCCTTCAGGCCTTCCATCTCCATCTCCAGGTCAGTCCTGGCCAGGGTCAGCTCGTCCAACACCCGGCACAGGCCATTGACGCCAGCCTCCACAGTCAGCCGCAGGGCCAGCTCGTGCTCCTAACTGGCAGGACAGAGGTCAGGTCCTTAGGCTGCAGCCCTGAGGATTCTGAGGCTCGGGGTCTGCTGGCCCTGCTGGGTGGACAGCTCCACTCTTTGTCCCTTGCCCTCTGCCCCCAGCCCACCATGCTGGCTGCTCACTTGGTCCTGAAGTCATCAGCTGCCAGCCTGGCATTGTCAATCTGCAAAATGGGCTGCGCATTCTCAATGGTGGCCGCAATGATCTGGAGTGGGGATGGAGGACAGGAGCCCTGGTCAGGCAAGGACCTTACTACTTGAGCGTGAAAGGCAGAAAGGGGCAAAAGGAACCTCCTCAAATCTGGAAGTCTTCTGGCTGGCAGGGCTGGCATGCCTTCTCCACCAGCTCAGGGTATGCAGGGATGCACTCCATCCCGATCACCCCCTTCCTGGGCCCAAGGCAGGGAAGCGGAACTTGCAGCTGAACCCTTGCAGGAAATAAGAGATTCAGGGTAACAGCCCCAGTCCGGGCACAGAGATGCTGAAAAGGGACCCTCTGCCACCACTTCCCTGGATGATCCTGGCCACTCCCCAAAGGTGCCCAGTCTCCCTGTTTGTAAAGTGTAATTGCTAAAAAGAGGTATCCCAAGGGACACTATAGCCCCAGCCTCTCTCAGTGCTCCATACACCAAAGTCACCCACCTTGTGCCTCAGGTCCTCGATGGTCTTGAAGTAGGGACTGTAGTCTTTGATCTCACTGGGCCGCTGCCTCTGGTACCAGTCACGGATCTTCACTTCCAGGTCGGCGTTGGCCTCCTCCAGAGCACGCACCTTGTCCAGGTAGGAGGCCAGGCGGTCACCGAGGTGCTGCATGGTCACCTTCTCACTGCCCACCAGAAGCCCATCACCACCAGCAAAGCCACCACCCAAGCCAGCACCCAAGCCACCACCGAAGCCAGCACCAAGGCCACCACCATATCCTCCCCCAAAGCCACTAGCAAAGCTGCTGCTGCTGCCGAAGCCACCGCCATAGCCGCCCCCCAGCCCGCAGGCTCCCCCAAAGGAGAAGCGAGAGAAGGAGACACACAGGCCCCCCAGTAGGTGCTGGGGGCATGGCAGGACCCTCCGGCCAGGACAGAGGAGATGCGGCTGGAGCCGCCCCCGATGCTGCCCCCGATACTGCAGGAGCCCTTCATGGATCTGGAGGAGGTGAACTGGTGGCTGCAGGTGCTCATCGTGCCAAGGAGGGAGGTGAGCGAGCGAGCAGTTGGCTGAAAAAAGGGAAGGTGCTCAGGAAGGCTAAGAGCATGCTGTGGCTGCCTCCAACCCCAGAGACCTTTATATGCACCTGGGGAAGGCGGGGCCCTCCTAACTGCTGACTCCAGGTTCCCCTCTGGATTTCATCACTCCCAGTCCCGTCCAACTCCTCACTCTGGATTATTCAGCCCAGGATCAACTCCGCTGTGTGCTGGCTCAGAGTTCCCACCCAGCTTTGAGAGTGTGGAGCTGAGAGAAAAACACACAAATGTGAGTCGGTGGTGACTCAGGCTAGGTGGCCGGGAATCAGGCTCCCGTTCCTGGAGCCCTTGGGGCCAGTGGGGCCTTGGCACAGGTGGCTTTGTGGCAACTGTGTCCCCAGGCAGTGAGTCAGCCCTTCAGAAGAACTCCCTGCCCCACAGTGACAGCCTTGGCTGAAAGAGACCTCAGTGATGCCATCCTGGGCTGTCTTGGGGAGCAGTTGCGGGGATCCTACATGTCCCACTCTGGGCAGGGGCAGAGTTCGTGTCTTCACTCTGCTTGCTGTGTGGCCTGAGGCTCCCCACCTCCCACCTCTGGGCCTGTTTCCCCTCAGTGGTGACCAGGCTGGACTGGGTGATTGCAGAGTCCCTTCTGGTTCTAAAAATCCTATGACTCTCTTTCCCCTCTTGGATCTAATTCCAGTTCCGGAGGCTGCCTTGAGCCCCCGGGATCTCCAGAAGTGTGTGCACCATACAAACAGCACTGGCCATGGAGCCAGACAGGCGGCACTGAGTCCCTGCTCTGCCCTTACCAGCTGTACAGCACAGGCTGGTCTTACAGCCCCTTGGTCCTCAGTTTTCTCATCTGTAAAAGGGGATGACACACCACTAGCCACAAAGAAACATGCGCGAAGGACCCCACCGGCCCTTCCCCAAGGGCCAGCCCTGCCCCTCATCCTCCTCATCCTCCCCCTCCAGCCACCTGCTCCTCACACTCACCTCTACACACTGGCACCCTCCCGAACCGCTACGCGGGGCCCTGCGTCCCCCACACTCCCAGCTGAAGAACACCGCAGCCCCACACCTAGCTCCTCCACTCCTCTACCGCCCTCTCCTAATCACAGGCACCCCACCTGCAGGCCGGTGGGAGGGAGCCCCGTCCTGCCACTGCAGCCAGGTGTGACCCCTGACCCCGCCGTGGGCCTCAGAGTTCCCCCCTACCCTGTAGAAACAGGACTGGCTGGGGATCCGTTCCCAGCAGTTCTCTCTCCTGTGTCCACAGATCCCACGCTGGGCCTGGCAGCTCCATTCATCCAGCTGAGCTGGGGGAGAGCACCGGTCATGGGCCCACTCAGGCACTCATGGAGAGCCTGGTGTGTGTTGTACGGTTCTGTGAGCAGGGATGACGGGGGCGTTATTCCTGCCACCAGTCCTCAGGTGAGGGAGCTGGGATTCAGGGAGGATAAGTGGGCTTCCCAAGACACCAGGCACTGGAAGCTGAGATGTGAACCTGCCTGCCTGTTCTCCTTGCCTAAGCCTGTTCTGTCATCCTGAGCCCTCTCTCTGTGCATCTCAAATTTATATCATTTTCTTGATCAGAGGGGACAGAGGGGTAACCAGAGACAGGTGGAGATTCACTCAAAGTCACTCTGCTTTAAGCTGCAGAGCTGCAACTAGAACCCAGACCTCAGCCCTCTCCAGGCTCCCACCATGCCTGCAGGCGGGGCCAGTATACCCAACTCTCACCCACCTCCCCACGATCACTGGCATGAGGTCTGCCCAGGGTGGGCGTGGCCTTGGCCTGAGAGGCTGGTGCAGCACCGAGGACTGGAGGGAGGAGGAGGGATCTGGGCACCAAGACGGGGCCTCCTCAGGGTGCCGTGGGGCATCCCTTGGTGCTGGCCACTGGCCTTGCTCTGCAGTGCCTCTGTTGAGGTGAGGAGCCCAGAGACAGCCTGCCTCTGCCTGGGCTCCACTGGGGCAGGCAATTCCTTGTCTCAGCAGAACCAGGGTTTTGTCGCTGCTACATCTCCCCTGGTCACTCTGGGATCAGAGGTAAGAGCAGAATGGATGCACATGCCTTCAGAGCCAAACCTGGGAGAGGGAACCCGACACTCCCCACCTGAAGGGGTGGCCTGCCCCTCCACACCTGTGGGTGTTTCTCGTGGGGTGGGATGAGAGACTGAGAAAAGAAAGAGACACAGAGACAAAGTACAGAGAAAGAAAAATGGGCCCAGGGGACTGGCGCTCAGCATACAGAGGACCCACGCTGGCCCCAGTCTCCGAGTTCCCTCAGTATTTATTGATCATTATCTCTACCATCTCTACCATCTCCCAGAGGGGGATGTGGCAGGACAATAGGGTAATAGTGGGGAGAGGGCCAGCAGGAAAATGTGAACAAATGTCTCTGTGTCATAAACAATGTTAAGGAAAAGGTGCTGTGCTTTGATGTGCACATACATAAACATCTCGGTGCATTAAAAAGCAGTGTTACCGCCAGCATGTCTCACCTCCAGCCCTAAGGCGGTTTTCTCCTATCTCAGTAGATGGAATATACAATCGGGTTTTACACCGAGACATTCCATTGCTCAGGGATGAGCAGGAGACAGACGCCTTCCTCTTATCTCAACTGCAAAGAGGCCTTCCTCTTTTACTAATCCTCCTCAGCACAGACCCTTTACGGGTGTCGGGCTGGGGGACGGTCAGGTCTTTTCCCTTCCCATGAGGCCATATTTCAGACTATCACATGGGGAGAAACCTGGCTTTCCTAGGCAGAGGTCCCTGCGGCCTTCCTTCCGCAGTGTTTTGTGTCCCTGGGTACTTGAGATTAGGGAGTGGTGATGACTTTTAACAAGCTAGCTGCCTTCAAGCATTTGTTTAACAAAGCACATCCTGCATAGCCCTAAATCCATTAAACCTTGAGTCGACACAGGGCATGTTTCTGCGAGCACAGGGTTGGGGTAGGGTTACAGATTAACAGCATCTCAAGGCAGAAGAATTTTTCTTAGTACAGAACAAAATGGAGTCTCTCATGTCTACTTCTTTCTATATAGACACAGTCCGTATAGAAAGAGACACTGATCTCTCTCTTCCCCACACCCACCCCCACCCCAAAGAGGGACAAAGGGGACCCCGGAATCTTGGACAAAAACCTCAGCGTTCAGGTGTCAGGGTGGGCCTGGAGTTCCAGTCCAACCACAGACCCATCACCCTCAGAACTGAAAATGGTCTTCAAGGTCACCAAAGGCTATCAATACCCCAACCGGAGAGGGCGAAAGCCTTATCCAGGTTAAGCAGCACAAAAGTGAGAGAGCACAGACCGGAGCCAGCTCCAACTCCCAAGCCAGGATTCACACCGACTCTCACAGTGGAGTCTCCGAGAACTCTTCACTCTCTGCCCCCACCGTGTGTGCGTGCACACACACCCCTTTCTCATTGGCTCACTGCCCCCCGCCAAGTTCCCCATTCCAGGAGGTGTCAGGGTGGGATTATACACAAGCCCAGCACTGCAGACCTGAGGATCTGCGTGGGCTGAGAAGCTGCAGGAAGTTGCTGACCAACGCGCCAAACTGCTCAGCCAACTCCATAGATCACGCAGCTGCTGTGTGCACAGCTCTCGGGGGCTGGGGGTGAAGAGGGAAATGATGACGTAGTCTCTGACCTTAGAAGAACTTATCATTTGACCCTGGAGGGAAAACTAACGCTGGAAAATGCAGAACCTGGCTAGAAACCCTAGGGTGCTGGGCTTGACTGCCACGCCCACACCACCGGAGGCAGCTGGGGTAAGCATTACCCCGCTGAGCCTCAGCAGTAGAGGAGGGGGCTGCCCTCCTGGCCTTGATCCCTGAAAGGGTCCCAGCAGAGGGAGGCACCAGCAGGGCCTCAGAGGATCTGAGTTGACAGAAGAGGAGGAGGCGTTTCCTCTGCATCAGTGATGCACACTTGCCCCAAGGTGGCCAAGAGCCAGGACCTCTAAGCCTGGTGAGCATAGAGAAGCCCAGTGGGCATCCTCCAGGCAGAGGATTCCTCCCCGCACCCTGCCTCCTTCCTCCCTCCTTCGTCCTGCCCATGTCAAGCATGAGGCGGAGATCATAGCATACCTGAGGAGGCCGGGAATCACCATTGGCCAATGCCACGCCTTGGCTTGCAGTGATTCTCCAACCAGACAGATCATCAGAGTCCCCAAGAAGATTCGCAGCCCTGCTCCAACTCCTGCATCAGCACCACTCAGGACAAGCCTGCTGGTGGGGCTGTTTTACAAGCTCCCCAGCCAACTCAGACTGGGAAGGCAGGAGGCAGCTTAGGGGGCTGAGGAGGGGGGCAGAGAAGCTGAGGGGAGAGAGGGGGCTGCTGCAGGGCCCCCAGCCCTGGGTGGACAAGCCAGAGCCACAGGCTTCAGGGCAGGAGGAAGGAAAAGTAGAGCCCCACTGAGCCAGGACAGAGCAGCCTGGAATCGGGGCAAGCAGGGGCAAAACCTTGGGCAGGATATTCAGCCTCTCTGAGCCTCAGTTTCCTTGTCTGGGAAATGGGAATAACAGCCCTGCGTCACAGGCATATTAGGGGATTTGAGGCCAAATAAATAAAGCACCTGGCAAAGGCTGGTGGCTAGCGTTATGTTTATGAGCAGGTGTTTATAAAGCACCTACTGTGTGCCTGACACTGTGCTGGGCACTCAGACTCAAAGAACAAGACAGAGAAGCCCTGGAGACATAGTCTTCTGGGGGAGAAGGTGGTAAAGACAATCCCAATACACTAAAGTCAGGCCACGATGGGGTGCTGGGGCCCTGCAGAGAAACAGAGGGAGCAGGGTTCCTGGGGGAGAACGAATGTCCAGGCCCAGGCTCTGCCCCTGTGACGGCTCCAGGGATCTGGGGAAATCTGTGAGTGCCAGGCCCACCTTCGGGGGTCCTCTCCCCTCCTGCAAGTTTGACGCCCCCCTTCTGAAGGTGGGGCTGTCATAGCCCTTCACAATCCAACCACAGATCTGCAGCTTCTGCCTTGATGATGGGGTGAAACATTCTGTGCAGTGGGCAGGGTGGCTGTGGACGAACTGTGAGTCCTTCCATGAGTCCCATAGCTGGGTCCCCAGTCCAGCCCAGGCACATGTCCTCAGCAGCCTGGACCCACTTGGGGTGCCTGTTCTGCACAAACAAGGGGCCCGGACTCCTGTATGAGTCTCAGGAAACCCCCAAGAGGGGCTCCCATTGCCCCCACCCCAGGAGTGTGAGCGGGAAGCTGGTGCCTCCAGGGAAGGCTGCAGACCCCAGGGGTTGTGGGAGAAAGAGTGGGCCTCTCTCAGGGATGTTTCTTCAAATGGTCACTACAGCTCAGGGTGAGGACGGGTCTCTGTCAAGCTCAGTTATCCCCTCGGCTCTGTGCATGTGGGGAGACCTGCCTGGCTCTGCTCCCTCTGTTCCCCTCATCTCCCCAAAACCTTGGTTGCCACAATAGACCCACACTGCATAAGGGCTGAGGGACTGTTGTCAGTCCCTCAGGTCCCCTTGGGGCAGGCACTGTCTCTTGGGGTCAGGACCGGTGTCTCCTCCTTTCCCTGGACTCAGTGCAAACCAGACGCAGAGCGATGTCATGCCATGGATGAGTGTCCCCCACCACATCCGTCTCCGTAGAAGACATGCTGCCAGGTCAACCCCTGCAAGGGGGGTCCGGAGGCAGCTACCACTGGCATGGGTCTGGCCTGAGAGTCTTATATGTGTGTCCATCACACGAGACCAGGTGTGGCAGCTCTACAGGGTAACCACATATCCGCAGCTTCTGCCTTGAGGACATTCTGTGCAGTGGGCAGGGAGTGTGTGGACGAACTGTGAGTCCCTCCTTGAGTCCCATAGCTGGGTCCCCAATCCAGCCCAGGCACATGTCCCCAGCATCCTGGGCCCACTTGGGGTCCTTGGACAAAGTCACTCAAGTCTCCCCACCAGCCCCTGGCAACCACTGCCTCTACTGGCTCAGCTCTCTGGGCACACCGGGGGGCTCCCCCATTCTGGCCTCCTGAGCCTCCCACCCACTCACTTTGTGGAGAAGGGCTTCTTCCCCAGCAGAGGGGCACAGTCTGGGGCTGTCTCTGGTCCTTCCCACACTCTGACCCCTCCTCACTCACGCCATCAGTAATTGTGGACCCCAGGCTCTACAGGAGGGAGAGATAGCCCTGCCTGGAGCCTGAGGTGGGGGAGGAGCTGGGGCTTGGCTCCTCTTCCCAGCACGGAAGCGGGGCCCACTCCCCTCCCGTGCCCGTCTCCACTACTGACCCCTCAGGCTGTGGGACAAGGGCTGAGTCACTGCTCCTTGGAGCCTCAGTGTCCCCATCCACACAACAAGGCGCCTTCCCCTAGACCCTCCCTGCTTCCGGGGACTATTCAGACAAATGAAGTCACCCTCCAGAATGAGCCATCTGCAGCCCAGGGCTGTTCTTCTGGTTGTGGCGGGGTGTATGGTGGGGGCCTGGTGCAAACAGTGCCTCCCTCCTGCCCTCCATGGCCCCACATTTGCTGCCAGAGAGCAGGGAGACGTCAGCCTCCAACGGAGCAGAGCTTGCCCTTGCTTTGAGTCGTGCAGATGCCGCTGCAGGTGCAAGTCCCCGACTCCAGGCAGCCATCTACCCTGCAGAGAGAAACACTCTCCCGGGATGTCATAGCTCCAAGGTCCAGGGAGGGCTTGTGACCAGCCCAAAGTCACCCATACCCCAGTGGTCAGTACCCACCCCCATCCCTGGCCTCTGCCAGTCCCAAACCCCCACCAACCCAGGCTCAGAGGGCTCTGGTCACTCCCATTCTCCTCGGACCTGGGCCCCACCCCCAGCCTCCAGGCACCAGGAGAGAGAGGGTGTTTGGGGGCCTTGGTCTGATTCCGCAGCAGCAGAGACACCACAGGTCCAGCAGTGAGGACGTGGAGGCACCCTCCTCCCACTAACCCCCTGCTTGAAGAAAACCAGGAAAGCAGGCCAACCCACCTGGCAGTTTCCAGATTTACTACAAGGAAGATTTCCAGGTGTCAGGCTCACCTCCCACAGACTGCTCCCCACAGCCACGTTTGCTGCCACCAGCAAGAGCTGGCGTTGGTCAGCTCATAGAGGGTGCCGGGAGTGGCTGGAGCAGGACTGTTCCTTCTCATTTTCCTAGGAGGCAGTTTCTACCCTCCCTCACACCACCCCTGTCCCTAGTGGGGAACCAAAGAGGATCCAGACCGCCAGGGAGAGTGGCACTGCTCCCTGGGCACAGCCACCCCATCTGCAGTGCCCCCCACTCTGCCCTGTCCGCATCCTGAGCAACAGCTGACCATGTGAGGAAACATCCTTGAGAGAGGCCCCACCCTTTCTCCCATACCTGCCTGGGGTCCGCAGCCTTCCCTGAAAACACCACCCTCCCGCTCACATTCCCAGGGCAGAGGCAATGGGAGCCCCTCTTGGGGATTTCCTGAGACTCACACAGGAGTCGGGGCCCCAATCACCCAGACTGCCTCCCCCACCCACCCTCCCTTTGTGCTTATCCCAGCCCTTGCCCACCTCCTGCCCCATCTAGGGGGAGGGCACAGCCCACAGGACAGGAAGGAGCAACTGATTGAGTGAGTCATCTCTGAGGATTCGGGCTCCCACACCTGAGATCTTCCCATCCATTTACGGATGGAAAAGCAAGGCTCAGTCAGGGGAAGTGACTGCCTAACTTCCCGAGGTCACAGAGTTACTCACAGGGCAAGCAGTGGCGACCTAGGACCACACCTGATACACCGCCTCCACCCCGGGTCTAGCGCAGCCTGGACCACCCCCTGAAAATCTCCAGCCCTTGGGAGATGCGAGCACCCCCCTCCAAACTCTCCCCAGACTTACTCTTTATGCTGGTCTAAGCTGACCTCTGACCTGCCAGTCAACAACGGGGTCTCCACGCACCATCTCCCCCCACCCTCACTCCTTCCCATTTCACCCTTTTGTCCCCAGTGCCCACTTCAGCGGCCAGAACAAGGACACATTTCATAGCTGAGTCAACGAGCTTTATTGTCATCACGCAGGGAAGCATGGCGAAGGGACTGAAGCAGGGGGCTGAGGGTGGAGAGGCCGGAGACCGCGGGGCAGATGGGACCGCTGCCTCCCTGCCTCCTGGGGGGCCGGCCGGGAAAGCTGAGTCCTCAGCGGGTGGTCTGGCGGACCTGCTCGCGGGAGGAGATGACCTTACCATCCTGGACCTCTTCCACAATGGTAGGCACCTGACAGGTGGTCACCGCTGCAGGAGAAGCAGGCAATTTAAAGTGGGTAGGGGCCAGGAGGCCCTCGCTTGCCCCCTAGCCCTCATGGACAGGAGCCGGCTCTCTCCCTCGTCCTCCCCCAGGTGCTGTGAGTGCCTCCACTGGCACCTCAACATCACACTGCACACACATCCCTCCTGTCCCTGCCACCGCCTCCCTTCCATCCCATCCCTCTGCCGGTGGCCCTGTGTGAGTCTTGCCTCCGCAGATGGGTTATTTGATTCTGACCCAGTGTGTCCTGCCAGGGAGGAGCCATGTAGACTCCATGAAATCCATCTCCATTTCTCTGCAGTCTCCAGGGCATAGATTTGCTCCCATCTCCCCCATCAGACTGGGATCGCCAAGACAAAAACCAGGCCCCTATCTCCTCCATTAGACTAGGAACCCTGGGGCTAGCATCATATCTTCTCCATCAGACTGGAATTTGGAGGACAAGGAGCATGTCCCTATTTCCCATCAGGCTAGAGTCCCCAGAGACAGGACTGCTTTCGCTCATCCAAAAGCTGTCAAGAGCATAGATCATGAGACCATGTTCCTATCTTCCCATCAGATGACAATCTCCAGAGGTGGGACCTGTCTCCTCCATCAGACTAGGATCTCCAAGGTAAGGACCAGTTCCCTGGCCCACCCCATCAGACCAGACAGCATCTCTCTCATTTGATCTTTTCCTGAGTATCAATCCTCAGTGCTAACGGGTCACTTCTCCCACCCCTGCTGAGGGACAGCCATCAACTCCTAGAACTCCTGGGGACCCAGCTCCAGCAACGTGCAGGTGGGCTGCCTGTCCCATGCACCCAATCCCCAAGGCCTCAGCCACCAAGATGCTTATGTTCTTTCTTGTACTGAGTCAGGCTGAAAGAAAAAAAAAAACAGAGAGGAAATTAGATGTGAGTCTGAGAGCCCCAACCCTGCCAAGAGGCCCCCAGCCCTGACCCCAGGCTCCCCCACTCACTGGGCATCCTCGCCCTCCAGCAGGCGGTGGTAGGTGGTGATCTCCAGCTCCAGCCGCATCTTCATGTCCAGGAGGATCTTGTACTCCTGGTTCTGCTGCTCCATCTCGCAGAGAAGCTGGGCCAGCCGCTCCTCCGCACTGCCGATCAGCCCCTGGATCTGGGACAGCTGCATGCAGTAGCGGTTCTCTGTCTCCGCCAGGTTGCCCTCCAGGGATGCTTTCTGCAGGAGGGCAGGAAGACCAGGGGTCAGTGAGGGTTGTCAGTGTCCTCTTCTGGGCCCATCCCCATGCACAGGACTGTTCCTACCATGATGAGCTGGGACTGCAGCTCGATCTCCAAGGCCTGCATGGTGCACCGGAGCTCCGAAATCTCGCTCTTGCCGCTCTGGACCAGCTCACTGTTGGTAGCCACCTCGCGGTTCAGCTCCTCTGTCTGCAGACAGAACACAGGACAGGGTGGTGTGAGCCTGGATCCCTCTCCTCAGTCAGGCCTCCTCCCAAATCTAACTGTGGACAGAGTGATGCCTTCTCACCAGCTTCCCACGTCCCAAAGCCCAGAAACATGCCATTTGAAATGTTAACTTTTTATGGTTAATCCCTGCGTGTGGGAGGCACAGACCGGAAACTTGAGAACCAGCCAGAACATGTAGCCTGGCTCTTGGTGCTAGTTTCTGACTTCTTGAGAGAGAGGTGGGGACTCCCAAGGTCTTTACCCTCTGCCTTTATTCTGTGGGGGCTCCCTAGCTCCCCACCCACCCCCCAGATCCCAGCTTGAGCTCAGCTCCAGGTCTGTTGATGCAGTGGGTGACCCTGTGGTCCATGCAGCTTGCTGAGGAGGGAGCATCTCCAAGACACCTGGCCGTGGGCTTACTGTCAGTGCTAAGGCCCCTGAGCCCCAGCCCCGAAGAGAGACCTCTGGCCTGCAGCAGCCCCCACCTTGCTGAAGAACCAATCCTCGGCATCCTTGCGGTTCTTCTTTGCCATCTTCTCATACTGCTCACGTATCTCGTTCAGGATGAGGCTCAGGTCCACACCTGGGGCAGCGCCCATCTCCACATTGATCTCACCGCCCACCTGGCCTCGCGGGGCGTTCATCTCCTATGGAAAAAGGGGATGTGGATGTGCGCATCTGGACCCATCCTGATCTCTCACTCCCAAGCCTTCCCCCACGAGGTGACCCCACTCCCCACAAGGACCCCTCCTTTGTTCTTCCTCTGCTCTATCTGACCCTCTAAATGATTTTTATTCATCTGCTCAGTATTGCCTCCACCATCAGACTCTATCTCCCCCATTAGACCAAGGGCTCTCCAAAATAAAATCTAATTATTAAGCCTATGCCCCAAAAATTTCCCCTCTAATTTCCAAGCTTCTGTGTAGATGTTCAGCTTTGAGAGTTTGAAATGGGACAAGAAGGAGACTTCCTTACTTATCCCCTGCCCTCGTGAGGGAGGCCAGGGCAGGTAGAGGGAGCCTCTGCGGGCCCCTGGGAGGTTCCTTGGGTACAGAGAAGCAGTGTGGTACAAAGAGGAGTCTGCCCTGCACGCTGGACCCCAAGGATCAGGGCTCCGCAGACAGGGAAGCCCTCTAAGGTGACTAATCCCAGTGCGCCTGCTGTGCTCTCTCCCACGGCCTCAGCCATGGCCCAGCCCCAGGGCTCTGCCACCCACTCCTCAGCATCTTTGACCTTCTGCCCCAGCCACCTCACCTCGTGGTTCTTCTTCAGGTAGGCCAGCTCCTCCTTGAGGTTCTCAATGTGCATCTCCGGGTCGGCTCTGGCCAGGGTCAGCTCATCCAGCACCCTTCACGGGCCATTGATGTCGGCCTCCACACTCAGGCACAGGGCCTGCTCTGTCTCAAACCTGCCATGGGAATCAGGAACTTCAGCCCAGGCTGCTTGGAATTGCAGGTCCAGGTCCTGGCTGCTCACCTGCCTTCATTTTGCCAGGACTCTAAGGGGTTGGAAGGGCTGATGAGAGGGTCGAGTGGAAACGAATTCCAGCCCCGGGGCCTTGGGACCATCACAGGGCCAGATCCTACGCCCACCAGCTTCCTTACTTCTCTCTGCCTCCTGCCTCCCCTCCCTCTCTTCTATTCCCTGCCTAAGCCCAGCAACCTTCAGAACTGGCTGCCTTCACTGCATCCTGGACTAAGTAGTGGGGCTCCTAGGACTGCCCCACCCTGAGCTCCTGGGCCTTGCCACAAGCAACCAAGGAGTCCTGGGGTCAGGAGGGGTACCCTGAGATCCTCCCCCAGCTGACCCAGGCTGCCCAAGCCCACAGCTAGGACTCACTTGGTGTGGAAGTCAGCAGCAGCCAGATGGGCATTGTCATTCTGTAGCAGGATGTTGGCATTGTCCACGGTGGCTGTGAGGATCAGCGGAGATGGGAGAGTAGTCAGGTCATCGGATGGGGGTGGCTGAGCCCACACCAGAGTTCTGAACAGATCTTCCTGCCTGGGGTCCTCTCTTCCCGCCCAGCCCCTCCCTTGCCCCGTGCTGTATTATTGGCAGAGGAGGGGCAAGCAGGAGTCTGAAGGGCTCAAAGGTGCCTCTTCTTCCCCCGCTACTCAGTACCCCACCAGACCCCCATGCCAGGCTCAGCCTTAAAGGAGAAGAGACAGCTGGCTGGGAGTATGAGGCAACCAGAAAAGAAAGGGAAAATGTCCCCAGGGCAGAAACTGTCCCAGAATTCTAGAACAAGGGAGGGGATGTGGGCAACCCCCTCGTTTTACAGTCAGCTAGAGGGTGCCCCTGACAGGCTCCCCCAAAAGGAGGCTAAAGGAGCCCTCACCAAAGAGTGGTCCCAAATCAGAAGTCAGGACCCTTCCTAATCCCTAACCCTGGGCTCCAGCCAGCAGCCCCGCCCCCTGCGGTTTGCTGAGCCTGTCTTAAGGGACAGCAGGAGGAAAGGAGAAGCCAGAAAAATCCCCAAATAAGGCACATCAGAGGCCTTCCCCACCCTGAGGTCCCACCCCCTCCTTTCTGCCTCCCACCCGCAGCAGGTGCTATCGGGAGCTCACTCAGACACCCCCACTCCACACCTCCCAAAACCCCTTCCTGCTGACCCCTGCTCCAAAGGAGCAAGACACCACGCATCCAGTGGCCCATGGGCCCAGCCCTCCATCTGCATCCTCCTGCCTCATCCTACAACCTCTCCAGGTGGAGGAGCTCCACGAGGGAGAAACTGAGTCTCCAAGGGGCTCCACGAGGCCTGTTTGTTCCTGACTCAGCCTACTGCCCCCAGAAAAGGGGGATGTGGGCCACACAGGGGCCCCAAGGCAGGTTCCCAGAAGCTAAGCCACAGCCAAACCACACTTGGCTCCCTGAGACCCTATGGCTGGACTCCAGGCCTTTGGCCAGGGCAGGAGTTGGGGGGAAAAAGTCATGCCCCCCGGAGACCCCTCCCACCAGCAGGCCCTACCTTGTTCTGCAGCTCCTCGATTATCCTGTAGTACTGGCTGTAGTCACGGGCGGGCCCCGGGGCCTGCCTCTGGTACCAGTCACGGATCTTCACCTCCAGCTCAGTGTCGGCCTCCTCCAGGGCACGCACCTTGTCCAGGTAGGAGGCCAGGCGGTCATTGAGGTTCTGCATGGTGGCCTTCTCACCTCCGACCAGCAGCCCATCAACGCCCCCAAAGCTGCTGCCATAGCCACCGCCAGAGCCAAAGCTGTAGCAGCTGGAGTAGCTGCTACCCCCGAGGGCGCTGCCCAGGCCACCAGCAGATCCCGGCCTGCAGGAGCCGGCACCCAGGCCGCCAGACAGCTGGCAGGAGGTGCGGTACGAGCCGCCCCCCAGGCCAGAGGAGCCCTTGATGGAGCTGGAGGAGGTGAACTGGCGGATGGAGGTGGTCATGGTGGCGGCGGCAGGAGGCAGGCACACAGGAGAAGGGCTGGAAAGAAGAGGGGCCCCAAGTAGTGTAGGGCTGCCGGGGTTCACAGGCTTCCTTTATAGGCCACCAAGTGGGCGTAGCGATTACAACAGGCTCCTCTGTTTCCGTTCCCCTGGGCTTTCATCACCACGGGCCACCTGCCAGCTCCCAGGTGGCTGGGGACCCCCTCCCCACCCATCATCAGGAATTTGCCTCATTTCTCCAAATCCTCGTGCTGGGTGCCACGCGTGTGCGTGCCACTGCTCTGAGGCCCGTCACCTGTGATTTGGGCGGGCCCTCCAGCTATGCTTTCCCATGACCTAATATGGGAGAAGAGGAGAATACAGGACTTCACCGTCCCCAGGCCCTCCCAGGCAGCCACCACCCCAGCCCGGCCCACCTCAACCCTGTCTGGTGGGGAAATGGGTTGCAATGTCAGGTGACCACCCCCTGAAGTTGCTGTCTTTCACCCCACACTGCTCCACCCAAGGTGCTGGCCCGGGGCTGGGTGCTGAAGAGAAAGAAGGGACCGAGAGCCTATCCTGCCTTGGAAACTGAGCCCAAACCCACCAGGCCCACCTCACAGCATAGAAATGCCATCAAGCCTCGGAGACCAACCCACATCGCAGATAAAGAAATTGGGGCTCCAGAGGGGTGCAGTGTCCACACTGGCCCCTTCTGCAGAGTCTGACACCCAGGAATGCACTCTAGGGGCTACAGTTCCATCCAGTCAGCTTCTGACCCTGCCCCATCCCTAGAAGCCCTTGCTAACCCAGTCTCCTCGTGTAAACCTTTCCCCAGGTTTACACTCCAGGCTGGGGTGGGCAAACAGGGGCTCAGCTATAGGATGGGGGAAAGGTGGGCCGTGCTAAGAGAGGATCTAAACCAACTGAGAGGGGGATGCCCCCTTCCACTCCTCTCACCCTTCTGTACCCCAAGAGACCTCAGGGTCAGGGGAGGGGCATTTCTCTCAGGTCTCAGCCCACAGGAAACCTAAAGGACATTGCCCAAGAAGAGGCTCTTACAGAGACCCCAGCCAGCCAGCCCCCTCCCCACTCCAGGCTCCCCAAGATGTGGCTCCTTGGGCGGGCCAAGTGCCCCACTCCACAGCCCCACCCTGCCCTGCCCACCACCCCAAGCCCCGCCCTGGGTCCCAGGGTCCCGCCAGGCCCGCTGGGTGGAAGGTGGTCATGTTTCAGACTGCCAATGGCTTCCACTTCCCAGACAGGCCCAGGTAGCCCCACCAGCAGCGGAGAGAGATTCCTCAATAGCCCAGTGGCTGCCAAGCCACCAAAGCAAACAGGACACCCCCCATGCGTACACGCACAGCGGCCACCCTGCCCCACACACACCCCGAGCTGGGCAGAGCCGGTCTGCTTTCCTGGGCTAGCTGCCTCGCTCTCACCCCCTCACTCATCAGTGCCCTGGACCACTCCTTCAGAAGCCCCTCCCCACCGAGCCCCTCTCCTTCTGCTCTTGAACCCACCCTGGGCTGAGGCAGGGAGTGCTCCCCAACAGGTGTGGTCCTTGGAAAGTCTGTGTGGCCCTCCCAGGGACCAGCCACAGGTGACAGGGACTCAGGGGCTGATTCTTAGAAACTTTTCCCAATACAAGGGGCTGTCCCTTCCCTCCACCCTTAATCCTTCCTCCTCCTCCCCTCTGGTCTTTCCAGGAGCCCCAGGCCTGGATGGAGTGGGCAGAACAGATTGGCAGGTGACAAGCCAATACCCAAACACTCAATAAACTCTCCACCTATCCCAGTCCCTCAGCCCACACTGCCCCAAACCAATGAACAGACCAGATCACACGAGGCATTGAACTTGGAGCAAAGCTTTAATAGCAGGCACTGGACAAACCCAGGAGGCCTCCTCAGTGAGGGGCTGCAGAAAGTAGATACAGAAAGACAACAGGTCATGGACCAGTGCCCAGACGGACACTCGGGGCGTGGCAGTAGCATGCTGGGAGCTGGAGCTGATGGCTGTGCCGTGACCCTCGAGGTGGGGCTGTCACAGGCAGAAAGGGGCCTCAGTGGGTGGAGAGATGGACCTGCTTACAGAAGACCACCTCTCCAACCTGGACTTCCTCCACGATGGCACACCTGGTGGCTGGTCACTGTGGCTGCAGGCGATGGAGGAGGGAGGCACAGGGAACATCAGGCAGGAGCTCTTCCCCCCACCTGCCCCTGAGTCTGTGGTCCCCCCAGTCTCCCACACAGAAGGGTCCTCAGCCTCTCCCCCGCCTTGGGGTCCACACAGCAGGACAGGGCAGCTTCTTACCTTCCCGGGTGGGCTGCGAGGCCAGGGACAAGGAGTACTGAGTGGCCAGCCTGCAGGGAGAGGAGCACCCATCGACCCAGGGATGCCAGCCAGCCCAGGCCCCTGCAAGCACTGCTGGGGAGAAGCAGGCCCTGTCAGAGGAGGTTCCCCTAAATTGGTGAAAAATCACAGTTGGGAATGCACAGAAATTAGCACAGGCCCAAGAATGAAAGGGCAGGGGTTCAGTGCAGCAGGAAGAAGAAAAAGAAACAGCACAGCAGTAGGCCTGGAGGCACTCACCAGGAATTTACAAGGAGAAGCTGAGCAAGTGGTTTTTCCATGTCCCAGAGGACCCAACCAATAGACCCAATTAAAGCAGGAGAGACTGTCGTTAGACTATAGATGGACTTCACCATTTTCGGGGAGCAAAAAGCTGCAACGTGTGACTAAGCATGGAGACTCCAGGACACACTCAGCTGAAGGCCTGATCACCCTTCCCAACTGCAAACCCGACCACCACCCACCATGCTCTTCACCCTGTGGCTGATGGACTCACACAGTCATCGGAACCAGAAACCCAGGGCCATCAATGCCCACTCCTTCATATGTGTTCACCCAACGCTTACTGAGTCCTGACCGTGAGCCACGCTTACCCTGAGATCCAGGCATCCAGTCCTGCTGTTTTGAGCTATAACCTCTCTTCTGCATGCACCACCTTCCTTCCCCTGCCCCCCCACCCAGCCTCCACCCCGCAAGACTTCTCTGGCCAGACTCCCTGCTCTAGCCCCCTGACGCGTCTCTCTGGCCCCACCCTGACCCCTCTGATCCATTTCTCCCTCTGTAGCCAGAGTGAATGTTCTAAAATATCTTGATGTTCATTCCCCTCTTCTGCTCCAAATCCCTCCATGGCTCCCCATTGCCTACGTGATCTAGTCCAGACGCTTTAACTTGGCAGTCAAGGCTCCTCAGTCAGACTCCAGCCTGCATCGTCAGTTTCACCTCCTGCAAACCCCACAGGTTCCCACATTCACACCTCCTGAACTTTGCTGGTGCTCAGACACCAACTTCTCCCTGGGTGAAGTGGGCCCCCAGCCCGCCCCAGCAGGTACCTGGGTGCACACTCACTGGGCGTCCTCAACCTCTAGCAAGCGGCTGTAGGTGGCGATCTCCTGCTCCAGCTGCGTCTTCACGTCCAGAAGGACCTGGTGCTCGTGGTCCTGGTGCTCTGCATCACAGCAGAGCTCGCACAGCTGCTGTTCCATGCTTCTGATGAGCCCCTGCAGCTGGGCCAGCTGGGTCCTGTAACACACCTCCGTCTCCACCAGGCTGCCCTCCAGCAATGCTTTCTGTGGGCCAAGAGATAGGTGGTGCGATGAGATGGACGTGGGACCCTTCCCCATGGCAGAGCACTAGAGAGGAGCCCCTCCTGTATGGAGCTGTGGGTGCTGCCGGCACAGTTGGGTGGTAGTGCACCCAGCCACTGAGTGTGAAGGGACAGGCTGGGTGGGGACTCTGGTTCTCCAAGCAGGGGTCTATAAGGCTGCGCTCACCCTGGGGTGACAGGTACAGGGTGGGGAGGGGACAGAGGCCCTACCTTGCTGAGCTGGGACGGCTCAGGTTCTGCACAGAGATGTAGAGCTCCATATCTCCATCCTGCCGCTCTGCAGGGCCTCTGTGTTGGTGGCCAGCTCGCAGTTCAGCCCCTCTCTCTGGAAGGCAGAGTGGGCCACAGGGGTTTATGGAGACTTTCAGAAGTGGGGCACAGGAAAGGGGCTGTTCCTGAGCCCTCACCTCCCAGAACCATCCCCTAAACCCTCCCTGGCCTCTATGGGGCCCCAAAAGCACCTGCACACAAAGACTCTCTGCACCCACATTGGACCTTGGAGGAATTCAGCCTGCTCTGCGGTCGTTTGCATTTCTTACTCCTACCGAACTACAGCACCTCAAAGACAGGCACTGGGTGTTATTCTTTTGCACCTGTTGCTGTCCCTAGGACAGCGGACACACTCAGCCTGTGCTTGCCAAGGGTATGTGTATGTACTCAAATACACACATCCTGTAAACAGCTGTGGTGGAAACCCAAGACCAGACTTGCAGAGAACTGGATCTATTTTGCAGGCCACAGTGAAGGGCTGTGTGAGCTTGAGTCCTCTCTGAGCCTCACATTTTACATTGAAGACATGAAGGGCTGGTCCGACTGGTTTCCAAAAGTCCTTCCAACTGGGACAGCCTGTGAATCTGCCGGTGTTCCAACTGCACCAGCACACGGCGTATGTGCCCACACGTGTGCACACCTGCTTACACACGGCCACCCACCAAGCTGAAGAACCAGCCCTGGGCATCCTTGCAGCTCTTCTCCACCAGTTTCTTGTCCTGGTCACGCATCTCATTCAGGATGCAGCTCAGGTTCACTCCAGGCACAGTGTCCATCTTCACACTGACATCCTTGTCCACCTGACCTCAAAGGGCGTTCATTTCCTGGGCAGAGAGGACAGCAGGAACTCACCCAAGGCCATCCTGGGGAAAGACCCTGGGGCCTGCCTTCTCTCCCTCGGAGAGACAGGTACGGATGACAGACAGACAGACAGACAGACACAGATAGGCCAACAGCTCCTCACCCTGAAGGTGGAGATGGATGTTGTCATTACTCAAACATACAGGGCTATGAATATCAGCAACCTCCCCCAACACACACTGTGACTCGGGACTGGACTTCACCCATCCCCAACAAGTGCTAAGCCCCAAGAGATGACAACCCCCCAGCACGGCAGAGAATGACCATGGGCGACCTCACTCACTGCCCTGGCCTCGCCCCTACCACCGCCTTGCCCCCACCACCAACCCCACAGCACAGGCATGCAAAAAGCAACCTTACGCTGCTGTCACCGCGCCAGGCCCCGTTAGCAAATGTTAATCTGCTAGAGGAAAGCAATTGTATAACCAGCCTCAACGCCAGGGGGAAACACCTTCCGGGTGTCCTGCTTCTCGGGGAGTAGGCTCCCCCAGCTTAGAGCAGCACAGAGCTCGGCTGAGAAGGAAGCCACAGGACAGGGCATGTAAGACCTCCTGACCGCCCCGGCAGGACCTTGGATCTCTATCCTTGGGTTGAGCCTTGGAGTCCCTGGGACCTAGAACCTTCTGGAAAGGAGGGGCAGGAGAGGGGCAGAGAGGTGGGGTGGATACGAGTCCGACAGACCTGAAGGAGGGTCCCTGTGCAGCCGTAGATATATCCCTTAACCTCTCTGAGCCTCAGTTTCTTCACAGGTCAAAAGAAAGAAACAGTATCTTTCTCCCAGTTTTTGTATCAGTTGAGTTAATGGCTGTGAGTCACTTGTAGTGCTGGGCAGAAGTTCCTTGTTTTAATGACTATCACTATTATAATTAGTTCTAATAATTAGTATTGTGTGTTCTTACACTGAGTTACTCATTAGTTAGTTAACTGCAGTGAGCTGAGCCTCAAGGGACAAATGAAGTCTATTTGAGAAGAGGGCTCCTCCAGGCCTCACCCAGGGTCCTCTGAGGGTCAGTGCTAGGCATCCATAAAGGATGGGAACTGGACTGGAAGCATGGCCCAGCCCAGGGAGGTTCTGGGCCCCAGCCTCGCTTGCTTCCAGGTGAATTTCTGCTGCATTCCCTGAGCTGAACTCACCTCCTCATGGTTCTTCTTCAGGTAGACCAGGTCCTCCTTGAGGTTCTCAGGCTGCATCTCCAGGTTGGCTCCAGGCAGGGTCAGCTTGTCCAGCCCCTGGGGCAGCTCCAGAGACCCAGCCTCACTTGGTGCAGAAGTCATCGGCAGCCAGGTGGGCATCATCCACCTGTAGCCAGTATGAAGCTGGAATTACCGATCACAGCCACCACGATCGGGGAGAGATGTGGGCTCCATGAGAAAATGCCCTTGGCAGCCTCCAGGAGACCCTCCAACATCCTTCTTGCAGCCTTTTTGGAAGTGAGCCAGGGTGGGGGTGATGAGAGTCCCCGTGGTCTTCTCTGACCCTCCTGGGAATTTCTGGGACCCAGCCAAGGCCCTCGGGGGTTAAAGGGTGATGGGGGTAGGATGCCCAGGCATGGGTAAAGACGGATGCCAGGAGAGAGACCCTTATGCAGCCATCTCCCACCATGGGGGTCATGGCCTAAGCTGCCTAGGCCTCACTCCCTCTTCCCCAACGAAATTCACCTCTAGGCTCAGCTGCCACCTCCTCCAGAAAGCCCTCTTGGATTACCTTTCTGTGTCTCTTTTCCGGGCCATACCTCCTGCCTTCTCCAGCCCGGGTGCACACTCACTGGGCGTCCTCAACCTCCAGCAAGCGGTGGTAGGTGTCAATTAGTTCAACTTCTATGGAAAAAGTAGGGAGGTATCTCAAAGAACTAAAAGTACAACTACCTTTCGACCCAGCAATCCCACTACTGGGTATCTACCCAAAGGGAAAGAAATCATTATATAAAAAGGCACTGCACTCCCATGTTTATCGCAGCATAACTTACAACAGCAAGGTCATGGAACCAAGGTAAGTATCCACCAACGGTTCATTAAATAAAGAAAATGTGGTGCATATACACCACAAAGTACTAGGCAGTCATAAAAAAGAACAAAATCATGTCCTTTGCAGCAACACAGATGCAGCTGAAGGTCATTATCCTACGTGAATTAACACAGAAACAGCCAAATATTGCATGTTCTCATGTATTAAGTGAGAACAATGGGTACACAGGGAGCCCAGGCTATTTATTTGTGCTCAAACAAAGAAACAGGTGGTGAGGCTGTGGGGGTTTAAAGGAATCAATGTATCAAGTGAGTGAGCTACAGCTGCGATGGTGTAGCATTTTCTTTGAAACATGTGGCTACTTGAGATAATGGGAGTGCTAGAAGCAAGGAGCCAGCAAGTCTAGCAGACATGCAAGCCCTGCCTCAGCTTCTCTCCCAACACTCAGCTTTTCTCCCAACAGGACAGAGTAAGCAGCAGTAAGTCTCAGTGCCTTAGGACCAGAGGGGCCCCAGTGCCCCTTGGTCAGGATGCTGAGCCCAGAGAGGGCAAGATCCTGACTTGAGGTCACAGAGCAGCAAGCCCTGGCAGAACTAGCATTCCTTTTGGAGAAATTCAGAGTTCATGGTCCCCAGGAGTCATTCATTTACTCATGCATTCATTCGGCAATTACATATTGAGCATCTACTATATGCCAGGCCCACTTCTAGCCCCAGCATACAGCAGTGGATAAGACAAACCAATTCCCACCTCAAGGAGCTGATGCTCTGGTCACAGAGACAGAAAACAAGTGAAGAAGATCACATTACATGATGCTAAAGGCTAGCAAATAAAATTACACCACATGGAATGTTGGAGTCACTCTGTCCAAATGGTGGCCACTAGCCCCATATGGCTATTTGAGTTTCAAGCAATTGGAGTAATTGAAAATTAAAGAGTTTAGCGGCTGGGCAATGGTGGCTTACGCCTGTAATCCCAGCACTTTGGGAGGCCAAGGCGGGCGGATCACGAGGTCAGGAGATCGAGACCATCCTGGCTAACATGGTGAAACCCGTCTCTACTAAAAATACAAAAAATTAGCTGGGCGTGGTGGCGGGCGCCTGTGGTCCCGGCTCCTCGGGAGGCTGAGGCGGGAGAATGGCACGAACCCAGGAGGTGGAGATTGCAGTGAGCTGAGATCACACCACTGCACTCCAGCCTGGGTGACAGAGCGAGACTCCCTCTCAAAAAAAAAAAAAAAAAAAGAAGTAAACTGGGTATGTGGCAATAGTTACTTTGGTCCACAGATTTTTGGTATCTTAACTAGTTTTGGATCTCTTCCACTAAAGGGATTGCCTGTTGAACGTTGTTAGGAATATAAGTACTGAAGGCAAACTGCCTGGGTTTGAATTTTGTTCTGTCCCTTGCACCCTGCCTGGGTTCAAATCCTAGCTCTGCTTATTAAGTTCTTTTAAGTGATGCTCTTTGAGCAAATGTCTTAGCTTCTGTTTTCCCAAGTAAATGGACACAATAGTTGCTACCTTGTGAAAGATTCATGTAATTGACCAGTGTTTACCAAGTAGCATCTGTGTTCAGTTTCAGTCATTGGTGATTCTGCAGTTGGACTGTGATGGGGTGGTGGGGTAGGGGTGGTGTGTGTGTGTAGCACTTAATTGCACGCAGAAAGGAAAAGATACTTTTGATGACCCAGAGGCAGCTTTTCTCTGCTTTTGTGTCAAAAGGGAGGAATGGAGTTTGGAGAGGGAAACTAATTCTGTTCAATACTAAGCTCTCTTCCTCAAAATCAGAGGTACATAGAATGTGTAATAACTTACAGAATTTCTAGACTTCAACAATCTGAATTTTTTAAAATTCATTTTTATTTTTTCAGGTTGAGACTGAGCTAAAGTTAATCTGTGGCGACATTCTGAATGTACTGGACAAACACCTTATTCCAGCAGCTAACACTGGCAAGTCCAAGGTTTTCTATTATGAAATGTAGGTTCTATACTAAAAATTAACAAGTGTACTTCAATAATTTTAAACATGCTCAGGAATAATTGGCTTTGTTTCTTTTTTTCTTAGCTATTTCCTATTATTTTCCTTATTAAATATAACGAAAAATCCCACAGAAATTAACTGAGGAGCCTCTAAATATCAACAAAATTATCACTTGATAGACTAGAATTAAACAAGCAAGTGGTTCCAAGAAATGGCACAAGTGTATTAATCATAAAATAAAATTTCTACATGAAACATTCAGCCAGCACTGTGAAATGTGTGGCCGTTTAGGGGAGGGGAATGAGATAGGTCCCATGAAAGCAAAAGAATATAAATAGGTAAAGCAAAAGCTAATGCATTTTTTATAATAGCCTGACCATCTTTTTATCCCAACATTGACTATCCTTCTAACATTAAACAATTATTTTTAAATAAAAGTTGGAAACCTACATAGAAGAAAGTCATGATTCTAAAAAGGCCAACTTTTAATCTTACATTTTCCTTTCTAGTATAGAACCTACATTTCCTAATAGAAAACCTTGGACTTGCCAGTGTCAGCTACTGGAATGAGGTGTTTGTCCAGTGCATCCAGCACCTTGCCACAGATTAACTGTAGCTCAGTCTCAACCTGAAAAAATAAAAATACATTAAAAAAAATCAGATTGTTGAAGTCTAGAAATTCTGTAAATTATTACACATTCTATCTACCTCTGATTTTGAAGAAGAGAGCTTAGTATTAAAGAGAATTGGTTTCCCTCTCCAAACTCCCTTCTTCCCTTTTGACACAAAAGCAGAGAAAAGCTGCCTCTCGGTTATAAAAAGTATCTTTTCCTTTCCGCATGCAATTAAGTGCTACACACACACACCACCCCCACCCCAGCACCCCCTCACAGTCCAACTGCAGAATCACCAACGACTGAAACTGAACACTGATGCTGCTTGGTAAACACTGGTCAATTACATGAATCTTTCACAAGGTAGCAACTATTGTGTCCATTTACTTGGGAAAGCAGAAGCTAAGACATTTGCTCAAAGGTCATCACCATAAAAGAACTTCATAAGCAGAGCTAGTATTTGAACCCAGGCAGGGTGCAAGGGACAGAACAAAATTCAAACCCAGGCAGTTTGCCTTCAGTATTTACATTCCTAACAACGTGCAACAGGCAATCCCTTTAGTGGAAGAGATCCAAAACTAGTTAAGATACCAAAAATCTATGGACCAAAGTAACTATTGCCACTCATCTCTATTCATTTATAATGCTGAAAAGGTACAGCACCTCTAAACGCACATACCCAGCTTGCTTCCTTTTTTTTTTCTTTTTCTTTCTTTTTTTTTTTTTTTTTTTTGAGACTGAGTCTCACTTTGTCCCTCAGTCTGGAGTGCAGTGGTGCGATCTCGGCTCACTGCAACCTCCGCCTCCCGGATTCAAGCTATTCTGGTGCCTCAGCCTGCGGAATAGCTGGGATTACAGGCATGCACCGCCATGCCTGGCTCATTTTGTATTTTCAGTAGAGACAGAGTTTCTCCACATTGGTCAAGCTGGTCTTAAACTCCCGACCTCTGGTGATCTGCTCGCCTCGGGCTCCCAAAGTGCTAAGACTATAGGCGTGAGCCACCGCGCCCAGCCGAACATGTTTCTTATGTTTTGCAATATAGACAGGCTGAGGATTTTTCAGATATTCAAGCTGTGATTTCCTTTTTTTTTTGACAGACTCTTGCTCCATCACCCAGACTGCTGTGTAGTGGAGCGATCTTAGCTCACTGCAGCCTCCACCTCCCAGGTTCAACTGATTCTCATGCCTCAGCCTCCCGAGAAGATGGGACTACAGGTGCATGCCATCACACCTGGCTATTTTTTGTATGTTTACAAAAATAGTAGAGGCAGGGTTTCACTAAGCTCGTCTCCAACTCCTGACCTCAAGTGATCTGCCCTCCTCGGCCTTCCAAAGTGCTGGCATTAGAGGAGTGAACCACTGCATGTGGCCTGTGATTCCTTTTTAAGTATTATTTTATCTCTTTTCTCTTGCACTTTACTATAAGTGGTAAAGAGAAACCACACCATTCGTTCATCACTTTGCTTAGAAATCTCCTCAGCAAAATATACAGTTTCATCACTTGAAAGTTCTACCTTTCACAAAATATTAGAACATGATACATCCAAGTTCTTTGCCACTTTAAAACAAGGATCACTTTTCCTCCTGTTTCTAATAAGCTGCATCTCATTTCCATATGAGATCTCACCAGAATGGCGTTCAGCTTTCAGAATTTTACCAACATTCTATTCATGATGATATAGGCATTTTCAAAGCCAATGGAGAAATGCTTTTAAAAAATAGTTCACCTCTTTTCTTTCTGTAGCAGCACCGTAACTTAATTGGAAGGGGATACAATCCAGTCTGTCCGTAACAGTTGGTCACTATGGTTCCAAGCTTGAGTATAACTACAAAACATCTTTTTTAATCTCAAGACATTTAATAAAAAGAAATAATGTTAATGTAGTTAGAGCAGATTACTAGATGAAATGCATGACAGATAAGGAATTGATGTAAGCACTATATTTCACTCAGGTCATTTTAAAACCACCATAATAACTATCAAATCATTGCACTGGGCCAGGCACAGTGGCTCATGCCTGTAATGCTGGCACTTTGGGAGGCTGAGGCGGGTGGATCATCTGAGGTCAGGATTTCGAGACGAGCCTGGATAGCCTGGTGAAAATCCGTCTCTACTAAACAAAAAATTAGCCGGGTATGGTGGCACAAGTCTATAATCTCAGCTACTCAGGAGGCTCAGGCAGGAGAATTGTTTGAACCCAGGAAGTGGAGATTGCAATGAGCCAAGATCGTGACACTACACTCCAGCCTGGGCAGCAAGAACGAAACTCTGTCTCAAAAAAAAAAAAAAAAAAAAAAAAATCATTGCATTGAATTGTATGCTCCAAAATTTTCTTCATTCTCAACAATAAATGGAGATAGGTGATTATAAGAACACAATTCAATATTGCTTGAAAACATTCCAGTAATTTCACTGGAAAAATGTTTATAACATAGAATATGAGCTTAATGATAAGAAACTTGTTTGCTCTGTTCAATACTGAATACTCAATTCCAATCACTGGGCCTGGTATGTGAAAAGAGCTTCTTGGTTTAAAAAATTTACTTAAATTGTCAATGAGTGAGGGAAAAATAAGACACATTTTATGTTATACTACCTACAATAGCAATAGAAATTGTCGAACAGATTTTACTTTTTAAATGCCGATTTTACTTGTAATCTATACATAATAGGAAAATGGGATTAGGTTTTTATTAACTAGAAGAAGCTGTTACGAGAACGTCGACAGAAGTCTTCTGAGTATTTTCAAGTGCAATGTTACTCACGTTTAAGAAACAACTTAGATATATGATAAATAAAAAATTTGTTGTGCAATAAAATTACAGTGCAAGACGAACCATAATCTGTACAAAGAATTAAAACCTAAATATGTCAACGGATCGTAAGTATCAAGTGACAACAAATGAATAGATTAATTTTTACAGGGCTCATGACCTCTGCTTATTACCTTTAAATGACTGCAAAAGAAAAAATAACTCTTTTGGCAGGTTAATATTTGGATTTTATCTATCATAATCACTTATGCCATGGGTCCCAAAAAATGTTCCGGGCTGCATATATGTTCTGCATATGAATCTTGGAAGAATACTCATTTACTGTCAACAGTAGTTGTTTTAAAAAGTAAAATGACATTTTATGCAGAATTCTCTTCTTTTCCCTTAGCATGCTGTGTTAGTTTCCTAAGGCTAGGAACAGAACAAATGACTACAAACCGTGGGGCTTAAGACGACAGAAATTTATTTTTTCACCATTCACGAGGCCAGAAATTCAAAAAGGAGGTGTGAGTATGATTGATTTCTTTGAGAGGCTTTCAGGTAAAATCTCCTTCTTAGCTTCTGGTGGTTTCCAGCTGTCCTTGGCATTCCGTGACTGTAGGCAGCGTAACTCCAGACTCTGCCTCCCTTGTCCCATGGCCGTCTTCCCTGTAGGTCTCTGTATGTTCCCACGACCTTCCTGAAAGGACACAGCCATTGGCTTTACAGCCCACCCTAATGCATTGTGACCTTGTCTTAACTAAGTGTTATCTGCAGAGACCCTGTTTCCAAATAGTTTAACATTCCTGGGTTCCAGCTGGACATGACTTTCTGCGGGACACTATTCAACATGGGAAACATGCGTGTATTTTTTAGAACATAATGAGTTCTGCCTCTGTTATAAAGCCCCCTTTCTTTTCATTAGTGTTGATTATTATAAAATAGCATGGAGAGTTGACAGAGCTCTAAGTAGTTCTGTACAGCCACAGCACGGGAAACAAATGGGGGAGTGGGAAGAAATAAGATTTGATAAATAGTTCAGGGCAAGATGATAGAAGGGCATGTACATCATGCTAAAAAAAAGTGATTGCTGTTTTGTGGCAAGGAAGAACAATAAAAATTTAGAAATATTTATTAGGTGTCTATTCTGTGTTAATAATGTACAAATACATTCTGGGGATAATGAGCTGAAAAAGGTATATGGCTTCATGTGTATCACAGTGCAACAAGAAACCAATTCCTGAGACAGAAACAATTGGTAAAGGAGCACATTTGGTCATGCCTGTAATCCCAGCACTTTGGGAGGCCAAGGCGGGCGGATCACGAGGTCAGGAGATCGAGACCAGCCTGGCAACATGGCGAAACCCCGTCTCTACTAAAAAAATACAAAAAATTAGCCGGGCGTGGTGGCGGGCGCCAGTAGTCCCAGCTACTAGGGGGGCTGAGGCAGGAGAATGGCGTGAACCTGGGAGGCGGAGCTTGCAGTGAGCTGAGATCTTGCCACTGAACTCCAGCCTGGGCAGGAGAGAGATTCCGTCTCAAAAAAAAAAAAAAAAAAAAAAAAACCAACAACAACAACAAAAACCAGGAGCATATTTGGGTTTCTCAAGCTTGAAGTTGAAAAAAATTAGGTAGAAAACAGGTCTAGCCACGCTGAAATGTTCCTAGTGTAAACAAAGTAATAGGAGGAAAATCTCCTGATATCTCAAAGGGAAAGCATGAAGAGATGACAGGAAATAGGATTCAGAGCTTTGCAACATTGTAAAGTGTTACCAGCGTTAAGAATGTTCTTAGAAGAAAGAAAAACATTGGAAAATAAAAAGAGAAAGGTGGTTGGAGTTATAAAAAGGAGATGGAGGAAGAAAAGAATATACCAACTGGAAGAGCAAAAGTTGAAAACACACAAACTTATGAGAACATTTTAACTTTAACTGAGGAATGTTCAGTGACACAATAGAGCTCTCCCCATCTCTTCTCCCTTTCTCGGTGCTCTTTTTCCCCCACTATCTTCTTCCCCTCGCCCTCTCCCCGCTGTAGTTTGTTCTTCTTTTTTGAGATGGAGTCTCACTCTGTCATCCAGGCTGGAGTGCAATGGTGAGTTCTCAGCTCACTGCAACCTCCGCCTCCGGGGTTCAAGCGATTCTCCTGCCTCAGGCGCTGGAGTAGCTGGATTACAGGCGCTCGCCATCACGCCCAGCTAATTTTTGTATTTTTAGTAGAGACTGGGTTTCAGCATGTTGGTCAGGCAGGTCTCGAACTCCTGACCTTGTGATCCGCCCGCATCAGCCTCCCAAAGTGCTGGGATTACAGGCGTGAGCCACCGCGCCCGGCCTTGTCCTCATCGTCTTCTTTTCCACCCTCCTTTCTCCTCACCGTTTTCCTCCACTGTCTTCTCTACCACACTGTCTTCTCCCTGCACTTTCTCCCCACTGTCTTCTTCCCCACCTTTCTCCCCATCCCACTTTCCAAGGTCTTTCCCACCCTCTCCGTCCCCTCCTCCCCCTCTCCCCGCAGTCTTCCGGGCCCCACTGTCTTTCGCCCGCAGCCAACACTGTTCAGTTCTGAGGTAGCGGCGGGGGCGGGGGCGGCGGCAGCCGTGATGGCCCTGGCAGCGACTCTCCTGGGTCTCCTGTTGGCTGTTGGGGCGGAGCTCAGGGGCCCAGCTCATGGGGCTGGCTGGGCGCACAGACACACCAGGCGCAGGGACACAGGCGGGCGCACGCGTGGAGCGCTTCTAGGTGAAAGGCAGTTGGAGAGCGCGAGAAGGGGGTGGGCAAGAAGACGATCGGGGGCGAAGACGGTGGGGAGTGGAAGAGGGGAGAAGAGGGTGCGGGGAGAGAAAAACGCGGCAGGAAGTCGCTGCTGCGAGAAGGTGGGGAGGGGAAGAAGATGGCGGAGAATAAGAGGCTGGGGAAAAAAGACGATGGGAGGGGGAGAGAAGAAAGTGGGAAGAAGATTGCGACTGACAGACGCTGCTGCGAGACGGTGGGAGGACATGGGAAGAAAACGGTGTGAGGGGAAGAAAACGGGGGACAAAACGGTTGTGGGGAAGGCGCGGGGAGAAGACAGTGAGGAGAAGAGGGCGTGGGGAGAGGACGGTGGGGAAGAGGAAGAGAAGATGGTGAGGGGAGAGAAAAGCGCGGCAGGAAGACGCTGCTGCGAGAAGGTGGGGATATGGAGGCGGCAAGAAAATGGAGAAGAGGCTGGGAAAGACGACGATTGGGAGAGGAGAAGAGGGTGGGAAGAAGGCGATGGGGAGAGGAGAAGAGGGTGGGAAGAAGACTAAGGCAGACATGGGAAGAAAAGGGTGCGGGGTGAGGAAGAAAACGGTTGGCGGTAATAGGCCGGGAGAAGACGGTGAGGAGGGGGAGGGGAGAAGAGGGAGCGGCGGGAAGACGCTGCTGGGGGAATAGGCGGGAAGGTGGAGACTGGAAGCCAGCGGGTGGAGAGAAGGAGATGGAAGGAAAAGCTGCCGCCACAGGAACCCGTGCTGCGAGGAATGGGAGAGACTGAGGGGAAGAAAACGGTGGGGAAGGGGAAAAAAAACTGCGGGGGAGAAGAAGGTGCGGGAAGAAGACAGTAGGGAGACGGCAGAAGAGGATGCGGGAAGACCGCAGTGGGGAAGAAGGAGGGGAGAAGACGGAGAGGGGAGAAAAAGGTGGGAAGACGTTGGGAAAGGAGAAGGGTCGGGAAGGAGAGGGGAGGGAAGGAGAGGGGAGGGAAAGGGCAGAAGGTGGGGAAGAAGACTGGAAAAGGGGTGAAGGGAAGAAAAGGATGGGGAGGGAGGAGGGAAGAGGGTTGGGGGGAAGAAGAAGGGAGGGGAAAGCGGCGAAGACGACCTTGGGGAAAGAGATGGAGAGGGGAAAAAGATGGGTGGGAGAGAAGAGGATGAGGCAGGGAACGAGGTGGGGAGGGGAAGAAAAAGGCAGAAAGACGGGCTGAGAAGAGTGCTGGGAGAAGAAGGGGGAGCGGAGGGAGGGAGAAGGGAAGCGGGGAAAGACGATGGGAGAAGGTGGTGGGGGAGAAGAAGGCAGTGTGGGAGAAGAGTTGAGGGAAAAAGAAACAATAGTGATGCTAATGTTAAACGTCGTCGTCTTGGAGCAAAAGAAGCAAGTGCTGCTTTAGACTCCCGGCCTAACTTTGTTCAATAAATTCCCACTTCCAAATATCTTGTGATTGCAGTGTGGGTCATTTTTAGTACTTAGATCCAGAGCAGTCTCTGATTGTTAGTGACAGTGCTGTCAAATTGCATGCTGTTCACCAGCTATAAACGAAAACATCACATTTCCTTGAAGTGCACTTTAACGTGTAATTCAAAGACTTTTCCAAGAAGCTTATTGGGGAAAAATAGAGGTGTGTACCTTTGGCATTGGACATGGAGTCTCTGATTTTAGATTGTAGTTGTTTCCCCAAATCTTTAAGATTGTGGCAGAAACATGATTGTGACTACGGCATTCATTTTGTAGGGCAGTGCGTGTTATTTTAACAAAGGGTAAACTGATATGCCTATAAGAAAATGTAATTCAATTTAATTCACTCATACAAATTTAGGTTTCCTTAATATAAAAAAACCCAAAAACAGTTAAATTGCCTTAGTCTTTTAACATAATTTCATGCTTAGAGTCAAGAGAATTTGTAAATGCAATCCTGTAATGCTGGTGTTGCGTTATGCCTATATAAAATAACATGTTAAACCTAAATGTTCCTTTTTTATTTGGCATTATGGAACTTCATAGAAGTTTATGTGTATTAATACAGGTGAACTTGACATAAATTATTAATTGGTGAATGATAACTTATTGCTTGTAAAATAAGCAGTTAAATGTAAGGATGTAAATACATTTTATATTACCCTATAGTTTATTTTAAATATTTTCTTCTTTTGTATTCTAGTTTAAAATCCTGGAATACTTACTGATATCTTATTTCCCCATGAAAAGGCTTCCGCTAACTATACTGTATTTCCAAGCAAATGTCTGTACCAGAACATCAAGTGTAGAAATTAAGCAAAATCTGTCTTTTAGGACAGGTGCAGTGGGTCGCACCTGTAATCCTAGCACTTTGGGAGGCCAAGGCAGGTGGGTGGCTTGAACTCAGGAGTCCCATACCAGCCTGGGCAACATGGTGAAACCCTGCCTGTACAAAAATAAACAAATTAGCCGGGCATGGTGGTGCACATCTTGTATTTTATTCAATCAAATTGAAGGCTTCATTTACCCTTGGAAAAGAAAATGATTTAATGTACTCTCATAGAAAATAATTAACCTCATGCCCAGAACGGGTTCACTTACAGCACACGTTCATTCATTCTGTCAGACAGTGGGTTAAATGTGTCTGAGCACTGCCTATGAGTCAGGAACACAAGTCAGTATCCGCACTGAATATTACCCAAGCTTTTTCCATCTGTTATATAGAGTAACATAGATAACTTCATGGACATCATCTCTTTAATTTGTTGTGGAATACTTAACATGACCTCCTCGTATATAATTATCAGTGCTGTTCTTAAATAGATGTTATCATCTGGATATTTACTAGACTTACAATGACTTACTGCAGAAATGTCATCCATATCTAATGTGTACTATACTAAGTCTCACATGGTGGTTTTGGTTTTAAATAAGCTCTTGGAAATCAGGCGGTTTGCGTTTTGTTTTCATCTTATTGTATACTATGAAGTAAAGTCAATAAAGATTCTGGAAACACAGCTGTGAAAAGGTCCATTGTTAGGTCCCTCCATGCAAGCTTTGGGTATTTGACACACCATCAGGCATAGGCAACATTTGCAACATTAAAACAGGAAGTTGCAATTTGGGTCATCCTCAGTCACTGACAGTCTATGTGCAAATTTAACAGCATGGCCACCCTATATACACATAGGACAGTGTTTGGATTGGCTTTTTAAAACAAATTATATCCTTTTGCCAAAAAAAAAGATACGCATGGTAATAACTGCAAGTTACCATGCTTTCTTAAGAAAGAATATCTGGAAAATATATATGAAAACAAACTACATATGCCTTTTTAAAAACATTCTATGTTATTGTGGAAGCAAAGTCACAGAAAAAAATGGTTAGAGAAAATCTGAATCAGCATGAAATAAAATATTTTGAGGGTTATTGAACACTGTTCATTTTCATGAAAATAGGACAAGTTCATTTAGCACAGCTATTTCTGTAATTGTGATACATTAGCAAAATTAGCTGTGTTCTGCGGTGCTCGAACTTGCTCTGTGTATGAAATGGCGTACCGTTAATACAAGGAAATTTGTTGTGAAACACATACTGTAGAATTAAGTTCAAAATCTCTCTGTGCTTAAATCACTTAATTTTGTTAAATAAAACTTGGTTTCCAACATTGGTTTTTTTTCTCCAGAAAAGCACAATCTGCTAAATTCTTAACCAAGTGGAAAAGAAAATATTCAAGAAAAATAAAGCAATTGTGCACGTCACACTATAGTTGAAAGTGTTCTGATACTGAAGCTATGTCCAGTATTTTAAGCTGCTTTTATGCACCGTGATTACTTCTACATTAATCTCAGAAGATTCTAGATGGAAATTCAAACGGGGCCCAGCCAATTAAATGTGACTCTCTGAGAGAATCCTAGTGATACTGACTTTTCCGTTTTCTGATCATTGATCAGATGGTTACAGATGCATGAAAGATACATGATTTTTAAAAACAAGATGTTATTTAAAATACCAGTGTTCAGTGCTTGCATTTGCAAGAACATAAATATTAGATGATACTGAGAACATTCCTTAATAATCAGCAAAGGTAAAATGTTGTTGTTCTGATTTTGAAAAAAGTGAAGAGGGTTACCATGAAATTATTAATTTTTTTTTTTTTTTTTTTCTAAGACATAGTCTTGCTCTGTTGCCCAGGCTGGAGTGCAGTGGCGAGATCTCAGCTCACTGCAAGCTCCGCCTCCTAGGTTCACACCATTCTCCTGCCTCAGCCTCCAAAGTAGCTAGGACTACAGGCGCCCGCCACCACACCCGGCTAATTTTTTGTATTTTTAGTAGAGACGGGGTTTCACCGTGGTCTCGATCTCCTGACCTCATGATCCGCCCAACTCAGCCTCCCAAAGTGCTGAGATTACAGGCATGAGCCACTGCGTCTGGCTGAAATTATTAATATTTTACTTACATTTGTTACCAAATAACTGAATTCTAAAGTAGAATTGCTGAAGTCACTGGAGTTTGATACTTCAGGATTGATGGTTTTGGTTGAATTCTTAAAAAAAGTCAAACTATAACTATATGGTATAAACAAATATGTTCATTTGTTTAATAGAAATTAAATATATATACATACAACATTCTTAGGTCAAATAGTCAATTGAATGGTTAACAAAACTACTTCCCAGTCAATTGCTTTGTCATTGTTAAGATAAATCTTCAAAGAATTTGGATTTTTTAAAAATAAGATTTGACTTGTAACTAACATAAGTATGAATTTGATAGTTATATTTTGATTTGTCAGAAATCTGAATGATTATAGAAAATTGTTTCAGTATGTCAAATTAGTTCCATGGCACCCGTGGTTATGTAACTGTTGGTACCTGTGGGGAGGGGTCCTTTTTTTCTTAATTCTCAAGCCCATAAGCAATCATTGACAATACTCAATTCTGATTCCTTTTCTTGGGGCCACATAAAGTTTTATCCCTGTCTCTATTTCTAGAAATATCTAGAAAACCTTCCTATCATGAGAGAGTCTTTTGCCAGACAATATAATAGTTTTTCAGGAGTGCAACTGCTTGGATAGATATTTTCAGTTTGGAGTTGTCAAATCATGTTCTATCATCTCAACTATTCCATATGCCAGCAGTGTTTTGGGATTGTGACACAACATTTCATTTTTCATTTTATTCACTTGGAAAAAATCAAATAATAACTATGCTGTTGCCTTAGGAATCAGAGGTATTTGCTGTTTGATACAGAGTAGGAACATTGCAATTACCTCAAGAAAATGATGACATTCTTCTAGACTGAAAAATGCACGTGTCCTTGACCAAATAACAACTCTCTTTCTTGTACAGATGGCCCAGACACTCAGAAACTGCCTATTCAGAACATGGCACATCATAGAGATGAATTTTTAATAATTTTATTTGCCCATGTTTTCTGATGGTTCTATTTCACTGTGAACGCTCAGTACCAACAATTAATAACAGGTAATTTGGAGGCTGGTGTTTACAACTGATTGATCACACCGGTTACAGATTTCTTTGTTCCTTCTCCAATTCAGTCTACGCTGTGACAAAAAATAAGACATTTATAAATATAAACATTTTATTTGCAGTGTAGCATACATTCAAATTAGGTGGTTGTGTAGACATTTTGACAAATAGTGCCATTTCTCTTTTAACACATAGGTCCTTAGTAAGCACTGCTTTCTAACACCAGTTTAAGATAGTTCTTAATTCTTTTCATCTAACGTTACAATATAAAAGTTTCAAGAATGGCGCAAAGAAAAAATTATTTGTCAAATAAAACAATATTATCAGACATAATCAAGAACATTTTTATAAGATAATTTTGTGAGGTCAACAACAAAACAACACAAGTGAGAGAAAATTTCAAATACCATTTTTTATGATGAATAAATGTCAGACTTATGCTTCTGATAAAGACAGATTAGGTATCCTAGAATAATTTAAATTAGGTTTTGTATGTAAAATAACATTTTAAAACAAATCAGGTCCTGGCACAGTGGCTCACGCCTATAATCCCAGCACTTTGGGAGGCCGAGGTGGGTGGATCACTTGAGGTCAGGAGGTTGAGACCAGCCTGGCTAACGTGGCGAAACCCCGTGTCTACTAAAAATACAAAAATTAGTAGTGGCGTGCGCCTGTAGTCACGGCTACTCGGGAAGCTGAGGCAGGAGAATCCCTTGATTCTCAGAGGCGGACGTTGCAGTCAGCCGAGATTGTGCCACTGCACTCCAGCCTGGGTGACAGAGCAAGACTCCATCACAAAAAAATAAAAATAAAATAAATAAATGAATAAAATAAATAAGAGGTAATAATTTATTATTATTTTTTAACACTAACTGAGTTAATGCACAGCTAAGAATTGTCAGGCTAAGATTTGGAGAGAAACAGCATTTAGAGAAATAAGAGCTGCTTTGCCCTGGAGCCATTTATTACTTCAGATGGGATATCTACCAGGTTGTGTTAAACCTCTGCTAGTCTTGCAGAGGCCCCCAGTTTGGTCATGGATATCAAAAGCTGCTGGTACATTAAAGCAGTGAGAAGGAACCAGAATTCACCCAGTCACCACAGCAGGCTGGCTGCTCTCCAACTGAGTGCCCAAAAAGGTTCCAACTCCAAATTTTTATGAAAGTAATTCAGAATTTGACTGTCCTTATACTTCTGCATGAGCAAATAGCAATCATTTGAGAAAGAAAACATTAGTTGGGCCTCTAAAGACAGACAAAACCAGTTGTTCACCCACTATATTTTGTACATTTGCTCAAAGATGTGAGGGTCAATGAAGAAAAAAGACACTGTGAGAAGGAATAAACAGATGCCAAGGAAAAAGAAAAAAATGTGTCAAAGCAACTAGAATTAGTATATTCAAAGGCATGAGGTCAAGTTTGGAAACTTCAACAAGAAAGTGGAAACTATGAAATTGACAGGTTAGGGTAAATAAAAACACACAAAAATTCTAAGACTAAAAAGTGTGAGGAAGAAAAAGGTGACTCAATAAATGAGTTTAACAGCAAATGAGGCTGGGTGCCGTGGCTCATGCCTGTAATCCCAGCACTTTGGGAGGCCGAGGAGGGTGGATCACAAGGTCAGGAGATCGAGACCATCCTGGCTACACAGTGAAACCCTGTCTCTACGAAAAATACAAAAAATTAGCCAGGCATGGTGGTGGACAACTTTAGTCCCAGCTACTCGGGAGGCTGAGGCAGGAGAATGTCGTGAACCTGGGAGGTGGAGCTTGCAGTGAGCCGAGATCTCGCCACTGCACTGAAAAAAAAAAAAAAAAAAAAAAAAAAACCTTTTGTGAATCCAAGCATCTCTTACAGGTCTACTGCTTCCACCCCTTCCCATCTGTCATCTCAGGTCTCGATTAGTAGCCTGTCCTTCTAGATGCTTTTTACTCCTTCTATTGTTCCTTTTGTCTTTCCATGAAGCCATCTAGCCGATTTTTCAAAAATATCATTTAAAATGTCACCCTTTGGCTCAAATTCTTTGAATGAGGGCAAAACTCATCTTTTATTTTTTTTTAAAAATTTAACTTTTAAGGTCTGGGTACATACGCAGGCTTGTTCCATAGGTACACTTGTGTCATGGGGGTTGTTGTATAGATTCTTTCATCATCCAGGTATTAAGCCTAGTACCCACTATTTTTTTTTTTCTGCTCTTCTCCCTCCTCCCACCCTCCACCCTTCGAAAGGCCCCAGTGTTTGTCATTCCCCTCTATGTGTCCATGTGTTCTCATCATTTAGCTCCCACTTATAAGCTTGCTAAGGATAATGGCCTCCAGCTCCATCCATGTCCCTGCAGAGGACACGATCTCATTCTTTTTTATGTCTGCATAGTACCCCATGGTGTATGGTGTGTATATACCACATTTTCTTTATCCAGCCTATCGTTGATGGGTATTTGGGTTGATTCCATGTCTTTGCTATTGTGACTAGTGCTGGAATGAACATACACATGCATATGTCTTTATAATAAAATGATTTATATTCCTTTGGGTATACACCCAGTAATGGGATTGCTTCATTGAATGGTATTTCAGTCTTGGGTCTTTGAGGAATTGCCACTGTCTTCCACAATGGCTGAATTAATTTACACTCCCACCAACAGTGCCTAAGTGTTCCCTTTTTCTCCACAACCTTGCCAGCATCTGTTATTTTTTGACTTTTTAGTAATAGCCATTCTGACTAGTGTGAGGTGGTAGCTCGTTGTGGTTTTGATTTGCATTTCTCTAATGATCAGTGATGTTGAACGTCTTTTCAAAAGAAAACTCATTTTTCTTGCACTGTTGAGCTGATTACCATCAGTTCCAAACCTCCCCCCTTTACCTTGCTTGCCGGCTTTGCCTTTTCTGTGGCACGGTGTGAAACTTCATCTGCAGCATCTGCTAAAGGGACGCTGGAGAAGGTTGGGGCTCTTTCTAGTTCTGAGTGCTCCTCTTACCTTGCTCTTGTGGGGGACAGCAGCCAACCCTGGCCATCACCTCTCTGGGGACAGAGCAGGTCACAAGCAGCACTTAGGGGAGCAGTTTTCCAGTGTTTTGTCAGTGTAGAAACTCAGCAAAATTCTCTGCTGTCTAGCAGGCTACATCCTCACCCTCTCCAAGGAGGTCTAGCACTCACTTCTGGTGTGTGTGGGAGATTCTTCCAGATTTGTTTCTTCCTGCAGTGCTTGCCTGAAGCTCTGGAGAGCACATTGGCAGCTCCGTGAATTTGCTGTCCCTATTTTGTGTGTGTGTTTGCTTTGCCTTTCCTAAGCTTGTCCAACCCACAGCCTAGGGCTGCTTTGAATGAGGCCCAACACAAATTTGTAAACTTCCTTAAAACACTATGAGATTTTTGGCTGGGTGCCAGTGGTTCATGCCTATAATCCCAGCACTTTGGGAGGCCGAGGCAGGCAGAGCACTTGAGTTCAGGAGTTCAAGACCAGCCTGGCCAACATGGTGAAAACCCGTCTCTCTACTAAAAGTACAAAAATTAGCCAGGTGTGGTGGCACATGCCTGTAATCCCACCTACTCAGGAGGCTGAGGCACAAGAATTGATTGAGTCTGGAGGCAGAGGTTGCAGTGAGCCGAGATCATGCCACTACACTCCAGCCTGGGTGACAGAGTTAAGACTCTGTCCAAAAAAACAAAACAACAGGCTGGGTGCAGTGGCTCACACCTGTAATCCCAGAACTTTGGGAGGCCGAGCCAAGCAGATCATGAGATCAAGAGATCGAGACCATGCTGGCCAACATGGTGAAACCTCATCTCTACTAAAAATACAAAAATTAGCTGGGCGTGTGCCTGTAGTTCCAGCTACTCGGGAGGCTGAAGCAGGAGAATTGCTTAAACCCAGGAAGCAGAGGTTGCCATGAGTCGAGATGGTGCCACTGCACTCCAGTCTGGCAACAGGGCGAGACTCCGTATCAGAAAAAAACCCAAAAAACAAAAACCAAACCAAACAACAACAACAAAAACCCAAAACAAACAGAAAAACACTATGAGGTTTTTTGTGATTTTTTTTTTTTTTTTAGCTTATTGGCCATCATTAGTGTTCATGTATTTTATGTGTGGCCCGAGACAATTCTTCCAATGTGTCCCAGGGAAGCCAAAAGATTGGACACCCCTGCTTTAAGAGAGAATTCCCTGAAATAGTTAACAGTTATTTACTTTCAATTTTCCTTATTCAAATTACTGTGCAGTTTCAGCCTCCTGGTTGGACAGTAACTGACCACAATGTCTCCCAAGGCCTGGCATTATTTAGCTCCTGGCATTGCTCTGAAACTGTCGTCTACCATCCTCCCGTTGTGCACTTTGCTCTGGCCTCACTGATGGGCACGTTCTTCCCAGAACATCCTCCTACTTAAGCTTTGTCTTACTTTTTGCCTAGAATCTTCTTCTTGCTATTCAAATATCTCATTACCAGAATTTTCCACATATGATGTAAAATGTGCTTCTAATACAACACTTTCTCTCTACTTTAGCCTACTTCATTTTTCATAAAAGTTCTTGTCACCACATGACATTACAGTCATTTACTTCCTGGCTCTCTGACTCCTCTCACTGGAAAGTTATGCCCTTGACAGCACACACAGTCTGTTTTCTTCCTGGTTAATCCTTGTGCCTGCACCTCCGTATAGCCTAGCACGTGGTAGACAATGAAACGACTGAATGAATTAATGAACAAATGAAGTAGTATACTTCCTAGATGAGAAAACTGAGACTCAAAAGTGATAAGTACCAAATCAGTATAACATAAAAGTTAGGAGTTTAAGCTCTTTGGGGAGAAATGTGGGTTTAAATGTGGGTTTTGCTACATCCTACTAGTGTAACTTATATATATTTCTTAAATTCTCTGTGCCTCATTTTCCTTATCTGAAAAATGTGGATTATAATGGTAACTACTTTATACTGGGCTATCTAGAGTAAATAAATTATGTATATAATATGCCTAGTACAGTGCTTGACACAAATTAACAATTCCACATATTTAGTTACTTGTACAATTATCTGTAGCTGCAAAACTATAAATGCAGGTTTGTCATCTTTCTGGGGAGATAGCAAGAGAAAGGTTAAGTTTATAAAATGCCTAAATAATAAAAACTATATTATCAAAGTAAAATGCCTAAACGAGGGCTGGTTTTAATATCAACTAATTAGTAGCTGCCTAATAGTAAGAACTGACTCTAAAATCAAGTAGACAAGAAAATGGTCCTGCCTGTGCCCTCTCCCTGAATGCCCTGTGGGTCAGGGACACCCAATTCCCTTGTCTCCCTTGCTCAAGGCTTGTTGTCCTGGCAACCTTGGAGGAGGTGCAGGAGTGAGGGGCCTCTGCTGCTCTCTGAGGCTGTGGGTGCTTGTAGGGAGTGGGGGGGTCTCCCACAAATGGGTCTGGCTCCTCTAGTAACTTTGAGGGCCCTGTGAGGGGCAGAGCGAGACACCGTGGAAAGTGGGAGGGGGCTTGTTGGAGGCTCTTGCCCACATCCCCCTCCTGCGTACACAACATGTCTGGTATACACACACTGAGCGCCTGCCCTGAGGACTGGTGGGCCTCCTGTACTTTCTTAGAGTCCAGGAGGAAGAGAAGGAAGAAAAGGTGAAGAGGAAGGCCCAGGTAGTAGGGTTGCTGGTCCGGGGCACTCGCCCACTATTGACTGCCCCAGAGGGTGACATGGGAGGGGACATGGCACTGGAGCCCACTTGGGGGTGGCAGGTCCCCTTGCTTCCTTGTTAGTTTCTTCGTAGAGGCCCTAAGATGCTTGAGCACAGTGTCATCATCCGTGGCCCAGGTATGGAAGAACTGGTTCCGAAAACATGCCAAAAGGCCAGACCTGGATGTCTTCATGAGGCGCTCTAGGGACAGGGTGGATATCAGGCCAGGACAGTTACCTGGGAATGGTCACAGCTCATACCCCGTGGCCACTTCAGTCTCCCACTGGGCCGTGCCGGATCCTTTTGTGGCCACCCCAGGCGTCCAGATGTACACAGGAGACTGTGGCTGGGGGGTGATCTGGACAGGGAAGTGCTCACCACACTCCTGACTTTCATCTGGGTCATGTGAGGGATGGGCTCGGCATCACAGTGCCCTTCCCAAGCCCACCTGGCCAGACCTCCCTCTGGGCCAGAACAGAGGATCATGAGGACAGTGTGAGGAAGCTGCCCTTGGGCCAGTCGGGTCTGACCGCAGGGCTCCCCAGGCCCCACTGGGTACACATAGACTTACTCTTCTGAACCTTAAAAGCAATGCTTCTGATCGGCATCAACACCTGTCCTTCCAGCAAATACATGTCCCACAAGCACAGGGTGAGCCCGAGAGAGATCTGTGGGGACAGCAGGTGTGAGACAACCTGGCCCTTCCAGGCTGGGGCTGGTGGCTCAAGCTGCACACATTGGGGCTTCAGTCTCCAGAGTCAGTGACCTTCCCCATGAGGGTCGCCTGAGCCATCTAGAATGGTGGGTCAGACAAGGTCTTGCAGCTCCTCATAGGGGGCACTCATTTGAGTGGGGATGTGGCTCCTGGACAGAGGGGCTTGCCCAGGGCTTGAGGCTTCCCTGAGCCCTCTCAAGTTGGGTCCTGGCCCAGTCTGCCCATGAGGCTGGGCCTGAGCCCCAGCCATTGCCCTGGGATGACCCCTCTTGGGCAGAGGGTTTTGCTTGTGTGTCCTTCGGGGACCCGCCTGAGCCTCCTGTGGGCTGGGAGTGAGCCAGACCCCCGGACTGGGGAAGCAGGGCACTGCAGGGCAAGGAGGGTCCCTGAGCCAGGGTCTCCCTATGCCTCCTTACCCCTTGAATCAACATCCGGAGAAGGCAGCCTAATGAGGAACACTGTCCGCATAGACCTTCCTTGTCCTGATGGGAGGAACAGAGGTGCTCAGGGCCCCCTGGGCTGCCCTAAAAACCTCCATCTTCCAGGGCCTCTGAAGACCCTTCCCCTAGTGCAGAACACTGGGCGGTGTCCAGAGCTCCCCACAACACTGTCCCCTTCCCACACTCTCAGTGGACACACTGACCTTTGACTTGCTCTGCGGGAGCGGGGCCCCCATCCCTGTGCCTCTGTCTCCTCCAGGGCAGGAAAGGAAACAAACTCCCAGCCCATGGAGAACCCGACGTCTCAGGTCAGGCCCTGGCTGGGACTCCGCCAGTCACCAGTCCCACGAGGGTCTCCAGTCCCCCTGCTCCTACAGCCCCACGGGAGGCAAGGCCTCTGAGAAGAGCCAAGGGGACAATAAACTCACCTGATGCCACATGGTCTTGGGTTGTGACTTGGGTACCACATGCTCCTGTTGGTCTTGGAGCCCCTGGACTGTCCCGCCATTTGGGCTGTGGAATCCTGAGAAGCCCCCAGCCCATCATGAAATCAGAGCCTTCCCCCAAGATGTGGAGCCATCAGCTGCAAGAGCTGGGCAGCTGCAGAGGCCCCCAAACCCGAAGGCCTCCCACCCTCCCATCTGGTGACCCCACCATGCGGCCTTTGCCCTGGGGAGGTGGGACAAGAACATCCCCTGGAGCCTGGCTGGAGGTTCCCCTGGAGGCCTCCTGGGCTAGGGTGCAAAAAGGGCAAGCCTGACTTTGAGGTCACAACAGAGCAGCCAGAACACGGTGGGTGCTGGGCTTCCTGGTCATCTTGTGGAAGTGGGGTTGGGCCAGGGGACACGGGATGGGGAGATGCTGCCACCTGGGCTTGGTTAGCCCATTCGTGGGCACCAAGGGCAGCAGGAGCCTGGGCAGCTGGAGGGCAGGAGGACTCTCAGGGAGGGGAGAGTCAGCTGCACAGAGTCAGAGCCGGAGGGCGTGGCTCCAGGACACAGAGGGTGGCCACGGGGAGGATGAGATGCCCTCTGCTGATGGGGATGAAAGGCATTTGACTTGGGCTGTGGGGGTCAGCTGCGGACTCCTGTGGGACCCTCAGCAGAGACGTCCTAAAGGCTCCCAACAAGCTGGCGACACAAGGATGGTGCCTTGGCTGAAAGCCGAGATCACCTGGCCACGGTGGCTGTCCCCAGATCTGGCTGCATGAGGCCCCACGGGCAGCTGTTCACCTACCCGGCAGGGAGTGCCTCTCACTGGCCAGCAGCTGCACCAGTGCCCAGAATGCATCTTCCTCAGGCAGATAAAGGAGAAACAAGGTGGCAATGTGGCTCAGGTCCCTGCAGTAGCCCACCTCCTGCAAGAGCCAGAATCGCCATGGAAGGACATCACCTGGGAGGGCCGAGGTCACCTGGGAGGACTCATGTCATTGGAGAGGGCAGAGGTGACTGGGGAGGCTTCCTCTGAAGAGGCTTCCTCAGGATGCAAATTCATTTCATGACAAGAGCCAAGTCCATCAGGCACTTCAGCACCTTGTCCAAATTGTCTCCTGAGAGCACCGTCCTGCATGTGACACTGCCAAGCTCCCAGGCTTTGGGGCAGCCCCAGGAGGAGGGTGTCATTTCTTGTTCTGAGAAGTGCCCAGGTGACAGGCCCAGGTGACACCAGGAGTCCAGGCCCCAAGTCCTTTGTGTCTCAGCTTGACCCCTTGAGACCACCCCCTTGCTTGGAGGTTTATGCCAGCAGTGACCTGGAATCCTACCTCCTATATCCTGGTGGGTCACAAATACTAACTTTAAAAGAAGCAACGACACCCCCATCAGACACCCACTCCTGTGAATATGGAAATATGGCCCAGGAACCTCACTGCCGGGAATACTCACCGGGTTATACTCTGAATATGCCACAAGGATGTAGAATAGTTCCCGCTGCCTAGGAAACAGAGAAAGGGGGCTAGGGTTTGGTTTGTGCAGATGCTGTTAGTTTCACTTTGTCTACAAATCCTAAAAACAAATCCCATTTCAGGTTCAGATGATTCACCAGATAAGCAGTGAACTTTCAGGGCCTGAGATTATTGAAGAAATGTTTCAGTAAAATCCACATCTGTGACATGCAAATAGCCCAGTTGTACAGGGAGTTGACCGATCCTTTTCACTCTGAATGATTTTTTTTTTTTTTCAGTTTGCACACACGCCAGTTCAGTCTTTGGGTGTACAGTTCCTCCACGGTTCCAAACCAGTGTGCAGAGTCTCCCGGCCACCACTCCAGCCCCTCCTGGAGTGACTCCTGATCTTTCAAATCTCCAGGGTTTCCCCTATGCACCCAGCCTCTCCCCGATCCGTCAGCCCCTGGCCACCCAGACTGCTTCTCAGTCCCTATGGTTTGGTCTTTTCCAGAATGGCCTAGGAATGGGAATCCTACTGTGGTAGCTTATTGGGTCTGGCTTCTTTCCCTTAGCAAAATGCATCTAGGATCCACCCACATTCCTGCGGGCATCACTGGCTCATTCCCTTTTCTCACTGGGTCTTCTGTTTGAAAGGAGGACCAGACTGTCTCTCCCCATTCCCGTGTTGAAGGCCATCCCCGAAGGCTTCGTGTGTGACTGATGAGGAATCAAGCAGTGAACGTGGCATGCAGGTTTCATGTGGATGTCAGTTTTCAAATCAGTGGGTTCAATATCTGTGACACCTTGGGGACGTGTGGTTCAAGTCCATTGAGCTTTGTGAGCCACTGCCCAACTGGCTGCCAACGTGGCTGTGCCATGTCATATTCCCAGCAGACCTGGATGAGAGTTTCCAGGACCCCTAATTCTCCCAGCATTTGGTGCTGTCAGTGTTGCCTGGGGAGGCTCATGGGCTCTCCATCCTGCCACCCTCCCGTGGGTCCTACCATGGGTCCCCGTGGGTCAGGGAGAGCACCTTTCACCATTATGCATGATTTTGTTTGCTGTCTTCTGTCTCCTCAGGATCCTCCTGGGTTCTGGCCCCACATGTTCCAGCCTGGCCCAGGGCTTGGAACCAGGGAGGTGCTTGGTTCATGGTGCCGGCTGCTCCCTGGGCTAGGAGAGCTCTTGGCAGCTCTGTCATCCCTCCTGGGTGATCCTGGCTTCTGCTCTGGGAAAGTCCCCATCCCTCTCATTCACCCCATCTCCTCTGGGACCCTGTGGCTCTCGTAGGCTTACTTCACTCCATATCGATCCCTGAAGAAGACATGGTTCTGGAGAGTCCTGCTCACGTCCAGTTTGATCTGGTGGATGTGTTCAGAAGACCTCTTGCCCTTCTCCTTCATGATCTGTAGGGCAGGGCCAAGAGGAGGAAGCAGCCTCAGAACAGATGGAAGACTCCCTGCCCCAAATGGCAGTCAGCCCACAGTCAGCGCTTTGGGAAGGAAGGAAAGAAGGAAGGTTTCCTTGTGCAGAAAGCTGCTTTTTGGCTTGTTACTGAAGCCAGGGAGGGTCACCAGAGCCGAGTTCATCTGTGGTGACTATGTCACCATCTGTGCCCAGGAAGTGCATCTGACCATCCCCCCCACCCCCCCAGGCTGGGCTTGACGTTCACTCCAGCTGGAGGCCTGGGCCCCTGACACAGCCTGTCCTGTTTGTTGTGCTCTGGCTGAGCATACCTAGTATTTTTTGGGGTGTTTTGACTTGATTTCCTGAATGTTCAGGAGGACTGACAACACCAGGCCCCGGATGTTCATGGGAATGCCCTTATAGATGCGATCTATGAGCTGTGGGCAGAAAACAATCTGGTGTCACAGGCCATGGGGTGACCCCAGTGAGGATCAGAGCCCAGGGATTCTGGAAATTTTTGGTTTTGGCCCCATGATTCCTCAGTAGAGGTGAGATCAAGCTGGGACAGGGTCTCCCTTCCCAGGACTGAAAGAGTGGATGGACACTCAGAGTTGAAACTGTGATCCGAACCTTTTTCTTCCTTCAGGTCACCAGGGCATCCCTAGCCTTGAGCTCCAGGTGGTCCCAGCCCTAGATTCAGATTCCCTCCCAGCAAGGTGACGCTTGCACGAATAGGCAGGCAATCTGACGACCAGGCCTGCAGTCTTCTGTGCAAGGACAGTGTGCCACCCGCCCTCTGAGAGGCTGACGGTGCCAGGCCACAGCCATGGGTGCCTCTCTTCTGTCTCTGCAGAGAGTACTTCCGGGGCCTCTCCCTCCACACATTACCTTTTTGCTGTTTTTATATGACTCGCATTTGCCCAGCATTTCCAGCCACTTGCTCTTTCTTTTTTTCTCCTGCCGAATTTGCTGCCAAATGAGGAATGTTGGAGTTAGCGGAGCTGCCAGGCTTCCCAGAGCCGCCCGTGGATGCTGGGTCTTGGGCTCTGGAGCCCTGGTGGGACCCAGCTGGAAGGAGCCAGGGAAGGGCAGACCCTAAGGGCTGAGAGCCTTTGAGCAAATGAGCGCCAGTGGGCTGGCTTTGGGACCCCAGGATGTGCCATCCTTAGGCCACAGACACACCAGTCTTAGGTCCCAGCCTCTAGGTGGGTTCCTGACACAAGCGGGCAGCCACCCCCAAGCCAGGACTGTGGTTCTCACTTTGGAATTTTATCAAACTGCCAAAGTTACAGCAACTGGGGTCAGGTCTCTGCTGCCCCTCCCAGTGACAGCGTGTTGCCCTCACCCGCCACCGCCCAGGCCAGCTGCTTCCTCTGCCTCACTGACCACCCGCCCAGTCCCTACGTCCCTGGACCAGCCCCTCCATGCATCAGGCTCTTACCTTTGCCTCCCGTGCAGTCACAGGAGGCAGCTCCGTCTCACTGTAAGGCAACTCAGGCAGAGCTGAGGACCTGCACAGGGCCTGGAGCCACCCAAGCCTGGGAGCCGACCCCCAGAAAGGACTGGCACTGTCCCTATCCAGCTCAGGGCTCAGCCCAGGAGAAGTCACAGGGAAGGGAGGACAAGGACCTTCCTGTGGGGCTGACTCCCAGGAGGGGCAGGACCTGGGAGAAGGAGTGCAGGGACAGCCTGGCTGGGGTTACTGGGGCCCTGGCATGGGGGGTGGTCAGGCTGCACAATGGGGCTGCGCGTCCTGGACTCAAGGTGGTGCTTTCTGCTGGAGCTGAGAAAGGTTAGCCCTGAGATGGGATGGGGGCCACCCAGGGTGGGCGACCGGGCCCTGACAGGAGTCCCTCAGGGAGTGACCACATCACCCCGCCAGGGTCAAGGGAGCCTGCCCTGAGACCTGCCCGGTGTACTCTGGGTGCACCAGGGGCCCATCCCACTTGACAGCCCCAAGGCTCTTGCAGGTTCTGACCTCCCAGCATCCACCTGCCTCTCCCTGCATCTGAGCCACACACCCTGCATTTCAGAAGTGGCACGGCTCATCAGCTCCCTCCCACCCTACCTCCCCCGGGATCCTCTGTCTCTGCATCCTATGATCCCCGAGGGATGGGCTCCTGGCTGGGCTCCTCTTACCTGGCCCCAGATGCCTTCCCAGCACCAGACCCAGGTCTTTAGCCACAAGCCCTGCTGCCTCTCTGGTCTCACCATGAGATGCCCAGAGCGGGGCCCTGCCCGTCTTCTCCCCCATTCTCTTTGGGCCAAAGCCCCCACTGTCCCCACACCTTTCCCCCTTCCCCATGGGGACAGTGAGGGCTGTAGTTCTAGGGAAATGGGGGAGGACAGGGGCAGGTGGGCTCTGAGAGACCTGCTGGACAGCAGCCCTGAGGCTGGGCCAGGTGTCTCCTCACCCTGTGGCCACAACCCTTGGATCTCACTGGGGTTGTCTCCTGGTAGACAGGGCCAGAACCTCAGGCTGCCCCGCTCCTCTTGTGCTAACTTGCCGACAGAACTGCTGAGAGCCCAGGGGCCTGGCCTAGCCCCCTCTCCATTCCCACCGGCTCCCTAGATGGGCCTTGCACCTCTGGCCTAACAACAATCTCGGGCTGGACCTGCAGGGGAGCCAGGGAGGAGTTCTGACCCTGGAAAAGAGGTTGGCCCGACCTGGTGAGACATGTCCTGCGTCAGAAAGGCCTTTCTAAAAGCAAACCCATCCCTGAGCTGAGACAGCTGCTTTAGGGGTGAGGGGAGCACAGAGGACTCACTGCAGAATCCCAAAGCGATCAACGCTGCTGTAGATTCCAACAGGTTCAGGCCCCTTGTCCTCTGGCAGCCCAGCTCGGTGTCCCTGTAACCCAGAGGGAGCCTTGGTGAGGGGTCCAAGGTAAAGGGTGCAAGGGCCTGGGGGTATTGGCCACCTGTCCCTGCCCTGTGCTCCGAGGGAACCCAGGACCCTTTGACCAGGGCGCACAGGAAAAGGCCTCCCTCCAAGGAGCAGACCGAACTGTACCTTCTGATACTTCATAATTATGTCCTCCCGCTCCTATGCCTGCACACTATCCGCGCCCTCTACCATGTCCATCCTGTGAGACAAAGTTGTCTAAAGGTTACACTGTACCCGACAGCTTCAGAGAACCCCTGAACTGCTCCCGCTGGGCTCCCAGATGCTGGCTGGTTGTATAACCTGCATTCCACCACTGCGCTCTGGTAAAAAGGGTCCAAACCCCGTGGCCCACACATCCATGGGTCTCTGCAGTCTGAAGCCCTAAGCAGGGGTGGGCATCTTCCCAAGGACTCGAGAAGAGTGGGACCTGGACAGAGAATCCCGTTGTCCCCATATGCCATGAAACGGGCACACACCTGCCCTGGCAGGTTGAATGGTGTCCACCTGCCAAGGGTGAAGAGCCTGTGATGGGCTATTCCAGGGATGTGGATGTGAACTGCGGTCAGGCACCAGAGGTCTCTGTACGATCGGCCTCCTGGGATGCTCAGGGCCACAGAGATGCCCAGTTTCCTATGAGGAACAAGATCTCTCCTGATTGCTCCGTTCTACCCCGCTCATCACTTGGGCTACCATGGCCCTTCAGTCTAACCAGTGAAGCTGCTTTAAGAATAACGCCATTTGAGCAGGAGTGTGTTTGGTTTTGGGGATGAAAATGATCTACTGTCTCCAAAGCAGCCACTGTGCTCATGGAAACCATGTCTCTCGGGGACGGACTGTGGACTCCACCATTCTGAGCTGTCCCTACAGGAGGGGGCTTCATGTTCCTGTGTCACTGATGTAGAAGAGTGGGTCCTTGCTCCTGGAGAACATCTAGATGGACCGTCCCTCCTGATAATACTCAGGGCAAAAGGAAAGCGAGGCCAGACAGAATAAGAAATAGTTGGGGAGAACCCCAGTGCCCGGACCCCTTTGAACACAAGGGAAGTTAGTCTCCCCTCAGCCAGTCCTCCAGGGCTCCTTCACTTTCCACAACTGCCCAAGGGCAGAAGCCTCCCCATGCCACTCCCAGACAAGGGACCATGTGTGTCCAGTGGGTCCCACGGTGACCATCAGGACCCAGCTTAGGCCCCAGGTGTGTTCTGAGGACCCTTCCCTCCTCCCCACCCACAGTGGATCCATTCCAGTGTCTCTGCCAGGGCCAGGCTCTGCCCCATCGGGATCGGAAATCTGGGCAGATTTGGGATCTAGAGCAGGGAGGTCTCAGGGTTGAGGCCTGAAGTCTAGCACGGCACACAGCAGGGCTGAGAGCAGAATCCAGGGTCATGTCTGATTCCCAGGCCGGTTACCGCCTCTCTGACCCCAGATGTCTCACCTGTCGAATGGGTACATTCGGGAACAGCACCCACTCTACGAAGCCACCATGAGGACGAAAGAGAAGGGTCACTGAGCAGGTTTTTTCAGCTCTGAGCAGCTCTCCTTTTTCAGCTCTTGCCGCATCTCGGACTTTCCCAATGACAGCCGTAGCAAGAAGAGATAAGAAACAAGACAAGTTCATGTTGTCCAGTTTTGAGGTCTTGAAAGAAGTTGCACCAGTATGAGAATAGTGGATCAGTTTTCTCTAGGATCCAGAAAGCATATCAGGCAGCCTTGGGGTGAGGAAAGGAGCCCGGCCTCTCCAGCAGCCACACAGGCCTGCAGTAGGATGGGGTTGGGGCTGGCCATGTGGATCACTTGGGCCTCATGAGGGGAAAGGAAATACCAGGGGGCAGAGGAGGAGCATGGGGGCAGCTGGTTGCCTAAGGAGAAGGCACCTCAGGGAAGGGGACTGTATTCTTTTGTTTTCACACTGCTATAAAGAAATACCTGAGATTGGGTAATTTATAAAGGAAACAGGCTTTATTGACTTGCACTTCAGGAAACTTGCAATCACGGCAGAAGGTGAAAGGGAAGCAGGCACCTTCTTCACAAGATGGCAGGAGGGAGTGAGTGGAGAACCAGTAAGTGCCACATTTTGAAACCATCAGCTCTCCTGAGAACTACCTCACTATCCGGGGAGCAGCACGGGGGAAACTGTCCCCAAATCCAATCCCCTCCTACCAGGTTCCTCCCTTGACACAGGAGAATTACAATTCCAGATGAGATTTGGGTGGGGACACAGAGCCAAACCTGTGAGGGTCTCAGTCTATCTTGCAGCTCCCCTGGGGCTGAGGCTGAGTACAGATCTGCTGGCCTCGCCCTATAGCACGCGAGGGCTCTGCCAGTGCGCCCCCATCTGCTGCTTCCTAGGGATGGTGGTGACTTCCTCAAAAGGAGCATAGATTTGCTCTCCTGCTGCCCCTGCAGGGCCTTGTGGAGCCCCGGCCAAGTTCTCCCAGGGTAAGGGGAAGAAACAGGGCTCCTTGCCCTTCTTGCTACTTGAGTGACAACCCTGGAGTCATCCCTAGGCCCCGTCACTGCCCCTGCTTCTAAACTGAGAACATTTTGGCAAATCTTCCTGGCAGAGGCTGGGGGCTCATCCCTGCTATCTGTTCTAGCTTGGTAAAGCCGGGTTAAGACACCTGGGCAAGCAGACAGTAGAGTGGACCCCAGGAAGGGTGGGTGGAGGGCGCTGGCCTTTGGGCTTCCCTGGACTAGGGTGGGAAGGGGGAAGTTTACCAGGAAATAGAGCTCTCAGGACTATGTTTAGGAGGAGGTGGTAATGCTGGTGGGGGGATGTCCATTCATCCATCCATTCATCCATTGTCTCCCCCCACCCCCCATCTCGGACTGTCCCCATGACAGTCCTAGCAAGAAGAGACAAGAAACAAGACAAGTTCACGTTGTCCAATTTTGAGGTCTTGGAAGAAGCTGCACCAGTATGAGAATAGTGGGTCAGTTTTCTCCAGGATCCAGAAAGTATATCAGGCAGCCTTGGGGTGAGGAAAGGAGCCCGGCTTCTCCAGCAGCCACACAGGCCTGCAGTAGGATGGGGCTGGGGCTGGTTTGGGGTGGAGGATAAGTGACAGCCAAGGTTTGTCAGCATGCAGAGGGGTGGCTGACTCATGGACTAGGGGCTGCGGAGCCCAGTGGTTGCCCTTAGTTCTTGGATCCTGGGAGACTTCTGGAGCCTGGATTTGGACAGCCTAGGGGTGGAGGTGGTGAGGGGCAGGGGTGGGGCGGGAGGAGAGGCCTTGCATGACAGGGTTCAGGGCAGGAAGCCAGCCAGGGACTGCTTTGCAGTGGCTGTTCCCATCCCCATTCCCACTCCCAAACCCACCCCTCCCCCACCCTGGTGCAGGGTCGGCTGTGGGCAGGTGTCTTCTGCTTTGGCCTCAGCAGATCCCAAGAGGGAAGCTGGCAGCCACGTGGGCATGTCACTTGTGCCAGCTTTGTCCTGCAGTTTCTGCTTCCTGGAGTGTGGGGCACCCACCCAGGAGAGCACGGGCACACCCCACACCTCTCGTTTTGAGGGTGCTGGGAGGTGTGGGACCTAGGTCCTGCAGCCCTGTGCTTGTGCCGTGAAAATTAGCCTAGGAGTCCCGTGTCCGCCCATCCACGTGGAGCCCCAGGAGCCTGAACAGTGGCATGCAGCGAGATGAGGAGGGAGAGAGAACTGGAAAAGGAGACAGAGAGATGTGGAGCAGGGAATGAGAGAGAGGAAGAGACAGAATAAGAAATACTTTGGGAGAAGTATTTCATCCCTCTGGGGTGCCATGACTCCTCCCTGCTATGGATGGAGGAAAGTGACTGATCTGCCGGAGACATGAAACCACATGATCCTTCCTTCCACAATAAACTGGAGGGTCAAAACAGGCAAGAGTAGGTCCAGGTCTTCTAAAAGCCATACCTGAAATGTTTCCGATAACAGTTGATTTGGTGGTGGTAACTCAATCACACAAACAACCACAACAAAAGACACAACTATCAGAGATTTTCAGATAGCCTCAAAAACACCATCTAACATTAGGGAGTTCAAAAAGGCATGAAGTTTCAAAAAATTGAGCTTTATTTACATATCATTTGCATAAACTGGTAATTTAACAGTATGAATAAATCCTAGGGCAGAAGACAGTTTGGAGACCCCAGGGCACAAGTGCTGAGTTTGGAAGATTTGGTACTGTACCCTTTGAAGCCCTCGCCTGGTCCCCGCACCCCTTGCCTGCCTGTTAAGAAGAGCCCGTACCAGGGAGCAAATCAGGGGCAAATAGCCCAGAAGCCCAGTAGTGGACAGACCTCCATGCCTGGAGGAGGAGGCCACCTCTGAGAGCAGGAGGAGCTGCCCGAACCCTTCCTCACAGCCTCCTTTTCCTGCTCTCAACACCTCCAGCTTGCAGATAGACAGCCCCAGCACCGGCAGAATGAAAAGGTCCTGAGGCAGCAGGGCTGTGGCTCTGGTAAATAAAAGAGGTCTCTCTTTAGTAAGGTAGAGGAGCTCAGACTGCACACCCTGGTCTCTGACACCAAGGCTCGCTCCATGCCCAGGACTAGGGGCAGCGTGGGAGCTGCTGGCTGGGGCCATGCTCGCAACCTCTTCTCTGCCACGTCTATCTCCAGCGATGCTCTCAGCTCCAGGGCTGAGCCCAGTGGCTACGGCAGGTGGCATGAGGTCTGGCAGCTTGTCGCTTTGCTGGTCTTTGGCTGTATCGGTGCAGGGCCCGGAGGACTCTGGAGCTACCTCTAGCTGCAGCACTGCCTCTGGATGGGGACTTCCCCATGCTGTGGGCTGTGGCTCCATAGCGGGCACTGGAAGTTCCTCTCTCTCTGCACGTGCGGCAAGAGCTGAAAAAGGAGAAAGGGTCACTGAGCAGGTTTTCTGTGTCTGAGCCCCAGAGTTCAATCTCTGCTGACCAGACCCCCACTGACCAGACCGCTGAGCGGTGGTGCTCAGAGTCCCCTACCAATGGCTCTTCTCAGTCCACAGACCTCTCCCTCCCCTCATCAGCACCCACAGGTGACTGAGAGTCTTCTCGGGACTGGACCCCAACTCCAGGACACAGGGAGGGGCAGTTTGTCCCAGGCTCCGGGTGCTGAGCTTCACGCTTGTGCCACAAGGTCCTCTGGGCCATCTCAAACGGGGCAGTGATGTGGCCTCGCACATCTGGATGCACTGTCTGGGCCTATTCCTGGGCCACATAGCCAGAGGAACAGGAAGATGTTTGTCAACCCAGGCACCCCACTCTGCTGGGTCTCCCAGGGTCCTTACCATGGAGACCAGATCCAGAGACAGCACAGAGGCCGCAGGGTGACCGGCCCAGAACCCTTGAGACTAGGCTGGGGATGACAGGAGGACTGTCCCCAGACAACCAGAAGACCCTTTGCTAGTTTCTTGGTACTTCATTTCTCGCCTGCTACCGTTACCCCACCAGAAATCCCCTTCATGCAGAGTCAATGAGGAGAGGAAGACGGACACAGAATCTGTGGAAAGAAAGAAAACAAAAGATGGGTGGGGAGAAGAGTTGGGAGTGTAACGTTGTAAGAGTCCTACACTATGCGTATTATTTGAGGGTTGGCTGTGATTAATTAAAGGTGTGTCTTGTAGACAACCATTAACACACTATAAATAAATTTTATATATATATATATATATATATATATATATATATATATATATATATGGAGAGAGAGACAGAGACAGGGTCTTGCTCTGTCACCTGGGCTGAAGTGCAGTGGCCCAAACACAGCTCACTACAGCCTTGACTTCCCAGGCTCAAGCAATCCTCCCACCTCAGCCTCCTGAATAGCTGGGACTACATGTGTGGGCCCCCATGCCTGGCTGCTTTTGAAATGGTTTCTTGTAGAGACAGTTATCTCACTGTGTTATCCAGGTTGATCTGGACCTCCTGCCCCCAAGCAATCCTCCAGCCTCGGCCTCTCAAAGTGTTGGGATTACAGGCATGAGCCACTGCACTCGGCTTACACATGTTTTTAAGAGGCGTAAATGCTCCCTCTCCCTCTCCCTCTCCCTCTCCCTCTCCCTCTCCCTCTCCCTCTCCCTCTCCCTCTCCCTCTCCCTCTCCCTCTCCCTCTCCCTCTCCCTCTCCCTCTCCCTCTCCCTCTCCCTCTCCCTCTCCCTCTCCCTCTCCCTCTCCCGTCTCCCGTCTCCCGTCTCCCGTCTCCCGTCTCCCGTCTCCCGTCTCCCGTCTGCCGTCTCCCTCTCCGTCTCCCGTCTCCCACTTTCCATGGTCTCCCTCTGATGCCCAGCTGAGGCTGGACTGTACTGCCGCCATCTCGGCTCACTGCAACCTCCCTGCCTGATTCTCCTGCCTCAGCCTGCCCAGTGCCTGGGATTGCAGGCGCGCGCCGCCACGCCTGACTGGTTTTTGTATTTTTTGGTGGAGACAGGGTTTCGCCGTGTTGGCCTGGCTGGTCTCCAGCTCCTGACCGCGAGTGATCTGCCCGCCTGGGCCTCCTGAGGTGCCGGGATTGCAGACGGAGTCTGGGAAGTGAGGAGCGCCTCTTCCAGGCCATGCCGTCTAGGAAGTGAGGAGCGTCTCTGCCCGGCCGCCCATCGTCTGAGATGTGGAGAGCGCCTCTGCCCCGACACCCCTTCTGGGATGTGAGGAGCGCCTCTGCCCAGCCGCGACCCCGTCTGGGATCTGAGGAGTGTCTCTGCCCGACCGCCACCCCGTCTGGGAGGTGAGGAGCGTCTCTGCCCGGCCGCCCCGTCTGGGAAGTGAGGAGCCCCTCTGCCCGGCCGCCACCCCATCTGGGAGGTGTACCCAACAGCTCATTGAGAACGGGCCATGATGACGATGGCGGTTTTGTCTAACAGAAAAGGGGGAAATGGGAAAAGAAAGAGAGATCAGATTGTTACTGTGTCTGTGTAGAAAGAAGTAGACATAGGAACTCCATTTTGTTCTGTACCAAGAAAATTTCTTCTGCCTTGGGATGCTGTTAATCTATAACCTTACCCCCAACCCCCTGCTCTCTGAAACATGTGCTGTGTCAACTCAGGGTTAAATGGATTAAGGGCAGTGCAAGATGTGCTTTGTTAAACAGATGCTTGAAGGCAGCATGCTCGTTAAGAGTCATCACTACTCCCTAATCTCAAGTACCCAGGGACACAAACTGCGGAAGGCCGCAGGGTCCTCTGCCTAGGAAAACCAGAGACCCTTGTTCACGTGTTTATCTGCTGACCTTCCCTCCACTATTGTCCTATGACCCTGCCAAATCCCACTCTCCGAGAAACACCCAAGAATGATCAATAAATACTAAAAAAAAAAAAAAAAAGAAACATCATGTTGTACATCATAAATACATACAACAAAAATAAATATTAAAAAAAAAAGAGGCGTAAATACGAAGGTTAGTGTTGCCATGAAGTCAGGCAGGGGTGGTCAAACTATGGCCCACAATCCAGATGAAGCCCCCCTCCTATTGTGAATAAAGGTTTATTGGAGCCACAGTTCCTCCCCTGTGTTCGCTTCTTGTCTGGGGCTGCTTTGGGGCTGCAGTGGCGAAGCTGAGTAACTGCTGAGTAGGTGCAACAAAGACCACAGGGTCCACGAAGCCCAAGATGCTTACTACCAGGTCCTTTGCAGAAAAATCTTGCTGAGCCCTGGGGAGGGACCAGGTGGCACCAGGGAGGCCATTGGGGAGGCTGGTACAGTAATCCAGGTGAAAAATGATGGGAGCTCAGATTAAAGTGGTCATGACAAATGGCTGGAATCAGGATATATTTTGAGGGTATGACCAACAATATATGGATAAAATGGACAGTATTTAGAGTTTCAGATTTTCTTTCTGCCAAAGGATCCCTTTCTTAAACAAAAAAATTATACAAAAGATCAATTAAAAAACTGACCAGGCCAGGCGCGGTGGCTCACACCTGTAATCCCAGCACTTTGGGAGGCCGAGGCGGGCAGATCATGAGGTCAGGAGATTGAGACCATCCTGGCTAACATGGCGAAACCCCGTCTCTACTAAAAATACAAAAAAAAAATTAGCCATGCGTGGTGGTGGGCACTTGTAGTCCCAGCTACTTGGGAGGCTGAGGCAGAAGAATGGCATGAACCCAGGAGGTGGAGCTTGCAGTGAGCAGAGATCAGGCCACTGCACTCCAGCCTGGGCGACAAAGCAAGGCTCTGTCTCAAAAAAAAAAAAAAAAAATTAACCAAAAATCATGTCAACAAGATTATTTGTGTGATTGAAGCTGGGGTTGAGCCTAGGCACCCTAACACCTTTTCAGCACCCCTAACACCCCGGCTGTTCCAGAGGCACCCTATAGAGCCCCTTGGGTTCAGATGAGCAGAACTTGAAACCACAGATCGGAAGGAATAGAAATCTGCGTATCTTTCACACAAGCCATAACATTCTAAGCTGCATCTTTGCAGCACACTGACATGGGGCTACTTCACCCACAGCCAGCAAGCGTCTGCACCAGTGCCGGGATTTGTGTCCACCGTTATAAGAAGGCAGCTGCTTGCATGAGGCATGGCGGTGAGGAAACAATGCCACCCGGATTTCACCATTGGCTGTGTGGACTGGCTGTACCATGGGCCAGATGCATGTCTTGGGCAGACACTTTTTAGATGCCAACTTGCCTGTAGACAAAGATGACGCAGAGGTGGCCTCGGGGATGGCCTATGTGATGGGTTGAATTTGTCCCCTGAAATTCCTATGCTGATGTCCTTAGCCCCAATGCCTGAGAATGTGATCTTATTTGGAGATAGCGTCTTATAGAAATAAGTTAACATGAAAAATGAGATCAGTAGGGGGTGCCCAATTCAATATGACTGATATCCTTATAAAAGGGCAAATTTGGACACAGAGACATGCATAGAGGGAAGACGAGGTGAAGAGACACCGGGAAGGCCACCTACACGCCAGGAGAGAGACCTGGAACAGAGCCTTCCTGCACCGCCCTGGAAAGGGACCTTCCCTGCCGACACCTTGATCTTGGACCTACAGCCTCCAGGACTGTGAGACAGTGAGATTCTGTTGCTGAAGCTGCCCAGTATGTGGTACTTTAAGGAAGCCCTAGCAAACCAATGCAGCCTGGTAGCCCACAGCTGGTGAAAAGATGGAATGAGCAATGGAGACTCAGGCTTCCTGTCTATACTTCCCAAAGTGCACTATGGGATCTTTTGCTGGGTGTAGGTTTGCAAGATAATTTTGGCCGGGGTTGGGACGGTGGGGTGCAGGGTGCATAATTTCAGTGTATATTATCATATGTTTATCTTACTGTGTAAATGCTTGTAAGAACAGTTAACCAACAAAGTTTATATGCTACTCAAGATACAGGTTTAAATGCTCTCAATGCAAATGAAAACACTGTCCTGCTGTGGTCCAGGGAATCTTGATCTTTCCTTCAGAGAGACTTGCAGCTTTGAGCAGGAGCTGCCCTTTCCTTGCTGCCTACTGCATGCTCCCACAACACACATGCACACACACATGCCTTTGCACACAGCTGGACACACGCATACTGTGCTTCATGCCCTCATTAAGGAGGCACAGAAGGGAATGTATCTGTTAGGAAATGAAGACGGCTCAACTCCCTGGTTCCCTGGGTGTTTGCACAGGTGCCCTCTGTGCAGACCATTCTTTGGTCTCTTTCTTCTTTTAGTGAAGGGAGAAGCAGAGCCCCAGTGGGTACCCGGCTACTTTGGGCCCAAGCCAAGGTCACAAGCTTCCTTGGGAGCCTGGTGAGATGGGGGCACCACTGGTCCTCCCAAACCGAGGGGGCAGCATTCAGTGGAGCCGTGAGCCCAGGAAGGTGATAGACAGGATGACTCAGTTCATTAGAAACAACCAAAATCCAGTGAGGAAGGGCAGCCCTCAAAGGTTTTATTCTCCAGGAGGAAGGACTCTCAGGGGCTGCGAGCAGCAGGCACGAGGGCTTTATTGCACCTGCAGTTAGGTGATGGTGACCTACAACTGCACCGGAAACTGGGACCCAGAGTGCCCCGACCTCCTGCTCTGTCTCTCTCTCCCTCTCTCCCTTTCTCCCCCCCTCTCTCCCTTTCTCCCCCTCTGCCTCTCTGGCTTCTCTGTCTCTCTTGTCATCTCTTGCCCCTTTCCCCATCTCTCTTTCTCTCTGCTCTCTCCATCCTCCTCTCCCTCTCAGCCTCCTCTGTCTCTCCCCCATCTCTTTCCACCCATCTTTTGCTTTCTACCTCTCTCTTCCCTCTCCCCATCTCTTTTCTCCCTTTCTCTCTCCCCACTCCTCTCCCTCCTCACCCTCGTTCATGCTCCCTGATCCCCATCCTACACTGCTGCTAAGGCAATGCCAAGGCTACTGTCCTGTCACGGTGTCCCTACTTCCAGCATCCACACATGAAAAGATGCTCAATGTCATTAGTCATTAGGGAAATGCAAATCAAAACCACAATGAGACATCATTTTATACTCATTAGGATGCTATTATCAAACAAATGGAAAATAGCCAGTGTTGGAGATGTGAAGGAAGTGGAACCCTCACACATTGCTCATGGGAATGTATAATGCAGTGGCTCATGGGAATGTATAATGTATAATGTGGAAAAGTTTGGCAGTTCCTCAAAAAGTCAAACATAAAACTACCATATGACCCAGCAATTCCACTCCTAAGTAGATGTCCAAAACCCCTGACAGCAGGGTTGCAAACAGGTACTTGAACTCAGGAACGGAAAACCAAACATCATATGTTCTCACTGATATGTGGGAGCAAAACTATGAGGATGCAAAGGCATAAGAATGATACAATGGACATTGGGGACTTGGGGGGAAGATTGGAAGGTGGGGGCGAGGGATAAAAGACAACAAATATGGTGCAGTGTATACTGTTCTGGTGATGAGTGCACCAAAATCTCAGAAATCACCACTAAAGAACTTATTCATGTAGCCAAATACCACCTGTACCCCAATAACTTATCAAAAAATAAAACACAATTTTTAAAAAAACAGATACTTGTGTCCCAACATTCAGAGCAGCATATTCACAATAGCCAAAAGGTAGAAACAGCCCAATTGTTCATCAACAGAAGAATAAATGAGCAACATGTATTATATGTGCACAGGGGGATACTATTCAGTTATTAAAATGAATGGAATACTTATACTTCCTGCAAATATGGATGGACTTTGAAGATTTGCAATTCAAATCTAATGAATAGACAGGGCCGAGCATAATGGCTTATCCCTTTAATGCCAGGACTTTGGGAGGCTGAGGTAGGAGGATCACTTGAGCCCAGGAGTTTGAGATCAGCCTGGGCAACATAGCAAGACCTCATCTGTACAAAAAAATTGTTTAAATGCCAGGCATGGTGGTGTAGGCCTGTATTCTTGGCTACTGGCAGGGCTGTGGAGGGAGTCTCGCTTGGGTTCAGGAGGTTGAGGCTGCGGTGCACTAGGATACCACCACTGCAATCCAACATGGGGAAGAGAGCAAGATCCCTCTCTAAACATAAAAATTATAAAAATAACACACAAAATGGCTCAGCACGGTGGCTCATTCCTGTAATCCCAACACTTTGGGAGACCAAGGTGGGTGGATCACGAGGTCAAGAGATGGAGACCATCCTGGCCAATGTGATGAAACTCTGTCTCTACTAAAAATACAAAAATTAGCTGGGTGTGGTGGTTCCTGTGTGTAGTCCCAGCTACTCAGGAGACTCAGGCAGGAGAATCGCTTGAACCCGGGAGGCAAAGGTGGCAGTGAGCTGAGATCATGCCACTGCACTCCAGCCTGGTGACAGAGCAAGACTCCATCTCAAAATAATAAAAACAAAAACAAGTAAGTGTGTGTCTGTGCCCATGCCTCCGAGCAAGTTCGTGTCAGCATGCATAGCTGTGTTGTGTCCAGGTGAGTAGGCACATGTGCATGTGTGCGAGTGTTGGATGCTGGGGCAGTCAGGGTTAGAGTCACTCACAGTCAGCACCTGCTCTTCACTTCCTCATGCCTGGTTCCTACAGGCCCCCACAAGAAGCATGTAGGGCCCAAGCACCCCTTGCCACCTCTTAACCCCAAGCACAGGCATGAGAGGGTGAGGGTGGCCGACTGCAGGGCCCAGGCTTGGAGGACCCTGGAGCTGACTCCTGGTGCACATGCCACAACCGCCAGCCTGCCCTGGCCTGGCTCCTGGGAAACACTTGCCCTTGGCCAGCTGGAGAGGTGTTGATTTGGGACACAGCCCCACAGTGATCACCACTTTATCCCACCCCCAAATACTTCCTAAGGCCATTTATTGCTAGGAGATGGGCACAGGCAGCCTGCTGTGATGACTTCCTAGACACAGGCTCTGGGGACAGGAAGCCCATCTGGCCCCCTTCCTATGACATGGCTGGGAGGCAGGAGGTGGGCCTCGGGTAAGAAGGATAGATAAGGGCAGCTTGGGCAGGTTGGGGTGATCAGACCCAACATCAGGCCATGGGGGCTTCGAAGTCCAGCGGAGTCATAGGAATGAGAAAAGACAGGAAATAAAGTGGGACCAGGGGGCCAACACTAGTATGGAGGCTGCAAAGGCCCTGAGCTCTGGGAGCCCAGGCTATTTACTGGTGCTCAAACAAAGAAACACATGGTGAGGATGTGGGGGTTTAAAGGAAGCAATGTATCAAGTGAGTGAGCTACAGCTGCGATGGTGTAGCATTTTCTTTGAAACATGTGGCTACTTGAGATAATGGGAGTGCTAGAAGCAAGAGCTAGCAAGTCTAGCAGACATGCAAGCCCTGCCTCAGCTTCTCTCCCAACACTCAGCTTTTCTCCCAAAAGGACAGAGGAAGCAGCAGTAAGTCTCAGAGCCTCAGGACCAGAGGGGCCCCAGTGCCCCTTGGTCAGGATGCTGAGCCCAGAGAGGGCAAGATCCTGACTTGAGGTCACAGAGCAGCAATCCCTGGCAGAACTAGCATTCCTTTTGGAGAAATTCAGAGTTCATGGTCCCCAGGAGTCATTCATTTACTCATGCATTCATTCGGCAATTACATATGGAGCCTCTACTATATGCCAGGCCCACTTCTAGCCCCAGCATACAGCAGTGGACAAGACAAACCAATCCCCACCTCAAGGAGCTGATGCTCTGGTCACAGAGACAGAAAACAAGTGAAGAAGATCACATTACATGATGCTAAAGGCTAGCAAATAAAATTACACCACATGGAATGTTGGAGTCACTCTGTCCAAATGGTGGCCACTAGCCCCATATGGCTATTTGAGTTTCAAGCAATTGGAGTAATTGAAAATTAAGAGTTTAGCGGCCGGGCACGGTGGCTCACATCTGTAATCCCAGCACTTTGGGAGGCCGAGGCAGGCGGATCACGAGGTCAGGAGATGAAGACCATCCTGGCTAACATGGTGAAACCCCGCCTCTACTAAAAATACAAAAAATTAGCCAGGCGTGGTGGCGGGCACCTGTAATCCTAGCAACTCAGGAGGCTGAGGCAGGAGAATGGGAGAGATTGAGACCATCCTGGCTAACACGATGAAACCCCATCTCTACTAAAAATACAAAAAAATTAGCTGGGGGTGGTGGCAGGCACCTGTAATCTCAGCTACTCGGGAGGCCGAGGCAAGAGAATGGCATGAACCTGGGAGGCAGAGCTTGCAGTGAGATGAGATCATGCCACTGCACTCCAGCCTGGGCAACAGAGCGAGACTCCATCTCAAAAAAAAAAAAAAAAAGAGTTTAGCGGACCTGCAGCCGTGCTTGGAGTTTGCAGACGCTGCGTCACTGTCACCACTACCTTGCTCCCATCCCCGCTGCAGCCAGGGGCATGCTCAGTCACCCCGGGCAGTGTCCCCGCTGTGGCCCTGTGGCAATGGCCACCAAGGTTGACAAAGAGGCTTGCTGGGAGGCCTACAACCTGGCGCGAGATGACGGCTTGGCCGTCATCTGGGTGACTTTTAAATATGACGGCTCCACCATCGTCCGTATCGGGCAAGGAGTGGAATACCAGCACTTCATCCCACAGTGCACAGATGAGATCTGGTTGCTTGCCTTCGTGTGCGTCACCACGAGGGATGCCACCCTCATCAGGTGGATCGGCGAGAATGTCAAGACCCTGGTGAAGGAGGTCATACAGGATTTCACTAAGGAGTTTGTGATCAGTGATCAGAAGGAGCTGGAGGGAGATGTAATGAAAAGTGAACTGAAGAAGACTCCAGGTGGAGTAACCCCAGCTTCCCCACTGCCCCTTGCCAAAGTCATCTGTCTACTCCCCGGGGAAGGGGCCCTCAGGCCTCAGCTACCAACCCACCAGCCCACCAGGGAGAAAAGAATCCATGAGAGGCAGTGCCCGCCACCCTGTGTCCACAGCCCCCACCTTCCTGCTTCCCTTAGAACACTGCTGTGTCTTATCTCATGAAGCTTGTGGAACCCCTTTCTTTGATTTTTTTCTTTTCTCCCCCTCTCTTTTGTTCTAAAGAAAAATTATTTTGATGCAAGGTCCTGCCTGTCATCAGATCCGAGGTGCCTCCTGCGGTAACCCCTTTTCCTGGCATTTCTCTTACATATAATGAGGCTGCCTAGTGGGATCTGTGCAACCTCATGTTGCTTCTGGAGCCTAGATTTGTTTTGCCATCTCAGTTTTCTTGGGCCCCCCTTCCTGTTTACCACTGAGGGGCAGCTGGGCCAGGAGTGGCACCTGGTGATTGCAGCCTTCATAAGCACACAAGTCCATTCCTGTAGTCAGTCCCAGACCTCCTGGAGTCTGCCCCGGGCTCCCTCATCCCACCTTCATCCAGAGTTGCCTAAGTTGCATCTCCAGCAAACGCAGGATTGCTCAGTGGTGAGAAAGTTAGGTCTGGCTCTGATCGAATAAGAGATAAAATTTGCCTTAAAACTTGCCTGGCCGGGTGGATCACCTGAGGTCAGGAGTTCGAGACCACCCTGACCAACATGGTGAAACCCCATTTCTACTAAAAATACAAAAATGAGCCAGACATGGTGGTGGGTGCCTGTAATCCCAGCTACTAGGGAGGCTGAGGCAGGAGAATCACTAGAACCCAGGAGGCGGAGGTAGCACTGAGCCGAGATTGCGCCATTACACTCTAGCCTGGGGACAGGGAGAGATTCTGTCTGAAAAAAAAAAAAAAAAAACAACCTTGCCTGGCAGTGGCTTTGCGGCAGGGTCTGAAAGCACCCGTTCCCACCCTCTTGACTGAAATGTCCTAGTGACACAGAGAAGGGCAAAGGTCTGGGCCCAGAGTTGACAGAGGGACTATTTCAGGGTTCACTTCAGGGCCTCCCAAAGCAATGAGGGTGTTAGGGAGAGAGGCCCAGGGTGGGGACTGGGAATTCAAGGAGAGCTGGGAACTGATCACTTAGGTTCAGGAAGCTTCTGTACAAGCAGTAAGGATGGCTTGGGCCAGAGGGCTACTCCCCCTGTGGTGCTAGCGGTGAGCAAAGCCCTGGGCTCACGGCACCGCTAAAGCTCATGGCTTCAATCCTACACCTGCACCACACATTCAAAAGGATCGTTTTTTGTTGTTTGTTTGTTTTTGTTTTTTCAGGCAGAGTTTCACTCTTGTTGCCCTGGCTGGAGTGCAGTGGTACTATCTCGGCTCACCGGAACCTCCACCTCCCAGGTTCAGGCCATTCTCCTGCCTCAGCCTCCTGAGCAGCTGGGATTACAGGTGCCCACCACCACGTCTGGCTAATTTTTGTATTTTTAGTAGAGACGGGGTTTCTCCATGTTTGTCAGGCTAGTCTCAAACTCCTGACCTCGTGATCCGCCCACCTCAGCCTCCTAAACTGCTGGGATTACAGGAGTGAGCCACCGTGCCCAGCCTGTTTTGTTTTTAAAGAAAGATGAGATTGTCTTGGTTCTTCATGAGAAAATTTTATATAGCTCTTTTTCTTTTTTTCCTTGCTCATTTCATTTTGGAAAAGAAATCTGTACTGTATTGGGATTACGAAGAACATCTCTGCACTCAAACAGCTTAAGAAAGAAATTTTGTTTTTCAAAAAAAAAATGAAAAGAAGAAAATTAAGAGTTCAGTTCTTCCATCGCAATAGCCACATTTCAGGGGCTTGTTAGCCGCACGGGGTGGCTGCTGTGTTTGACAGCGGACGGGGAGCATTTCCATCACTGAAGGAACCACCGGACAGGGCTGGTGTGGGGAGTGCACAGAGGGCTGGGGGCTGGATGGCCGAGGACAGCGACATCTGGGCTGTCCTGCTGAGAAGGGGTGGCCACATGGCGACACACCAGGAGGAGGGGACAGCAGGTTCAATGTTGGCCAGATGGGGATGTGCTTGATGTGTTCAAAGGACAGAAAAGACAGACGGAGCAAGGGGAGAGGAGAGCAAGGTGGGGCTGGGGAGGTCAGCGGGGGGGCCTCTGGGGCCTGGGTAAACAGTTTTCTGCTTTACGTGGAAGGCGTCAGGAAGCCATGGGGAGAGGGGTTAAGCAGGGGAGTTGCATAGTTTGAACAATATATGAAGAATGGATTTGTGGGGGCAAGAGTGGAAGGAAGGAGCCCTAGGGAGGAGGCTATTGTGTCACAGAGAGGAAGGTGACTGAGACCCGGGTGATACGGGGGATGGGGAACAGCCATAGCACAAGCCTCAGGGTTCTGGATCCAGCTGTGCCTGAAGTTGATCCCCCCTCTCCTCCCTTTCTCCTCTTGGTTACTGGGCACTGACTGAAACACCCCTCATTACTACCACCCACCTATCCCCTCCCTCACAAAACACCTGACTGTCTCTCCTCCTGTCTCTGTGCAGAGCACTCAGAAGGGACCTAGGCTTCCCTCAGTGCCCTGGGTCCAATTTCTTTTCAGAACTTTTCCCCCCTGACTGCATCCCAGGGCTGATAAGATAGCCCTGTCTAGTCACCTTGGAGTCCTGGGAAGATACCTTAGGCCACCTGGTGTTTCACTTACTTTCCCCACCAGGACGATTTCCTGGAGCTGTGAGCAGGAGGCAGGAGGAACCAGCTGGCTCTGGGTCTGGGAGGTGGAGGCAATGAAAAGAGAAGGCTCAGCTTCAGTTGCAACCGTTGGGACTTTGGTTTTCTCTTAGGAAGAACTTCCCCTCTATAAAAGGGCCGATGCCATCCTCGTGCATTCGCAGCGGAGGGGATCTCCTAGGGTCCTAAGAATAAGGTGGAAAACCTGCTCCCTAGGGTGGGTACCGAGAGGCCAGCTCTGCTCCTCCAAAGCTGGGCACTCATTCTCCCTCAGGACCTTTGCAGCTGCAGTTCCCTCTGCCAAGACCCCAGGTGGCTCCTCCATCTCGCTCCAAAGTCTCCTCCTGAGTGGCGTTGTGGATTGCCTGATGAGCACGGCTCCCTCCTCGGAAGCACCTTGTCTGTCTCCTGTACTAGAACGCCAGCTCCACAAGGGCAGGGCGGTTGTTGATCTTGTTTCTCTCTGTCCCTTCCTGTCTGACACTGTGCCTGGCACATGGTGGATGTTCCCAGGAGGTTTCTGGAATGAGCAGATGTCTGGGGTGAGTGTGGGCAGGTGGCTGCCATGCATACAGAGCCTGCCAGGCCCTAGTGGGCTCAGACTCACCCTCTCACTGCACCCTCCCAATGGGGATCAGGACTTTGAGGCTTAGAGAGGTGAGGTCACTCACCCAAATGGCACAGCCAGTATGTGGTGGCCCTGGTCTGGAGAGGCCTGGAGGGGACTTGGGGGGGTTGGAGGCTGGGCCAGGGCCTGTGGACACGCTGCCTTTCCACATGACAGCTGTCCACCCATCCACAGGCCCTGCTTCCCCTGCCAAGTCCCACCTGGGGCTTCCCTGGCCACCTTAGGTCCTCAGGTACAATTGCACTGCAGGGCACTGGCCTGTGGCACACAGAAGCGGGCCCTGCAGCCCAGATTCACACAGCAAGTGAATGAGGCATAGCTGAAAACCGTGCGTATGGTGGCCTCAGCCGGGCCACACTGGGTAGACCCTGACTTGGGCAGGCATGTGGCTCCACCCATCACTGGGCCGGCAGCCCTGCCTCCTGAGTGCACCTGCTACACCCAGGGCTTGCACCAGCTTTGGGGACAGGGGCCGCCTCTCCAAAGAATGCAGCTCATTGTCAGCGATGGGGCAGGATTCCTTCCCGATGGCCGCACCCAGCGGGGGATCTGTCCAGATGGACAAGGGCAGCTGAGTGAGGTGCCTGAGGAAAGCTGACCCCCTCCATCCTGTGATGGATCCTACCTGTGTCCACCCCATCCTGTCTGACTGCTTCAGCTCACTCTGTCTGTCCCAGCCAGTCTGGAGCCACACTTCCTTGCAGCTCTGTGGCTCCTTCCAACTGCACGGCCTTCCCTGGGCCACTTCCCCTGCCTAGAAGGCTTTTTGCTCATTGTTTCCATTTCTGCTTGGTCTTGGTTACGTGGTCTTGGTTGGAGGATGGTCTCTCTGATCGACACCCCTGCGTGTGGGACCCTCTCCCTGTGGCCTCCATGTTCAAAATGTTCATTCTCACCTGCCTCAGGGCCTTTGCACTTGCCATGCCCCAACCCAAGCTAGTCTTTCCAGGCCACTGCCTCTGAGCCACCTTCCCACTTCCCTAAACAGGCTCCTCTGTCCTTGGCCTGCAGGGCAGTTATGGTTGCCTTTGCATGTGGAGTCGGTGCTCACTATGGCACAGCCCTGCCTGTAAGCTGGGGAATCCAGCCATTGAGGAGTGCTTGCCAAAAGAATGAACGAGCATTATGATTCAGAAAGGGCCTGGACCCACATGTGTCCCCCAACACAGTGTGTGACCTGAGATGACAGCTCCCCCTCTGCACTGCATCTCCTCTGTCCACTGTGGTGGTAGGTCCCCAAGATCCCCAAGGGTCCTGCTGGCCCTCACCTTTGAAGCTCTGGGACACAATTATCAAGGGAGACCACTGCCTACACTCCCAGAGCTGAGAGCACAAACAAGCTCTTAAATCAATCAGCGACATCACCTTCCAAGTGAAGAAAACAGGACCTCTGGCCTAGACACAAGGACAGGGGAGAGGAGGCTGCAAACATCCCTGAGTGAGCTGGCTAGGAAGGGTCACTAGTTGCCTGGACCTGGAAGTTGAGGAACCCACAGAGAAAAGCAGGGAATCTCAGCTGGAAGATGGGGACGATATCAACTCAGACCCTCAGACTCAACCTGGTGAGGGAGAGTGGATATATCAAGACTCCTTACACCACCAAAATCAACTCTGGCTAAGTCCAGCCAAGGCAAAGCAAGCAAGGAATGTGCCGGGAGATTATAGGTTAGCTCACAGAAACAAAAGAAGAAGTAAAAAACCATATACTGGAAAGGACTGCTTTGGATATGAAATTTAGGTAGCCAAACTAATGGGAAGCCCTTGGATGAATGAAATCCCTCTGCTTCCATCCTCAAGTCACTCTACTCAAGATCCAAATTTCCTTAATATATAAAGAGTTCCTACAGTCAATAAGACAAATGAAACTGCAATCGAAAATATGAAATAGAAAAAATGTCCACGAGTATAGACATGAACAGATAGTTCACAGAGCAGGAAGTAGAAATGGCCCTTGAGCTGATAAACAATGTTTAGCCTAATTTATAACCAGAGAAGTGCAAATGGAAACTATAGTTCAAGCCCATTTTTCACTTATCACATTGGCAATTATCCAAAACTGTGATAACACTGTGTCACCGTGGGTGTGGGAGACAAGCTCTCTCCTGCATTACTGGTGGGAGTATAAACTGGTAAGGCCACTATCAACATTTTTTTTAATGCACATGCCTTTTGATCTGAAAACTTACTCCTAGAAATGTACAGGGACACTTGCAAATGTGCTGATGGCCCTAGTACAAAGATATTTATTGTGGTGTGTTTCTCTTGTAATAGCAAGATTGGAAACAATCTAAATACCCATCAATAGAGGTTGGTGAGCTCCATAATAATGTAGCCACTCAGTGAACTCTGCAACGGTGAAAAAGAAGAATGAGGTAGCTTTACATACTGCAGCCTGGAATGATCTTCCAGATAGACTATCCCATGAAAAAGCATGGTGCATGCATATTTGTGAAAGCCTCCATTTCTGGTCTCTGAATTCAGAACGCTCACCTTTGTCTTGTGTGGCTACTGTCCACTCTCCACCGGCAGGTCACAGAAGTGTGACCCCTCGCACCTTTCTATGTGCCCCTTTCCTGGCCTGAATGGCCTTGGTTTCCAACTGTCCACACCTATGACTCTTTGCAGCAAGACTGTCATCAGGCTATTGGAGCCCCTTGGTCCTTTCTGCAGAGAGCTGGAAAAGTCCCCCTGCCGCAGGATGGCCCTTCACTAATGACTGACATGTGTATCCTTAGCTCAGGCTGGGAAACGGAGATGTGACTCCACTCCACAGTCCACAGAGGGACCTGCTTCTGTAGGATTTTGCCTGGGGCCACAGCCTTGCATGGCTTTTCCCCTCTCTGTCTGCTACCCCCGTTCCCTTACCGCTCTCCTTGGGTGCCGTCCTTCATCAGTCACTGCCATACAAATCAGGATCTACTTCTGGGGAACGTGACCCAGATAGCTGCCCCCTTACCCTGCTCCTTGCTTTTTGCAGGTAGGGTGTGCCTGTGTATGCATGTGTATGATGCAACATGGGCACCATGGTTCTTCCCGTTTCACAGGTGGGGGACCTAGAGCTCCACGGCTCGCCTTAGGTCCCAGGTAGGAAGTGGCAAGCGACTTTGAAGCCAAGTAGTCTGGCTCCAAGGCCAAACTCACATCCACTGTTATATAGAAAATAGCCTAGAGAAGGAAAGCTCCAAGTGCAAGGAAAATCCGCATTATCAAAGCAGGCTAAGCAGGGAAGACCATTTATTTTCCCAAAAGATTCTATTCTGTGGTCTTCCCTTCATAAACACACATCCCACTGTCAGATGCAAATCCTAGAGCTAGAAATGGGGCATTCAAGGTAGACGGAGCTCCTAGGAACAGCACGTTTGCAGAGATGGGAAGTGACCCTCCCACTGGTTTTGGTTTCTCCATGGCTACAGGCAAAGCCTGCCTGCTCTGCATCCGGGGATCTTGGTCAGGTGTTGGAATCGGTGGGTGGATTGCCGGTACATTTGCACTGTGTCCTAGAGAGCCTCTATGCATTTCAACTCTGATTCTCCTTCACCATCTACGTGCAGCCCACAACCGCAGGACCCCGCCCCTGGCCCTGAATCTCCCATGTCCTGGCGCCAAGCAGGCGAGTCAGCCTAGGAGGAGGCAGGGCTCCCGGAAGCCAAGCCCATGCTGGGATGGTGAGAAACAACTTTCCTATGCAAGGAGGTGCCTGAGCACCCGCTGATGATCAAGCCGGAGCCCCCTCACCTCCCCGAAGTGTGGTGAAGGAAAGACAGGCCGGAAAGAGGTGGCAGTCTTCACCTGCTGTGGTTGAGTTTCTCACTCATGCCAAGTTTTACATAAGCTGGGGACCATGTGCTTCAAGGCTAGAGGTCTTGGCGGGCCCAGGGCCTTGGATGGGCCTGGATGACCAAGGGGTCTGAGACTTAGGCCCTGGCTCTGCATGGGGAATCTTGGGAAGGTTGGAAGCCCACGGCCCCTACTGAGAAAGGAGCCACGGTCCAGATCTTTTGCACAAATCCCACCTGTGCTCCTTGACCGCCCCTCCCCACCGGGGCCATGGTGACCACGCAGGCAGAAGCCTCCATCCGTTCACAGGACCAGCATCCTGGGAGGACCCTGGCCTGAGCGAGCTGCTGCAGGGGACCCTCAGGCTGGATGGTTGGCCACTCGGCACCCTTTTCTCTGTGGAGCAGGGATGACATTTGAGAGCCACCAAAGATGGGCTGGAAAAACAAAGGCCACCACAAAGGAAGCTGAAGGCAGAAAGAGATGCAGAGAAAGTGGGAGAAACTCGGCTGTGCTTTGTGGGGGCCCTGCAGGGACATCGGCTCCTGAAGGGATGAGAGAAAGGGTCCCCTGAACTTTGACACTCTGTTCTTCTCAAGGCCTGGCCAGCCCTGTGGCTCCTTAGAGGAATCTGGGTGCCTTCTGTCCCTAGTACCTGACAAGCCCCAGGTGAGAAGACCTGAGCTCACCTGCGCTGCCACGTGTAACCTGATGGCCCCGGCACCCTCGCAGGGTTTGAATAGCTGCCCTTTCCACCTGTTTCCCAGATTTTCCACACCACCCAGAGGCTCATATTCAACCCCACAGCCTACAAGTCAGCCAGGGGCCTTTGGCCACATGTACTGATGATGAGAATCACTGGATTGTAAGCTGTAAAAGCGCAAGGATGGTGTTTTGTTCCCCGCTACCCCCTGCACCTGAGGCCCAGCGAGGATTGCTGCTCGGATGAAGGAGAGCGAGTGTTCGTGGAGCTCTTTGCAGAAGCCACGGGAAGCCCTTCCTGTGCCTTCTCGGGTTTAGTTCTCAGACAGCCCCACTTTCCAGATGAGGAAACGGAGGCTAAGAAAGGAGAATAAACTTGTCCAGAATCAGTGGTGAGGCTGGTATTTGAACCCCATCCTGTTGGACTCAACACTTCCTCTGAAAAGACAGGATAAGGGAGCTGCCTACTTCTGGCTTTGGGAACCGGCAGAGAGGAGCAGAGTTGGGCCAGACGCGTCACCTCCCAAGCTCTGCGGCACCCAAGGGTTCCCAGGGTCCTCTTCCTCCGTTTGGCTCTTTTCTTCTCTGGACTCTCCCACCTTCGAGGATTGGACTCCTTGCAGGGAGCGCAAAGCAGAGAACAGAGGAGGCCCATCTGAGGAGAGTGTGCTGGAGCAGATGGGGCACACAGAGAGCCCCCAAACCTGAGCCTCACCTGGAGAGTGGCTCCCTGCAAGCTGAGCCCCTGTGTGCCCAGAAGTGACATAGGCATTCAGGAAAGGGACTGAGGGAGGAAAGAAGGAGCCATTCCTCTTCCCAGGGGCGCCTGCCCTGGGTTCCTGAGGGAGGCTCCATGTTTACATCTCCAAAGGCCAGTCCCAAACACGCCAGAGTGCAATGCCCTCCCTCAGACCCAGGGCCATCCTCGGAGCAGCCGGGAGGCAGCCTGTCCACTCTTACCGCAGGCAGGTCACCCAGGCAGCCTCCTCTTAGAGCTCCTGAATTCTGGAGCATCAAATAGAAATGTGAAAAACAGGCTGGGCATGGTGGCTCACACCTGTAATCCCAGCACTTTGGGAGGCTGAGGTGGGCAGATCATTTGAGATCAGGATTTTGAGACCAACCTGGCCAACACAGTGAGACCCTGTCTCTACTAAAAATACAAGTAAATAAGCCAAGCATGGTGGTCCACACCTGCAGTCCCAGTTACCTGGGAGGCTGAGGCAGGAGAATCATTTGCATCCAGGAGATAGAAGTTGCAGTGAGCTGAGATCGCGCCGCTGCACTCCAGCCTGGGTGACAGAGTGAGACTCCGTGTAAAAAAAAAAAATGAGAGAGAAAATTAATGTGACAAAATGTTAACAATGGGTGAATGTAGGTAAGAGTATGTGGCAGGGTGTTTTTTCTTCTTGCAAATTTTGTGTAGGTTTGACGTTACCTCAGAATAGCAAATATAAGAATGATTCCTGCAGACACACGAGTGATTTCAGCTGTTCACAGGGCTCAGGCAGGAAGCAGATCTCTTGCCCTCCCTCTGATCCAGGTCACTTAGTCCAGTCCCTGAAAGCAGTGGATGGACAACCATGCCACCCTCTTTCTTCCAATACACCTTATTTTGTATCCTGCCCTTTTTGTGTAGCATTAGATCATGAGCATTTTCCTCTGCTATAAATGTCCCCTCAAATATGTTGTTTCTTGTGACTCCCTAGTGTTCTACCCATGATTTCCTCAGCTGCTCCACCTTGGTGGAATTCAGTGATTCTTCTGCCTTTTCACCATTGTAAGTGATGCTTTGATGAACAGCTTTGTAGGTTCATCTGTGCTGCACCTCTGACCAGTCTCTTCTGGAAGAGTCTAAGGAAGGAGACAGAGGCATGGACCACTGGCTTTTGAAGGCATTCGGTGGGTCCTGCCACGCCGCCTTCCAGCATTCCAGAAAGGTGGTCCCAGTGAACAACTCACCAGGGCGGGGCCCCACTCCACGGCACCCCAGCAAGGCCAGCATTCGAGACCAGCCTGACCAACATGGTGAAACCCCGTGTCTACTAAAAATGCAAAAATTAGCCGGGCATGGTGGCGGGTGCCTACAATCTCAGCTGCTCAGGAGACTGAGGCAGGAGAATTGCTGGAACCTGGGAGGTGGAGGCTGCAGTGAGCCGAGATCACTCCATTGCACTCCAGCCCAGGTGACAACAGTGAGACTGCATCTCAAAAAAAAAAAAAAATTAGAATAATCTTGTACATGTTATTAACTTTAATTTTGCATGTAACTTTCTTAAAATGATTAAACTTTTCTCAGCATATTCTCATCATTAAATATTATTTAAAACATTATTTTAAGGTTAGATAGTATTTTATCATATAAATAATTCATATTTACTAGTCCCCTGTTGTTGAACATATATGTATTATTGAACCTTTATGTTCTTTCCAGTCTTTCAATATTCAAATACTTTTTCATCTCTTTCTTATTACTTACTTAGGAAAAATTTCTAGATGTGGAATTACTGAGTCAGAGGATAAATATTTTAAAGACTTCTAACATATTCAGCCAGATTGCCCTTCAGAAATATTATACCAATTTGTTCCAGCAGTCATGAGAACACGCACTTCCCTGAGCTCTTGCCAGCACTTGATATTATATTGTTATTGCCTTCCAATCTGTTAATCGTTTCTTTTTCCTTCTTTTTACCCTTTTTGCTTGGAAATATCTTCCCTAGCCCAAGATCAAATAAACGATAACTTTTCTCATTTAAAAAAATAATTATTTAATCAGTCTAGAATTTGGTTTTTGATATAAGAATCGTGATGATTTTATGATATTCTGCCCACCAACCAGAGCAGTGCTGGAGAGGTGCAGAGATGGCCTCCTGTTTCCTGTTTCCTCCAAGTTCTGGGTCTGTGATTTAGGGATCTGCTGCTGAGAGAGGTTCAAAACATCTTCCCCACCTTATTTCATGGACTGTCATTGTTTCAAGAAGCAAATTATACCATCAGCTCCAGGAAGATTTTCTCCACTGCTTCATCTGTTTTAAGATCAGTCCACTGCAACCTGATTCTGCATTCTGCCATCTGATGGGCTTCGTGGTGGGTCATGTGAGGAGTTTCTATTTTTGTCTGTGTTCTAAATTTGCAGGTATTTTATTGAAAGTATAAAAGTAATTTTAATAGAAGTTACTAGCCAGGCTTTGCATTAGGTTTTAATATCTTGTAGAATAAGAATAAGATTACTTTCTCTTTTTTTGCTTTAAGATTCCTCATTACACTTTTTTTTTTTTTTTTTTCCTTGGGACGGAGTCTCGCTCTGTCACCCAGGCTGGAGTGCAGTGGCACCATCTCAGCCCACTGCAAGCTCTGCCTCCCGGGTTCACGCCATTCTCCTGCCTCAGCCTCCTGAGTAGCTGGGACTACAGGCACCCGCCACCATGCCCCTCCTCCCAAAGTGCTGGGATTACAGGCGTGAGCCACTGCGCCCGGCCTAGATTCCTCATTACTCTTTTGCATTATGTTTAATCTCCCATGTGGCCCTTTTTGAAGTTCTTCCCTAGTCACTCATCTCTCTCTTTTATTATATTTATATATTTATTATATTTATTTATTTATTATTTTGATTGACATTTGCATTATATGTATTAACGAGAAGTAATTTTGCATCTGAAAAATGTCTTATTTTTTCCTCATCATAAAATTACATGTTCATTACAGAAGATTTAGAAAATACAGAAAAGTATAAAAAAGAAAAGTATTACCTTTAATCTTACCACTTGGAGGAAAAAAACTGCAAACATTTTGCTGTCTGTCCTTTCAGATTTTTTCTTAGTTTATACATGTTTGAGCATGCATAAAACTTGCATTGATATGATTATGATATTTCATCTTCCTATCCAGAAGAATAGAGTATGTCTTTCCACATTCCATTACAAAGAACCAGTTGGATTCATTTATTTATTCCACTGTTAATCTGTTTTGATTAATTCTTGTATCCTACTTCTTGGACATTTCTTTGATTTCTCACTAGTTTCTTGAGTAAAATTGTTTGTTCGTTTCACTTTCTTCTTTCTTGATTGATAATGAAAGCATTTAAAGATATGAATTTGACTTTTCTTATGGCTTTGGCTAAATAGAGACAATAAAATCTAGAAACTTCTGAAATAAATTAAACCTAATTTAGAGAAAAAAGGAAAGTGTACATTTTCCATAGAGTACAAGGCACAACATAAATGTTTAAAATTAAGCTGTTATTAATATTATAAAATCAAGTTACTATTCATGTATCGATATCTTATTGCATGCTAGCTAGAATTATCAAATACTAACAGCAGGACAAAAAAGTCCTCACTAGTAATTTTAGGTGAGAGTTTGAGGTAAAGATGTGGGCATGATATCATATAGGGTTGCTTTCATATCTATCAAGACCTTAGGTCTGTGATTTTGTGCTTTCTTATATGCACAGAAACTGATTTGTAATTGCAGTGAACTTGTAACATACTAATCCTCCTGCCTTTTTACATTACCATAGAAAACGCGAAACCCAAACCTCCTAATCAAACTGATAGCTTCTTTTATCTCTACCTCAGAATATCAACTATAATGATATATATAATTTTGGGTCTGCCACAGGGGCAGAGTCCTCATGGAGAACCTCTGCTAGAGCAGGGTAGAAGTGAAATGTGGGGTTGGAGCCCCCATACAGGGTCTCCGCTGGGGCACTGCCTAGCAGAGCTGTGAGAAGAGGGCCACCATCCTCCAGACTCCCGAATGGTAGATCCATCAACAGCTGTACCATGTGCCTGGAAAAGCTGCAGTCACTCAATGCCAGCCTGTAAAAACAGCAGTGCCGCAGGGACAGAGCTGCCCAAGACCTTGGGAGCACACATCAGAATGCCCTGGATGTGAGATATGGAGTCAAAGGAGATAATGTTGGAGCTTTAAGATTTAATGACTCCCCTACCAGATTCTGGACTTGCATGAGGCCCATTGGCCCCTTTGTTTTGGCCAATTTCTCCCGTTTGGAATGGGAACATTTACCCAATGCCTGTACCTGTACCCGCATTGCATCTTGGAAGTCACTAACTTGCTTTTGATTTTACAGGCTCGTAAGTGGAAGGGACTTGCCTTGTCTCAGATGAGACTTTGAACTTGGACTTTTGGGTTAATGCTGGAATGAGTTAAGACTTTGGGGGACTGTTGGGAAGGCATAATTGGTTTTGAAATGTGAAAAGGGCATGAGATTTGGGAGGGACCAGTGTCAGAATGATATGGTTTGGCTCTGTGTCCCCACCCAAATCTCATCTTGAATTTTAATCCCCATGTGTCAAGGGAGGGACCTGGTGGGAGGTGATTGGATCATGGGGGTGGTTTGCCCCATGCTCTTCTCATGATAGTAAGTGAGTTTTCATGAGGTCTGATGGATTCATAAGTGGCAGTTTCCCCTGCTCTCCCCTCTCTCCTGCTGCCTTGTGAAGAAATTGCCTGCTTCCCCTTTGCCTTCCATCATGATTGTAAGTTTCCTGAGGCCTTCGCAGCCATGCAGAACTGTGAGCCAATTAAACCTCTTTTGCTTATATATCACCCAGTCTCAGGTATTCTTTAGAGCAGTGTGAAAATGAACTAGTATACGTGAATTCAAATGATAATACTTAAGAGACTCATGTCCAAAAGATAACAGGAGCAGTTTTAGAACAAAACTATAATGAAGGATCTAAAGTGCTGTACTGGGTTCTCTTGACTTACCCAGTGTGCAATGTTATGACCTTGGGCAGGCCCCTTTACACTGTGCAACGTGGGATTCAAATGCGATGGTGGATGGAACCTTGTCCTGAACCTAATTCCATGGGAAGCATTTAACATTTCATCATGACATATGTTTGTTGTAGGCATTTGGTACATACCTTTTATTACCTCATGGAAGTATTCTGCTAAGAGGGGTCTGGTTTGTTTGTGGTTTTTGGTTTGTTTGCTTGCTTGTTTTTTAGAGAGACAGGGTCTCATTCTGTCACCTCAGCTGGAATTCAGTGTTGTGATCCTCACCCACTGCAGCCTTCAACTCCTGAGTTCAAGCGATCCTCCCACCTCAGCCTCCTGAGTAGCTGGGACTGCAGGCACATGCCACCATGCCTGTTAAATTTTTTGATTTTTTTTTTTCAGAATGGGGGTCTCACTCCATTGCCCAAGCTGGTCTCAAACTGTTAGCCTCTAGTGATCCTCCCACCTTGGGCTCCCAAAGAGCTGGGATTACAGGTGTGAGCCACTGTACCCAGGCAAAAGATAACTTTGGAACACCACCTGAGAATGTTACTTACAATGAATCCTGTCCTCATTCTCATTTACTTATTTGGATGGAGTTTCCTGAAATTTGTCTCACTATCATCTAGGATCCTTTTTCTTTCTCCAACTGGGAGATTGTGTCTGGTTTGGAAACTGCAAGCCCTGTTCAGGAAAAGGGAAAAGACCCAAGGCACACACCCAGTCCCCAGGTGATCATCAGGCCCAGGTGAAAACTCAGGCCTTAGGTGCACCTCCGGCCTCAGGTGGACACCCAGGCCCCAGGTGATCACCAGTCCCCAGGTGGACACAAGGCCTTAGGTGAACAACAAGACCCAGTAGGCCATCAGGCCCCAGCTGGATACAGTCCCCAGGTGAACACAAGGCCCCAAGAGGGACATAGGCCAAGGCAGACATCAGGCCCCAGGTGGACATCAGGCCTGAGGACGACATCTGGCCCCTGGTGAACATCAGGCACAGGTGTCCAAGCAGAGCCTGGGTGGACATAACTGTGTACGGGTCAGGAGATGACCTGAGGGGAGGGTGAGTAGTCAGTAACCCAGTGGAGTCCTGAGTAGGCTTATGGAAGGAAGGGGCCTAGGGGACAGAACCGTAAAGAAGCGACCTCACTTCCTCGATGATGACACACACGAAGAGAACTTAGAACTCTGGTAACCAGGCACCCATATCCTAGAGTCAGCGCCGTAACCAGCTCACTTTGTGGGAGACGCTCAAGAGAGCAAGATGTTCTCCTGTTGCTTCCCCACTTCGAGAGGTTGCTGCTTCAGGAATGGAGGGAGTGAGAGCCTTTTCCGACAATGCCGAAGAAGGCTCATCCCTCACCCCAGACGCCTGTGGCCCTTTGTAAGAAGGCGCACCCAGGTACCACAGGACAGCCCGGGGCAGGCCCTAGCTGGCCAGGCCACACCAGAGATCCCATCGGGGCTGCCTCTGCACATTGTCCTTGTCCAGGAGGAGATTCGGGAGCCCATGGAGGCACAGACACATGGTGAGGTGGCTGCAGCCTGGAAGACTTTGCGGGGGCGGTGCTTTTGGGCTGGAATGCCTTTGAATTCAGTGAGGTTGTCTCTGTGTTTGGAAATTCCAGTGGAAAGTGACTGATGCTGGTGACCCTTTCTCCTTTTTCAGCTCCTGGTCCGTACGCAGACATAGCAGCACTTGCGGCACCGGCTGTCGAGCCAAAGCCAGCATGGGAAGAGCCCCCTCCAGAGAGAGCGCTGGAGGTGGAGGGAGCTCCAGCCAAGGACCAGCCCAGCCAGGAGCTGCCTGAAATCATGGCACCTACTGTAGCCACTGGCCTTAATGCTGGAGCTGAAAACGTGGCTGGAGAGAGAAGTGGGAGGGAGGGGGTGACAAGCACAGCCCCAGCCAGCAGATCCCATGCTGCCCCTAGTCCTGGGCATGGTGGCAAACATGGAGGCGGAGACCAGGGCATTCAGACTGGACTCCTGTACCTCGCTGGAGAGAGGCTTCTCTCATTCGCCGGAACCACAGCCCTGCTGCTGCAGGGCCTGTTTATTGTGCTAATTCTGGTGGGGTATATCTCTGTGAAGGTGATGCTCAAGAGCATTAAAACAAGGCTGGGAAGAAGAGTTCCAGCAGCTCCTCCTGCTCTCAGACGCAATCTTCTCCTCCAGGCATGGAAGTGTGTCTGCAACTGGGCATCCAGGCTGTTTGCCCCTAATGTGCTGCCCCGAACGGGCTCTTAACAGGTGGGCAGGGGTTGAGGGGACCAGGAGGTGGCTCCAAAGGGTACAGCAAGGAAAGCTTTTAAAGACAGCTGTTGTGCTCCAGGCTCTCCATGCCACCACCTGCCCTAGCATTTATTAATAGTGTTAGAATTACAAGTTTATGAAATGAAATATAAATAAAGTTTGATTTCTGAAACTTCTCACCTTTTTGAACTCCCTAATGTTAGATGGTGTTTTTGAGGCTATCCTGAAAATCTCGGATAGTTGTGTCTTTTGTTGTGGTTGTTTGTGTGGCTGAATTACCATCGAGTCATCTGTTATTGGAAACCTTTCAGGTATGGCTTTTAGAAGACCTTGACCCACTCTTGCCTGTTTTGACTCTCTGGTTTATTGTGGAAAGAGGGATGATGTAGGCTCATGTCTCCGGCAGATCAATCACCTTTTGCCATCAAGGATTTGGCATCAGAGTTTCCAAGAATTATGTGTGCAAATTGACATGCTGGTACTTTAGCTAATCTGGGTGTCAAAACAGAATGCCATAGACTAGGTAGCATAGAAAATTGATTTCTCACAGTTCTGGAGATGGTAAAATCCGAGGTCAAATGGTCAGCAGATTCCGTGTCTGCAGAGGGCTGGCTTCCTGGTTCATAGACAGCCATCTTTTTACTGTGTCTTTACATGACAGAAGGGGTGAGGGAGCTCTCTGCAGTCCCTTTGATAGGGACACCAATTCCATTCATGAGGTCCCTGCCTTCATGAACCGAATCACCTTCCAAGGCCCCACCCCCAAATACCATCACATAGAATCCAACGCATGAATTTGAGGAGGACAATAACATTTGCTTTATAGAATCAGGTCACCCCGAGCCATATGCACTCACAGGAAATCTATAATCTTCTATTAAGTATTTGCTGGTCCCCTCTGGGGATTGTCTAAACAAAATTGTCTAAACAAAAATTTAGACAATTTTTGTTTTCTTTAAGAAAAATGCTCTTTCATGTGATCCATGGTTTATTCATAGAAAGCACTGTGAGTTCACACACTTGCTAAAAAGAAGGACAATTGCGATACAAAAATGAGAGTGACCTCCCTCTCTCTCTCTCTTTTTAACCAATCAACTGGGCTGAGACATTGTAGGGACCCTTGGCTGGGCAGTAGGACTTGAGTAGCTACATACGGCAAATACAACTTCTTGCTCAGTTTGGAGTAGAAAAGGTGACAGTTTGTCAACAAAAGAAAAAGTAAAGCAGATGGAGAAGTTCTTAGTTCGCATTCTAGCTATACCACCTCTTCCTTATCAAACCCCACCCCCAACTCAGGATCTAACATGTAAAAGAGTAAACACAAAGGCACTGGTAACCAACTGACTCTTCTGAATGCCCTTGCTATCTCCTACAACAATTCCAGGCTGAGCATAGGGGTCAGGAAGGTAGCAGGAACATGATGATACACTGTGGAGGTCAGCCAGGGCTAAGACAGGGCTGCTCATTAGGGCTAGAAATTAAGAAGGGAGAGGCTAAGTGCAGACCAGCCCTAGCCTCCAAGTCAGCACGCAATGAGACTGTGACAAAAGCAGGCAGAGGAAGCTTGACGTAGAAAGGCAGGGGAAGAAAGCAAGTACGGGGCGAGAAGGGAAATGTGCAGTGAAAGCAGCCAATCTGATGGCAGAGGGAGACCGGTGCTTAGAAGCTTGTTTGGTGAGAGGGAATAAATAGAGGAGGCACAGAAATGGGGAACAAACATTTAACTAGTGAGAGAGATTTAAGACGAATGGGAAGAGAAATCTCGCAAAAAGGACACATTCATGCAGATCCTCAAAGATGGACACGCAGTCATCCCTACATGTAGAAATATGCTCAGTTACACATATAAAAACACAGATGCATGGAGAGCAAGCATACACACAGACGCATATCTCTACACATGCACTCCTGTGTGCCCAGATACACACACACTAAACATGCAAAACATGACAGCATTTACACATAGATATGCACCCTCACATGTGTGCAAATGTTACATCCTCACACAGAGACCCACATTCCAGTGTGCACATATCCACACAGGTACACAGCCATAGAACTGACATACATACACATCAACATATAATGTGCACATACAGACAGGCACGCGCAGATATATCTATGCACATAGACACATGTACTCAGTCATGCACATACACACACTTTCTAACACAAAGGTGATCAGTGTAGATGAATATTGTGAGCTCAGTGGCTTCCCAGACCTTCATCTTTTCCCTGCTCTTGTTTCAAAGGTGCTCAGCAGACTCCTGGCGAGGCTGTGTGAGGCAGGGGCAGGACCTTCAGAGTCCTCACAGCTTTGTGAGGCAAAAGTCTGAGTCCAGTCCTGGCCTCTGCTGCTCACCCACCACTGGGCTATTAATGCCCTGTCTGTAGGCGAGAGATTCTGCATAGACTAGTCTTGGGATTTTTTTCTAACTGGCCATTTTTCTCCTTGGCACACCCACTATCCCACTGGTAACGGCACACACTCTGCAAGGGAAACCTGAGAAATGGTTGTGAGTCTCCTCGGACAATAAGCATACCCTCCCACCCACAGCTACCTCAAGTGCCCAGCAAATCAGAACCAAAATTATAAATACTTACGACTTTACAGTAATTGGCAACACATATACTATAGTACTTACAGTACCTTAAATGCATCTGTTTCTCTGGTGAAGCAATCTCTGAGATGGAACAGTGTTCTGTGTTTGCCAAGGGAGACAGGGCCAATGCCCAGGACACTCAGGACGTAGGGGCATAAGGTGGCATATCGTGGGGGTTTCTGGTCGATCTGCAAGGCCCAGCTTCTCCACGAACAGTGGGCTGTAGTGAGAAGCTTGCCAAGGTATGCATACCGACTGGAGTTGGACTCTCCCCATCCTTAGCCCTGTGGTCCTTTGGCCTCAGCCACAGGTGCTCAGAGTCCTCCCAGGGTGGACAAATGTTTCAGTGTTTTTGGCCTGACCTGATACTACCTGGGGACCCAGGCTGCCGGGCCGGTGAGCTATCTGCTTTCTCAGTCAAAGGGCTCTCGAACCAGCAGCATCAGCTTTTTCTTGCCTTTGTAGATCGTTTGTGGTTGTTGATGAACAGGGCAAATTGCAGGTAGCCATCCTAAGGCAGCAGGAGGGTCTCCCGAGCCTTGCTTAGAAACTCAATGAACTGTCCATACTGGCAATGGCTAATGTGTGTTAGGTGTAGTGTGTGGTGTTGATGTAAGCATTGCATCAGCAACTGGTGCCATGGAGCTCTGTCAGTGGAGATGAGCTTTCCAGAGCTGTGGTGGCCCGGGGTGCCGGCCAGGCCAGGTGCAGTCACCGTGCAGCCTCGCACACAGGATGTCTGAAAGCACCATGGCAATGTGCGCACTCTTCACCACCAGGGGGATGAGAACTGCCAGCTCATTCTTGCCCAGAGAGTGGCTGAGGGCACAAACCCAGAGCACATCACTGATGGCTGGGTGGGTATCCTGGTTATGAGCCAGGTGAAGATGGCTCATGGCCAATGAGACCAGCTTGAAGGCGTGGAGCGTGTAGCCCTGGAGCTCCACGTAGCAGGCAATGGTGAACAGCTGTGAATGGGTCATGCCACCGGCAGCAGCCTCGGTGGCAATCTGGCAGGCTGCCTCAAAGGCAATGTGGTCTTTCTCACAGAGTGTAAGGGCTGACAGGGCACAGCTCTGTGGATGCTTCGTAGCACACTGCAGGGCCAGTGTGCAAGCACAGCTGGCCAATTCCTCCCGCTGTGGATAGTCAAGACTGAGGCGCAGGATAGTGGTGTGGGATACGGCTGTGGCAGCTACAATGCTAGCAGCCTCAGTAGGGGTGAAGAGTGTGTGCCAGCTCTGCAAGATGCTCCCTGAGGCCCACACACCTGTCGGGGAGAGCCTGAGCTCAGCCGTGGCCATCTCAGTCCTGATTCAGGTCGGCCCAGATTACCGTGTGGGGTTTGAACTTGGCCTGCAGAGATGAGTTCTCCCTCCTCCTCAGCAACCTTGACATGATCTGAGGCAAACCAGGGCAAGAGAAGCATCCCAGATGGCCAAACCTTGTTTGGGGTCTCTTCCTATCCCTTCCTTACCCAGGTCAGAGGGTTGAAGGTTTCTGCAGGTGCTCTCAGCCCCTCACAAGGATGGAGCAGTAGATCCTGGGGTTTGCTTAACCCAAGGCCAGGGTTGCAGATCTGCCAGGGGTTCTAGCTGAAGTGGGGCCTGTCAGGGTAGAGTCTTGTGCTGGGGCTTTGGGCTTTAGAAAGGGTCCTGAGCCTCCAAGGTGTCTGGAGTTTCTCACAAGCATGGACAGGGACGGGGACCAAACCACCAGGCCCACTACCTCCCAAGGGCACACTTGAGTATTGGCAGCTGAAAATTCATTCTCTTAGACATGTCTCTGATGAGAGGGTCAAAGTGCTGCTGACATCAGCATGTGGTTGGTTTAAGCAGTGAGGACAGAACTTGGGCTGGCTGAACAGAGGCTATCTTCTCCCACCAGCAGCCGCATCCTTTCTTAGGCCATCAGGAATAGGAATATGAGAGCTCCAAGGATTCGTTGTCCTGTCCCAAGAGTAGGGTATAGAAACTCCTTTCCCGTGGGAGTAGAGGGAGGTGGGCGATACCCACTTCTGTAGCACAGGTCACCAACCATCATACCATCTCTCCGCGTCTCCAGTTAAGGGATGATAAGGTCATCGCATCACCTGTAACCCAGGTTCCAGGGCCACGTTGAGCAGGGTGCTGTCAGTACTGTTAGTGGGAGTAGCAATCCTGAACGCATTTTGGGCCAGTTTGAAGATGAGGGGGGAAGAACGAATGTGCTTCTGCATTGCTTCCAGAATTGTTCAGAGCCTCAAAGTGTCTCCTTTGGCAGCAGTCAGCATGGTGGAGGCCAGTTCCCACCGCTGTGATTCCAAGTGTCCAAGCAAGAACCAGGGAGGATAATGGCTGGGCACCGGGGACACCATACAGTGAGTGAGGGATGTGTCGCCTGCACAACCTGAATTTTCTAAAACGGGTAACCTTATACACGTAAGCCTAATTTATAGGCAGGGTCTGGATCACGAGACAGCAGAGCTGAGAACAAATACTTGGCAGAGGTATGCATGGAAACGCTCTCTCGGTGGATGACTTCTCCCAGATCCCTGAAAGGGTCCCCTTCCAGCAGCAAGATGCACTATTTTTGGAGTGTTTGCACTGGGTCATCATCCAATTGCAGCTCTTGGAGGTGGCTGAGGAGCTGCTCCTCATTACGGCACACCTTGTCCTGTGCATAGGAGCCTTCAGGCATTACCCTCTGTGACCCAGGCCCATCGATGCAGCCTCCAGGGCCAATGACAAGTAGGACTCACTGCTGTTTGGGGAGCTTACAGCCACAGGTACATGTTGGTACACAGGGGGTCTGCTTTCATTCGTATCTAGATACCTGTCATCATTCAGGAGGCAGGCCTCAGTCAAAGTGAGAAACAGGCAGCCGATGGGATCCAGGGGGTGGCCCACCCAGCCTTCCAGGTTTGTGATGGTTGTGGTTCCCCTCTGCAGCACTTCTTTCTTCTGATGCTTGTAGATTTTCAGTTGCCACCGCTGCTGAACCTCAGAGTATTAATAATGGCCACTGTGAGTCTGAGGGCCTCTTTTGGATAACCATGGGAATGTGGGGCATCAACCCGAGCACAGGCTGTTGCACATGCTCAAACCACAGTGGCTGGCCTTGGGAATTAAAGAGTAGTCTTGGCCAGGCGTGGTGGCTCATGACTGTAATCCCAGCATTTTGGGAGGCCGAGGTGGGCGGATCATGAGGTCAGGAGATCAAGACCAACCTGGCCAACATGGAGAAACCCCGTCTCTGCTAAAAATACAAACAATTTAGCTGGGCGTGGTGGCGGGCCCCTGTAGTCCCAGCTACTCGGGAGGCTGAGGCAAGAGAATGGCGTGAACCCGGGAAGCGGAGCTTGCAGTGAGCCGAGATCGTGCCATTGCACTCTAGCCTGGGCGACAGAGCGAGACTCCATTTCAAAAAAAAAAAAAAAAAATTAGCTGGGCATGGCGGCACGTGCCTGTAATCCCAGCTATTCGGGAGGCTGAGGCAAGAGAATTGCTTGAACTCGGGAGGTGGAGGTTGCAGTGAGCCCAGATCGCACCACTGCACTCCAGCCTGGCAACAGAGCTACTAGACTGTCTCAAAAAAAAAAAAAATATTGCACAGATCCCTGAAAATACAATTATATAGATTTTCTTTTTTGTTTTGTTTTGTTTTGGCTTGGTTTTTTGAGATGAAGTTTCGCTCTTGCGCCCAGCCTGGAGCAGTGGCGCGTTCTTGGCTCACTGCAACATCCACCTCCCGGGTGGATTCTCCCACCTCAGCCTTTCAACCAAGAAGCTACTTTTTGTTTGTTTGGTTGGTTGGTTGGTTGGTTGGTTGCTTGTTTGTTGAGACAGAGCTTTGCTCTTGTCGCCCAGGCTAGAGTGCAATGGTAAGTTCTCGGCTCACTGCAACATCCGACTCCAGGCTTCAAGCGATTCTCCTGCCTCAGCCTCCCGAGTAGCTGGGATTACAGGCTCCCACCAGCAAGCCCGGCTAATTTTTTTGTATTTTTAGTAGAGACAGGTTTTCATGATGTTAGCCAGGCTGGTCTCAAACTCCTGACCTCAAGTGATCTGCCTGCCTTGGCCTCCCAAAGTGCTGGGATTGCAAGCATGAGCCACCGTGCCCAGCCTGATTATATACATTTTCAATAAACATATATGAAAATGGTCTCAGGCATTTTAATAATTAGAAGACCAAAATCAATAAAAATGTAATAACATTACCCACTAACCAGAATATATAAAAGAAAGACTGACAAAATCAGGTATTGGAAAGGACATCTAATTAGAATGCTCTTAAACTTGTGGTTGGGTTGTATATTAGTCAAAAAAATCTTTGGAATTAAAAAAATTAATTGATAAATTGTGTGTATTTGTGGTGTACCACATTATACATATATACACACACACAGACACGCATTGTAGAATAGTTAAATCTGTGTATATCTATATAGCCACAGACATACATTATAGAATGGCTAAATCAACTGACATAGCATATCAGTTAGCTTAGATACTTATCTTTTTTTTTTAATTTTTTTATTTTTAGATGGAGTCTCCCTCTATCACCCAGGCTAGAGTGCAATGGTGCAATCTCGGCTCAATGCAACCTCTGCCTCCCAGGTTCAAGCGATTCTCCTGTCTCAGCCTCCTGAGTGGCTGGGATTACAAGCGCCTGCCACCACGCTAGGCTAATTTTTGTATTTTTAGTAGAGATGGGGTTTCACCATCTTGGCAAGCTTCTGACCTCGTGATGCACCCACCTCGGCCTCCCAAAGTGCTGGGATTACAGGCATGAGCCACTGTGCCTGGCCAATCAATACTTATCTTTTTGTGTGTGTTTGGTGAGAACATTTAAAATCTGCTGTCTTAGCAATTTCAAATATTACCACATTTTTTTTTTTTTTGAGACGGAGGCTCACTCTGTCTCCCAGGTTGGAGTGCAGTGTCACGATCTCGGCTCACTGTAAGCTCCGCTTCCCAGGTTCACACCATTCTCCTCCCTCAGCCTTCCGAGTAGCTGGGACTACAGGCGCCCACCACCACGCCTGGCTAATTTTTTGTATTTTTAGTAGAGACGGGGTTTCACTGTGTTAGCCAGGATGGTCTCGATCTCCTGACCTCGTGATCCACCCGCCTCGGCCTCCCAGAGCGCTGGGATTACAGGCATGAGCCACTGCACCTAGCCTAAAAGTACTCATTTTTTATTCATCAATAATTAGTAATCTGACTCGTTTCAAAAATTTGGTTATTATTGACAACCTCTTTGAAGATCCATTTCACAAACTCAACAGAGTGCCACGATTAAGAGCTAGGGATCCCCCAAACTATCTCAAGCATCTAAAAAATTGCCATTTTTTAAAGGCTTAAATTGTAGTAGTAAAGGGGGAAAAAACCCATAAATCATCTAAAAAATTGCCATTTGTAAAGGCTTAAATTGTGTGTGTGTACACACACACACACACACACACACACACATCATTGACCTTTCTTAAGACTTCAGAGGGTGGAACTTCCGGATGTGACCACAGAGAGGGAGAGACCGGGAACGCGGAGCGCGGCCACCAGCACCCCCGAGCCGCCGCCGGACCCCCGCCGCCCCGGGCCGCCCCCCGCCCCCCGCGGTCCCAGGTCTGTGGGTCTGGGGACGGTTCGATTCCCCGCAGAGCCGGGGGAGGGACGGGGGCGCCCAGGGGAGGGGGCCTCGGGCGCCCCGCCCGCGCCTGCTGCCCCGTCCCGGCGGCAATGCGCTCCTGGCCGTGACCCCCGCTGGGGGCCGGGGCCGGGATCCATGCGCGGAGCCCCCACCCGGCCCGGCGCCTGCCGCTGACGGCGGCGGGGGCTGGGGGGCGCGCGTCTGGCCTCCTGCCCACCCCCTGGCGTCGACATCACGGGCCGTAGGGGTCTGCGGCCCCGGGCTGCGCCCTACCCCCCGGCCAGGCTCTGGAGGGACCCTGGAACTGCCGCCGGCCTCAGCCCATGGCCCGGAGGTACGATGAGCTGCCGCACTACCCAAGCATCGCGGATGGCCCCGCAGCCCTGGCTGGCTTCCCAGAGGCAGTGCCCGCGGCACCAGGGCCCTATGGCCCTCACCGGCCTCCCCAGCCCCTACCCCCAGGCTTGGACAGCGACGGCCTGAAGAGGGACAAGGATGAGATCTATGGACACCCGCTCTTCCCCCTCTTGGCCCTGGTCTTTGAGAAATGTGAACTGGCTACATGCTCTCCCCGTGATGGGGCCGGAGCTGGGCTGGGGACACCCCGCGGCGGCGACGTCTGCTCCTCTGATTCCTTCAACGAGGACAACACTGCCTTCGCCAAGCAGGTTCGCTCTGAGAGGCCCTTCTTCTCCTCCAACCCAGAACTGGACAATCTGATGATCCAGGCCATCCAAGTGCTGCGGTTCCACCTGCTGGAGCTGGAGAAGGGAAAGATGCCCATCGACCTGGTCATCGAGGATCGGGATGGCGGCTGCAGGGAGGACTTCGAGGACTACCCAGCCTCCTGCCTCAGCCTCCCAGACCAGAATAATATATGGATTCGAGACCATGAGGATAGCGGGTCTGTACATTTGGGGACCCCAGGTCCATCCAGCGGGGGCCTGGCCTCCCAGAGTGGGGACAACTCCAGTGACCAAGGAGTCGGGCTGGACACCAGCGTGGCCTCTCCCAGTTCTGGTGGAGAAGATGAGGACTTGGACCAGGAGCCACGGCGAAACAAGAAGAGGGGGATCTTCCCCAAGGTGGCCACCAACATCATGCGAGCCTGGTTGTTCCAGCACCTCTGGCACCCGTACCCCTCGGAGGAGCAGAAGAAACAGCTGGTGCAGGACACGGGGCTCACCATCCTGCAAGTCAACAACTGGTTCATTAATGCCCGGAGACGCATGGTGCAACCTATGATCGATCAATCCAACCGCATAGGGCAGGGTGCAGCCTTCAGCCCAGAGGGCCAGCCCATCGGGGGCTATACCGAGACAGAGCCACACGTGGCCTTCCGGCCTCCAGCATCAGTGGGGATGAGTTTGAACTTGGAAGGAGAATGGCATTATCTATAGAGGCTGATGCGGGAGAGACCCAGCCTCCGGCTGTGACCCCCAGCCTCACACCTGGCTCTGGTTCCCGCCTGGTCCTCCGGCTTCAGGACCCCACCTCCAAAGGCCTCTCCCCTCAACGCCTACCTCCCTAGGGCCCTGCTGGGACATGGGGGCCTGAGTGCCCACCCAAGGGGCTCTCAAAGACACCGGCAAGGCCTCCAGGCCCTGAGCCCCGCTTCTGCCTTCACCTCTGCCTGGGACCCGAGCTGGGCTCCTGGGCCTTGGTCCCCAGAAGATGGCAGCTAGGGCCTCGCCGCCAGGACAGAGAAGGGACAGGGTGGCTGGGCAGTCAGGGAAGGAGGGTCGCCCGGATCTGACATTTTGGAGAGATTCCTTCACCCTCCTGTCCCCCCCACCTCCCTTCTCTAATTTCTTCTTTTTTCAATGATAAAGTCTTAAAACACAGAAAAAAAAAGACTTCAGAGAATTAGGTAGATGAAGCACTTTATACAGTATATATCTTCAGCTTAAATTTGTTTTGAGTATTTTTTTTTATTTTTAAGTAGGCAAAGATTTAAAATTTTTTATTTTTAGTAAATGTTTGAAGCAAACTAAAAAGACTTGGGCAATATTTACCAAAACAAAACAGAACCCAAAAAATTGTACATCTTGATCTTAGCAAATATCCTTATTGTAGAGACATTTAATAAAGAGATGGTATTTTAATATCTGCAGTTCTGAGGTAGGGTGTAACTTAGTTCTACATTGTGATTTAGGAATTTTTAAACCTTTCTTCTTCAGGGGAGAAGTGACCCAGGCCTCGAGTTTAGTGCTAAAGCCACTAGTGTACTTATGCTGTCACCTAACCACCACATGCGACATGGAGGCAGAGGCTAAATATAGGGGCTTTCTTAAGAAAGTGAGAGGAAATTAGCAAGCATTATTAGTGTTTGACTACTGCTATCAAGTGAATTCAAAGGAAACAGGTTTTTATGCCATATTTAAGTTACAGAAACCGGCATGCTTAGAATAGTTTCTAAGGCGACAGAGTGAGACTCCATCTCAAAAAAAAAAAAAAAAAAAGAATAGTTTCTAGAGGTTATTGGAGAATAGAAAGCTAAGAAAACTTGGTATACATTTACAATTGAAATATAATTACACTTTTTACTCTCAGAATATTATTCAGATTAGACTTCCTGTTTATCTTTTATATTCTTGCATTGATATAATGCCTGATCCTTCAAAGTTCTTTCACATATTATATGATCTTCTTTATGAAAAAAAGTAGATGCTTTATTCTGATATATTCAGTTTCCCACTTAGGCAAAAGTGGATTAATAGAATGATGAATTCAAAGTAGATGAGGAAAATCAGGCACAGAGAAGTAGAGGTAGGGACAGACCCAAATTCACACAAGATAATGACATCGCCAGCGTTTAAGTTGATCATCAAAGGCTGGGCTGGATTTGTCTTGCTGTATGTGTCAGGAAATTTATACCTATTACATTTTCCATTTTCTCAAAATAAGTCACATGATTGTAATGTTTAGCTGCAACTTTTCTCCTAACAAATAGTGTCATGAAGAATGTTATAGTGTGAAGTTTGTACATTTCAGGGTCAGTTATACAATGTGACCTCTTTATCTACGGGAATGAGAATGGAGGATCATTGAAAGCCATGATATAAACAAATTTGCATGTTGAAGCCTGTATAAAACATGGTACAGTGAGTGAATGCCCCCATCCCCAAGAACACTTTATACATATTAAATGGATATATGATTACTGTGCAAAAATTCATTCTGGAAATGAACATATATTTGAGCACTAATATGTAATGTACATCTTCTGCCCTAAGGAGAAAATAAATCATAAAACTTGTTTTACATTCAAAATTACTTTCCCGAGCATGTCTTAGAGTAATCTACGTGTTGATGTATGTAAATTGTATTTTAGGTAGGCAAAGAAACATCTGGTTATTTATGTAAAAAACTAGTCTAATAAAGTGAGTGGCTTTATCACTTTGAATCTTTAGTGTCTAAAAGTGGTGTTTAAAGTAATACTAGCACATCAGAAAACCTTGTGTGGACAAAACTAGTTCACTCACTGCTTCTGCAACTGCAGTTCCTCCCCTTAGGGTTATAAAAAAAAAGGACCCAAATGTTACATGTGTTGATATTATGACTTGTCAGTTACTGATGTCTGTGGTATCCTACCCTCGTCTCTGAAGCGGATAATACTGAATAATTATTAGAAAACTACAAGACTTCACACTTTGTACCATTAAAACCTAAAATTTTAATCCTATCCTTTTTTATTACAGATCAATCAGCACTCAGGAACAGAGCAGCAAGGAAAAAAAGGAAATTTCATTCATATGTTCTGTGTTCATATCTCTTCAGTACCTAATTGTTCATTTAATTTCAGCCTTATTCCTTCATAAGGGGTTTTACCACATGAAGTCATCCGATGACCCTAGCTCTTATTGTGAAGTTAAAGATGAGTGGAGTATACTTACAAATGTTACAACTTAAAAATGTTACAAAACATTTATTAAAGCTCATATTTAAAGTAGAGCATCTAGTTTGAGAAGTAGACATCAATTATTAAAGATGTCTTTTTTCTACCCATTTAACTAGTTAAAACCATGACGTGTAAATGTAGAAGTAGAATAATCATATGGAATTCCCTAAAATATTTCTGTTTACTAACATATATTGACCAAGTACATCAAGCAGGAGAGATCTTCCTTCATTCTGTTATAGTCCACATCATTCTAATTTTGCTCAGTTGTTATTAAGAGCATATTCCTAAACCATACACTTTTGTTTCAATAAAGTTTTATTTTGTTGAGATGAATAAAATATCAAAGTTAAAAGCTACATGAGACAAAAGTTCAATTGTTCAAAAAATTTACTGGGATAGCTTTCTATTATAGGTATTGTTAAATTATATTGCTCTGATAAGATTACTTTCTTTAAAAAGTTTGTACTTTTCTGTAAATTGAAAGAATATGGAGTCATAAAATGGCAAGTGTTTTAGGGTTAGCCTAAAATTGGGCATTGTCATTGATTTCATAGACGGTATAAACTAGCAGGCTTACAGCCTAATTCTTCTTTGGACTGGTCTTTGGCAGCAGTTCCTTTTCAGACTCAATAAACAGAATTCAGACAGATGTAAGTCAAAATAAAACTTTACAAAGCCAAGTGTATTATCTTTTGCATTAACCTATTTTTTCCATCATACATGCTACTAGTATGTGCATTAGCATGATATTCTCATATACATTGCATTAAAAATTAAAAGGTGGCAGCTCAGGGTGAGCTCTTCTGTCATTCATTTGTTCCTAAATTTTTAAGGGCTTTTTCTCAGTCAATATTTGTATAAACTGGGTAGTTTAACTTCATTACCCATTTCATTAAAGTTGATGGATTGTGATGAGATGCATTTAAGGCCAATAGTGACAGATTTTTTTTTAATCTGTTGAACACAAGCGTTGAATGATAACTACAGGTTTTAAGTGCTGTTAACATTAATACCATAATGTGATGTGTTAGAACCAAAGGGATATTTTAAAGGTAGATATCTGAAAATTCTCTAGTCTCAATGTATATATGTATTGAATATACTCTAAAAATAAATGTGCAATTTGCTAGTAGGACAATGCAGTGATTAGCATTAGGTATGTTTCTTTTATATCCTAGCTATGTCCCACTTTCTTCTAAGTGCAATCCTTTCATGTTCACTTGCTGTTTTACCCCCCTACTCTAACATCAGTTGGAAGCCTTGTCTAGAGTACAGTATGTGTTTTTACCTTTGCAGTGAATTGCATGTGCTAATTGTAACCACAGCTATTTTTATGTTGACATAACTCCAAGTGTTATATTAAATGTTCTATTTTATATTAGCTCTAATCCCTTAAGTAAATTTTAAGAAATAAATTCTTGTTCAAAAAAAAAAAAAAGTGCTTCCTTGTCCTAAGGTCATGACAACTTTCATGTAAGTTAACTTAAATATGGAAGCTTTATTGGCTTGCCTTTAACATTTAATTTAGATCTACAATGCCCATGGAACTAATTTTTTCTGAATATGTTTGGTTGAATGAAGGCTTTTTTTTTTTTTTTTTTTTTTTGAGACGGAGTCTCGCTCTGTCGCCCAGGCTGGAGTGCAGTGGCGTGATCTTGGCTCACTCCAAGTTCCGCCTCCCAGGTTCACGCCATTCTCCTGCCTCAGCCTCCCGAGTAGCTGGGACTACAGGCGCCCGCCACCACGCCTGGCTAATTTTTTTGTATTTTTAGTAGAGTTGGGGTTTCACCGTGTTAGCCAGGATGGTCTTGATCTCCTGAACTCGTGATCCGCCTGCCTCGGCCTCCCAAAGTGCTGGGATTACAGGCATGAGCCACCGTGCCCGGCCGAAGGCTTATTTTTTTTCCATATTGATATCCAGTTGTCTTATCACTTTTTAGTGAAAAGACCATCCTTTCTTGTGCAGTGCCACCTTAACTATAAATTAAGTGTTCATAAAATGGGTGTCTATTTCTGGGCCTTCTCTTCTTTGCCATTGATCTCTTTTTCTATCACTTACCAGTATTCTATTAATATCCAGTAGAGCAAATCTTTCAATCTTGTTTTTCTTCTTAAAGATTAAGTTTTTGGTTATTCTTGGTCTTTAGTGTTTCCATATTAATGTCATTTATTAAGTATTTTTGCAATTTGATTTCCAACTTAATTGCTCTGTAGTAAGAAAACATACTTTGTATGATTTCAGTCCTTTTAAATTTGAGAGGTTTTTAGTGTATCTCAACATGTGGTAAATTTTAATAAATATTCTGTGTCTTCTTGAAAAGGATATATCTCCAAAAAAAGTTTTAATTTGAAAGATGTTCTATATATAAGTAGAAAAATAAGAGGAAACTCAGATCACAAAATATAGAAATGTCTATGGGGCAAAGAAAAATGCCAGAAACTTACCAAACTGTCTTAAGTGCAGGCTTCATCGCTGATCCCTGGCATAATACTCCTTCGCACAGAACTCCATAAGTATGTGCTGATGTTTTTAGGTATCAAAGTCATGTGACTTAGCATTACTTGAGACAAAATATTTTTTTCTTTTGCCTTGGGTGTACCAGCTGTTGGCTAATAACTCCAAGAATAGGATGTTATTAAACTTTAGAAACATTTGCTTTCAGGATCTGCCAGATCATCTTTTGGAGATCAGAAGCTTGAACTTTCCAGTTCATCCCAGCCTGGATCCAGTTATGATGTATATAACCTGTTCTGTATGTATCAGCACATTTCACCTGATTTGAGTCTACGTTTTCTTCCCTGCTCAGAAGTGACAAGACTGTATGGATCAGGTATGAAAATTTTTTATGCTTTTCCTCTTTGTGTTTCTCTTTAAGAAATGTAGAATTCGGGCCGGGCGCGGTGGCTCACGCCTGTAATCCCAGCACTTTGGGAGGCCGAGGTGGGTGGATCATGAGGTCAGCAGATCGAGACCATCCTGGCTAACACTGTGAAACCCCGTCTCTACTAAAAATACAAAAAATTAACCGGGCGTAGTGGCGGGCGCCTGTAGTCCCAGCTACTCGGGAGGATAAGGCAGGAGAATGGCGTGAACCCGGGAGGCGGAGCTTGCAGTGAGCCGAGATTGCGCCACTGCACTCTAGCCTGGGTGACAGAGCCAGACTCTGTCTCAAAAAAAAAAAGAAAAGAAATGTAGAATTCGAATCTAAGATCTGAGAATAAATAAATGATTCTTACTATTAAAGGCAATTTAAAAATAAGAAAAAAGCAAGCTTCCTAAATGTTGTGATAAATATTATGACTTCCCTGTAGTGTTATATCTAACATAAAAACTGAATTAATGAGTTATGTCTGTTTGTAGTCCTAAATTCCACTGTAGTTTTCCTTTTTTGAAAGAAGTTTTGGTTCAAGAGATCTTTTGTACAGCATAGGGACTATAATAGTTAATTATGATATATTCTTAAAAAGTGCCAAAAGAGTGGATATTAGGTGTTCTCAAATCGCTTTTTCTTATCACTCAAAAGTGGTAACTATGTGCAGTAATACATTTGTAAATTAGCTAGATTTAATCATTCCACAATGTATACATACTTTAAAACATGTTGTACACGATGAATACATACAATAAAAAAGAAAGAAATTAGCTGCATGCCAGATACAAGAGAAAAAACATGAAAAAGAAAGAAATTCTGTTTTCAAATTATTTTGTGTTGTTGTTGTTGTTACAGGGTCTCACTTTGTCCCCCAGGCTGGAGTGCAGTGGCGTGATCTCACCTCACTGCAGCATCACCCTCCCAGGATCGAGGGATTCTCACACCTTGGGACCCCCACCCCCCAGCAGCTGGGACTACAGGCATGTGCCACAGGCACACGCCTGAGTAATTTTTTTGTATTTATTGTTGAGACAGGGTTTCACCATGTTACCCAGGTTGGGCTCGAAGTCCTGGGCTGAAGCAATTCCCCTGCCTTGGTCTCCCAAATTGCTGGGATTACAAGCGTGCACCACTGCACCCAGCCCAGAATATTTTGCATACATTTTGCCTGTCATTTGTCTATTTATAAATTCTACAACAGATATTCGTACATAGATATGTTGTACAAAACACAATATTTTTTCATTTCTTCTGTATTCAGTGAAAATGATAAATTTAGAAACTCATGATGTGATTAGAAATATAAACAAAGAAAATGCTTAAATGATTATTGAACTTTTTTAGTTTCATATTTGAGACTGTATGAATTATAGTCTACCATGTTTGCCTGTGATTCACAAAATTCTGTTTTTCAGGGTATATATATATATCAACCACTGAATTTAGTGTCAGGTACTGAAAATAAAGAAGAAATACTTATTTAAGGGCCTGCCTTGCGTTCACTACTGCGCTAGCATATACATTTAACATGCAAAGTTCCTTTCATCAGAGTTCCTACAGTTTAGAAGGGAAACTAAAATTACAGACGAGAAATATAGGAGCATATGGGATTCAGTATTGATTTTTTATTTTTTTATTTTTTGAGACAGTCTTGCTCTGTTGCCACGCTGGAGTGCAATGGCGCAATCTCGACTCACTGCAACCTCCGTCTCCGGGATTCAAGCGCTTCCCCTGCCTCAGCCTCCCGAGGAGTTGGGACTACAGGCCCGCACCACCACGCCCGGCTAATTTTTTGTATTTTAGTAGAGACGGGGTTTCGCCATGTTGGCCCGGATGGTCTCACTCTCCTGACGTCGTCATCCACCCGCCTCGGCCTCTCAAAGTGCTGGGATTACAGGCGTGAGCACCGCGCCCGGCCTCAGTATTGATTTTTTTTTTCATGTACGAATTCACATTTTACTCTCTCAAGTATTTTCCCCATGATTGATACTCACATGTATTTTCCCTGAAGTACTTACTGTTCTCTGCATTGAAATAACAAGGTAACTACCCCTGGAGACCTCTCTAAATGTCCTAGAAGAGGTAAAGGGTACAATTAGAGTAATAGACCATCTATTGCCACTGACTAAGGTTGAAGTCAAAATTAGCACTCATCTTTATCTGCTCCATCCAGTTTGTTTCCAAACCTTCAGAGATTTTTTTGTTTTTATTTATTTATTTTTATTTATTTATTTATTTTATTATACTTTAAGTTCTAGGGTACATGTGCACAATGTGCAGGTTTGTTACGTATGTATACATGAGCCATGTTGGTGTGCTACACCCATTAACTCATCATTTACATTAGGTATATCTCCTAATGCTATCCCTCCCCCCTCCCCCCACCCCACGACAGGTCCTGGTGTGTGGTGTTCCCCACCCTGTGTCCAAGTGTTCTCATTGTTCAATTCCCACCTATGAGTGAGAGCATGCGGTGTTTGGTTTTCTGTCCTTGTGATAGTTTGCTCAGAATGATGGTTTCGAGCTTCATCCATGTCCCTACAAAGGACATGAACTCATCCTCTTTATGACTGCATAGTATTCCATGGTGTATATGTGCCACATTTTCTTAATCCAGTCTATCATTGATGGACATTTGGGTTGGTTCCAAGTCTTTGCTATTGTGAATAGTGCCACAATAAACGTACGTGTGCATGTGTCTTTATAGCAGCATGATTTATAATCCTTTGGGTATATACCCCTTAAAGGGATGGCTTGGTCAAATGGTATTTCTAGTTCTAGATCCTTGAGGAATTGCCACACTGTCTTCCACAATGGTTGAACTAGTTTATAGTCCCACCAACAGTGTAAAAGTGTTTCTATTTCTCCATATCCCCTCCAGCACCTGTTGTTTCCTGACTTTTTAATGATCGCCACTCTAACTGGTGTGAGATGGTATCTCATTGTGGTTTTGATTTGCATTTCTCTGATGGCCAGTGATGATGAGCATTTTTTCATGTGTCTGTTGGCTGCATAAATGTCTTCTTTTGGGGAGTGTCTGTTCATTCCTTCGCCCACTTTTTGATGGGGTTGTTTGATTTTTTCTTGTAAATTTGTTTAAGTTCTTTATAGATTTTGGATATTAGCCCTTTGTCAGATGGGTAGATTGCAAAATTTTTCTCCCATTCTGTAGGTTGCCTGTTCACTCTGACAGTAGTTTCTTTTGCTGTGCAGAAGCTCTTTAGTTTAATTAGAACCCATTTGTCAATTTTGGCTTTTGTTGCCATTGCTTTTGGTGTTTTAGACATGAGGTCCTTGGCCATGCCTACGTCCTGAATGGTATTGCCTAGGTTTTCTTCTAGGGTTGTTAGGGTTTTAGGTCTGACATTTAAGTCTTTAATCCATCCTGAATTAATTTTTGTATAAGGTGTAAGGAAGGGATCCAGTTTCAGCTTTCTACATATGGCCAGCCAGTTTTCCCAGCACCATTTTTAAATAGGGAATCCTTTCCCCATTTCTTGTTTTTGTCAGGTTTGTCAAAGATCAGATGGTTGTAGATGTGTGATATTTTTTCTGAGGGCTCTGTTCTTTCCATTGGTCTATATCTCTGTTTTGGTACCAGTACCATGCTGTTTTGGTTACTATAGCCTTGTAGTATAGTTTGAAGTCAGGTAGCTTGATGCCTCCAGCTTTGTTCTTTTGGCTTAGGATTGTCTTGGCAATGCAGGCCCTTTTTTGGTTCCATATGAACTTTAAAGTAGTTTTTTTCCAATTCTGTGAAGAAAGTCATTGGTAGCTTGATGGGGATGGCATTGAATCTATAAATTACCTTGGGCAGTATGGCCATTTTCACGATATTGATTCTTCCTATCCATGAGCATGGAATGTTCTTCCATTTGTTTATGTCCTCTTTTATTTCATTGAGCAGTGGTTCGTAGTTCTCCTTGAAAAGGTCCTTCACATCCCTTGTAAGTTGGATTCCTAGGTATTTTATTCTCTTTGAAGCAATTGTGAATGGGAGCTCACTCATGATTTGGCTCTCTGTTTGTCTACTATTGGTGTATAAGAATGCTTGTGATTTTTGCACATTGATTTTGTATCCCGAGACTTTGCTGAAGTTGCTTATCAGCTTAAGGAGATTTTGGGCTGAGACGATGGGGTTTTCTAAATATACAATCATGTCACCTCCAAACAGGGACAATTTGACTTCCTCTTTTCCTAATTGAATACCCTTTATTTCTTTGTCCTGCCTGATTGCCCCGGCCAGAACCTCCAACACTATGTTGAATAGGAGTGGTGAGAGAGGGCATCCCTGTCTTGTGCCAGTTTTCAAAGGGAATGCTTCCAGTTTTTGCCCATTCGGTATGATATTGGCTGTGGGTTTGTCATAAATAGCTCTTATTATTTTGAGATACGTCCCATCAATGCCTAATTTATTGAGTGTTTTTAGCATGAAGGGCTGTTGAATTTTGTCAAAGGCCTTTTCTGCATCTATTGAGATAATCATGTGGTTTTCGTCTTTGGTTCTGTTTATATGCTGGATTACGTTTATTGATTTGCGTATGTTGAACCAGCCTTGCATCCCAGGGATGAAGCCCACTTGATCATGGTGGATAAGCTTTTTGATGTGCTGCTGGATTCGGTTTGCCAGTATTTTACTGAGGATTTTTGCATCGATGTTCGTCAGGGATATTGGTCTAAAATTCTTTTTTTGTTGTGTCTCTGTCAGGCTTTGGTATCAGGATGATGCTAGCCTCATAAAATGAGTTAGGGAGGATTCCCTCTTTTTCTATTGATTGGAATAGTTTCAGAAGGAATGGTACCAGCTCCTCCTTGTACCTCTGGTAGAATTCGGCTGTGAATCCGTCTGGTCCTGGACTTTTTTTGGTTGGTAGGCTATTAATTATTGCCTCAATTTCAGAGCCTGTTATTGGTCTATTCAGGGATTCAATTTCTTCCTGGTTTAGTCTTGGAAGGGTGTATATGTCCAGGAATTTATCCATTTCTTCTAGATTTTCTAATTTATTTGCATAGAGGTGTTTATAGTACTCTCTGATGGTAGTTTGTATGTCTGTGGGATTGGTGGTGATAACCCCTTTATCATTTTTTATTGCGTCTATTTGGTTCTTCTCTCTTTTCTTCTTCATTAGTCTTGTTAGCAGTCTATCAATTTTGTTGATCTTTTCAAAAAACCAGCTCCTGGATTCATAGACATTTTGAAGGGTTTTTTGTGTCTCTATCTCCTTCAGTTCTGCTCTGATCTTAGTTATTTCTTGCCTTCTGCTAGCTTTTGAATGTGTTTGCTCTTGCTTCTCTAGTTCTTTTAATTGTGACGTTAGGGTGACAATTTTAGATCTTTCCTGCTTTCTCTTGTGGGCATTTAGTGCTATAAATTTCCCCCTACACACTGCTTTAAATGTGTCCCAGAGATTCTGGTATGTTGTGTCTTTGCTCTCATTGGTTTGACTTTTAACAATTTTCACTTGAGCACCCACTTGAATATGCTTTTGTCTGGCCATAAAAATCCCACATGGGCACCCTCAGTTCACTAAATACTGCTGTAAACTCATATGACAGGGTCTCCAGTAAATGAGCAAGTTTCTTTTCTCGGCATCTTGGCTGAGCCACAGCACGAAAAGGCACACCTATCTTGTGATGTGCCTCAAGAGCCTATGAAGGAAGTTCTGCTGCAGCTGGTCACTGCCTTTTTCTCTGAACTTTCTGATAATGTCTACCTTTTCAATGTCAAGGTCACTTGCATTAGCCTATATTAAAAAGTTGCATTTTATCATGAATATAAAAAGATCAGTCCAAACCAATTCCAGACAGAATATAGGCACAAAGAAATTCATATTATCCGGGAAAAATCACTCATATTTTTCTTTTCTTCTTTTTTTTTTTTTTTTTTTTTTTTGAGGCTGAGTCTCGCTCTGTCGCCTAGGCTGGAGTGCAATGACGCTATCTCAGCTCACTGCAACCTCTGCCTCCCAGGTCCAAGCGATTCTCCTGCCTCAGCCTCCTGAGTAGCTGGGATTATAGGCATGCACCACCACGCCTGGCTAATTTTTGTATTTTTAGTAGAGACGGGGTTCCACCTTGTTGGCCAGGCTGGTCTCGAATTCCTAACCTCGTGATCCGCCCACCTCAGCCTCTCAAAATGCTGGGATTACAGGTCTGAGCCACTGTGCCTGGCCATTTTTTTTTTTCGTTTCTTTTCTTTTCTTTCTTTCTTTTTTTTTTTTTGAGACGGAGTCTCACTCTGCTGCCCAGGTTGGAGTGCAGTGGGGCAATCTTGGCTCACTGCAAGCTCCGCTTCCCCGGTTCATGCCATTCTCCTGCCTCAGCCTCTCGAGTAGCTGGGAGTACAGGTGCCCGCCACCACGCCCGACTAGTTTTTTTTTTTTTTTTTTTTTTTTGGTATTTTTAGTAGAGACTGGGTTTCACCGTGTTAGCCAGGATGGTCGTGATCTCCTGACCTCATGATCCACCCACCTCGGCCTCACAAAGTGCTGGGATTACAGGCGTGAGCCACCGCGCCCGGCCACGCCCGGCCATTTTTCATATTTCACAAGCTGAAAAAAAGTTATAATTGTCCTTTAAAAATACATGACTAGGCCGGGCGCGGTGGCTCACGCCTGTAATCCCAGCACTTTGGGAGGCCGAGGCGGGCGGATCACGAGGTCCGGAGATCGAGACCATCCTGGCTAACACTGTGAAACTCCGTCTCTACTAAAAATACAAAAAATTAGCCGGGCGCAGTGGCGGGCGCCTGTAGTCTCAGCTACTAGAGAGGCTGAGGCAGGAGAATGGCATGAACCCGGGAGGTGGAGCTTGCAGTGAGCCGAGATAGCGCCACTGCAGTCCGGCCTGGGCGAAAGAGCGAGACTCTGTCTCAAAAAAAAAAAAAAGAAAAAGAAAGAAAAATTAATGTCTGTGGCATATGCCTGTAATCCCACCTACTCGAGAGGCTGAGACAGGAGAATCGCTTGAACCAGGGAGTTGGAGGTTGCGGTGAGCCAAGATCACACCAGTGCACTCCAGGCTGGCAACAGAGCGAGACTCTTTCTCAATAAAAAAAAGGCCGGGCGCGGTGGCTCACGCCTGTAATCCCAGCACTTTGGAAGGCCGAGGTGGGAGGATCATGAGGTCAGAAGATCGAGACCATCTTGGCTAACACGATGAAACCCCGTCTCTACTAAAAATACAAAAAATTAGCCGAGCGTGGTGGCGGGCACCTGTAGTCCCAGCTACTCAGGAGGCTGAGGCAGGAGAATGGCGTGAACCCGGGAAGCGGAGCTTGCAGTGAGCCGAGATTGCGCCACTGCACTCCAGCCTGGGCGACAGAGCGAGACTCTGTCTCAAAAAAAAAAAAAACCACCACCACCACCACCAACAAAAAACTTGTGTAATCAATCTAGGTGCAAGAAAAAAAAAACAATAAAATATGAAGCTGAGGTCTTTCAAGCCAGTAATATGATATTGCCTTTTTAATTTCAAAAAACATGTTATGGCTAATGAATACATGAACATGTAATTCATTCAGATTAAAATATTTACAGTACAATATTTGTGTTTAGAACTCATAGTAACACATTTTATGCAGCAATCTCTGTCAAATTCATTAGTTTGATTTATACCCAGTGTATAATACACAAACACTGCACACTAACAATCATGTCAACTAAATTATTTTATTGAATAATTAAATGAACATGCCTGATAAAAACATAACTCTGTCAAATTCAAATGAAGTCTTATCTAAGTATTTTCACATTTTAGGAGTATAGCGTATCTCTATGTATGTCACTGAAAGCCAGAATTATAATTAAGGTTTATTTTTTGCAGGTAGCTAACAAGAAATTTCTTTGCCACAAATGAGTTTGCCAAGGCTACTTTGGTCAAAAGGTTTCTGTCCTCGGCTCCCCTGTTGCCACTACTGCTGGGTAATGGTTACACTAATCCTCTTTGCATGAGAGGTCCTGATGTGTTTGCTAAACCCAGATCGCTGAAGCACTGGTCTGGTGACTATATTTTTTGAGAACCACTGCTCTAAAGCACCTAAATTATGTTTTCTGAAACGTTCCCTTCAGGCAAAATGGACTAGTAAAATTTTTGCTGGGTAACTGAGACACAAAATAATGGCCTTAAAACCTTTTATCCTAATGCTTTGACTTTCTCTCTAATGTGGCTTCTACCACTTGTACCTAGAACAATTAACCACATCCTCAACATCAAATTATATTTATAAGGCATATTCAATATGTTGACAGATTTAAGCTTATAGAATGACCAAAATAGAATACAGATAGGAAGCACCATAAATGTAACAAAACCACTTCAAAAATGTACCCTGCCATAGCCCTAGTAGTTTAACTAAAATCTTAAGCGACAATGAATTTAAGCTCAATTTGGGGGGTTAAAAAACAACAGATAAAATTTAGGAATTATTTTTTTAGACGTATGGAGTATTAGGCTGCTCATCTGAAATTATTCTCATCATTCTGAAACCTGTTGCTGTACAGCCCTGAGAGCTAATTTGTAAAGGGTTATTAAAAAAACAAACATGAAAACAAAACAAAATACCTAAAATACTCGCTGGCTGCCCTTCGTGGAAGGTGTTTGCCACCCCATGCACTGCAGAATCCTCTAGCTGTGGTTACTGAGCCTGGCTCTGATTGTTTTGAGGTGGCCATGGTGAGAACCGCTCACAGGCAGATAGTTTGCCATCTTTGATCTGAAAGTTGAATTCCCTATTTTGTTGAGAACCTCACATAATAAATTATTCTTTTGGACCTCCATATTGTGTAATTCAGTACACTCCACTGATGGCTTTCATTGGAATATATATTATATAAAGAATACATCAATATTTCTGTTCCTGGCCATATATTCCTGTGTATACTATAAAAGATTGGTTTTGACATAGACAGTCTTCTTGAAATTCTGCTTTGTCAAGGATATTAATAATATAGTTTGTTTTATTAAAATCCTATTTTCCCCATCTTCTCTCTGCTTGACCCAATTCCAGTCATTCCACAAGCACAGCTTCATTCCATTAACATTGATGCAGCCCCTTCTGGGTATCACTCACTGTGCTGGAGGCTGGGAGAAAACAGTGAACAGGACAGGCCTGGCCCTGCCCTCACTGAGTGGACAGTGCTCCCACACTTTCTTACTTCTATGAGGAAGGAATATATTTCACAGGAAACATCCTAAAATCCTAGAAACTACAGTGACAATTTACAGCTCAGAATGGAAGAAGTAGGCAGAAAAAGGCTCGCCTTTCTTGAAAGTGTCCAGAAGGCAAGAATGAAAAGAAACAAGGGAATCTTAATACACCAATCTACCTTCACATAACATTTACAAATATGCATCAGAAAGTGCCCAATCATGGTTCAAGAAATCCTCAAGTTAGCCGACACAACTGAACAGCAACTCAACAGGGAGAGTCCAAATTGAGACTAGAGGTCAGGAAATGCATCTCCAAGGAGTCATATTTAAGCAGAGACTTGAATGGTGGGATGTAAACAGACAGGTGGAAAAAATGGGAAGAAGCATTTTCAGCAGGTAAACCCACGTGCAAAGGGTGAGAAGAGAGTGTGGCTCAGTGGACTGAAAGGCGGCCTGGTGGGGAGGAGGCAGGAGGTGAAACGAAGGCTGTCAGGAGGTGAGATGGTGAACCTTGCTGAGAAGTGTGTGCTATCTTAGAAGCAATGGAAAGCTGCTGAATGTTGTAAACAAGCAACCAATTATATCTAATTTGCATTTTTCAAAGGTAACTTAGCAGCAATGTGGAGAACATAATGTACTACTGAGTTCAGAGACAGGGAGACCTACAGTAAGAAAGCAATTGCAGAAAGCGAGGTGAGTGCAGCTTTGCATTAAGTGGGTGAGTAGAGCTAGAGAGAATGAAATGCAGTTGAGTATAATGTGGAGATAAAGTATTCAGAATTTGCTATTTACTGGATGTGTCAAGGATGACTCCCAAGTCTCTAGTGTAAGTTCCTGGTGAATGACAGAACCACTAACAGAGACAAGGAATAGGGAAGGAAGAGTAGGCTTAGGGGTGTGTGAGCCAGGTGAAGAAAGCAAGTTGGGACTTGTTACATTTTAAGTGCTTGTGAGACAACAATGTTACTTGTTAGAGATGCCTTTGTGTTCTAGTCACTGGTCCTATTGTCCAACTCTGAGGTCTTTCAGTCATCATAGGTCATTTCAGGCTTCAAAGTCTGGTAACAATCAATGATAGACTGGATAAAGAAAATGTGGCACATACACACCATGGAATACTATGCAGCCATAAAAAAAGGATGAGTTCATGTCCTTTGCAGGGACATGGATGAAGCTGGAAACCATCATTCTCAGCAAACTAACACAGGAACAGAAAACCAAACACTGCATGTTCTCACTCATAGGTGGGAGTTGAACAATGAGAACACATGGACACAGGGAGGGGAACATCACACACTGGGGCCTGACAGTGGGGGGGCTAGGGGAGGGATAGCATTAGGAGAAATACCTAATGTAGATGACAGGTTGATGGGTGCAGGAAACCACCATGGCATGCATATACCTATGTAACAAACCTGCACATTCTGCACATGTATCCTAGAACTTAAAGTGTAATTGAAAAAAAAAAAAAAAGCACAAAGTCTGGTAACAATGCCTGGTATTTAAAAATAGCATTTTAAGCCGGGAGCGGTGGCTCAAGCCTGTAGTCTCAGCACTTTGGGAAGCCAAGGCGGGTGGATCACGAGTCAGGAGATTGAGACCATCCTGGCTAACATGGTGAAACCTCGTCTCTACTAAAAATACAAAAAGTTAGCCCGGCGAGGTGGCAGGTGCCTGTAGTCCCAGCTACTCGGGAGGCTGAGGCAGGAGAACGGCATGAACCCGGGGGGCGGAGCCTGCAGTGAGCCGAGATTGCGCCACTGCACTCCAGCCTGGGGGACAGAGCGAGACTCTGTCTCAAAAAAAAAAAAAAAAAAAAAAGTATTTTAAGGCTGGGCGCGGTGGCTCATGCCTGTAATCCCAGCACTTTGGGAGGCCGAGGCGGGCAGATCACGTGGTCAGGAGATCGAGACCATCCTGGCTAACACTGTGAAACCCCGTCTGTACTAAAAATACAAAAATTAGCCGGGCGTGGTGGCGGGCGCCTGTAGTCCCAGCTACTTGGGAGGCTGAGGCAGGAGAATGGCATGAACTCGGGATGCGGAGCTTGCAGTGAGCCGAGATTGCACCACTGCACTCCAGGCTGGGTGACAGAGTGAGACTCCGTCTCAAAAAAAAAAAAAAAAAAAATAGCATTTTAAATGCATGAAAGTTACATATCTTTAACTTAATTTAGTTATTGCTATGTAATCCAACTATGCTGGTTCTGCTATACCTTATTAAATGTGTATTCATGTGTCTCAACATTTTCTTTCAACAAATTCTTAGTTACACTCTTAGACGAATAGTTTGCTAGCAAGTTTAATTTGGGAAGTGATTAAAAATAAATCAGTGACTAATTGCATAATAACTTTAACAGGAATTAGAAAAAATAAAATAGTATTAAAATAGGATCTCATATCGAAAAGTATGAGAGGGTGCTGTGTTTCATATGATTCTAGGATTACTAATACTACTTTCCTACTTAACATCAAATAAAAAGCTTAAGGCTATTAAAGTTTAGAGAAATGTATCCCATTTATTCTTAGATCAAAATATATCCTCTATTCATATGTTTGAATAAACTGAGAATCAGAATCTCATTCTCAAATTTGGCTACAAATAAATCCACATCTTCCCTCACCTGCACCAGCTCTTCAGCACCTGGACACAGGACCGTGCTTCGCACATCTTGCTCAGCACCGTGCCCTGCACAGGGGAAAAGTTCCATGAGCAGATATTGAACCGAATTGAGCTAGTGTTCTTTTCTCTTTTCTTTGCTTTGCTTTGCTTCGCTTCGCTTCTTTTCCTTCCTTCCTTCCTTTCCTTCCTTCCTTCCTTCCTTCCTTCCTTCCTTCCTTCTCTCCCTCCCTCCTTCCTTCCTTCCTTCTCTCTCTCTGTCTTTCTTTCCTATTATATCTCCCTTTCTTTTATTTCCTTTTTTTTTTTTTTTTGGCGGAGTCTCGCTCTGTCTCCCAGGCTGGAGTGCAGTGGCACACAATCTCGGCTTACTGTAACCTCCACCTCCTAAGTTCAAGCAATTCTCCTACTTCAGCTTCCTGAGGAGCTGGGATTACAGGTGCGCACCACCACGCCCAGCTATTTATTTTTATTTTTAGTAGAGATTAAGTTTCACCATGTTGGTCAGGCTGGTCTTGAACCCCTAACCTCAAGTAATGCACTCGCCTTGGCCTCCCAAAATGCTGGGATTACAGGCATTAGCCACCACGCCCGACCTGAGCTAGTGCTTTTTCTAATTAGCTTGACTATTTTCTGTGTTTTCCACACTGGGAGTAGATAACAAGGAGCAGCATTCTCTCATATGACTAAACATCAGTATTAGCTTCCAGGTTTTCCTTCATCAGGGAAGGTGACTACATCCACTTTCCTCCCATGTTGTTATCTTCCCATTAATGCATTTTCTAAACTCAAATCTACTCAGAGCAGGCCCGGTACTGAATAGAAGGAGGTTCTATAGGTAGCCTCTTTTTTCTCCATATGCTCCCTAAACATTTCAAAATACATATTCTTTATTTTTACAGAATAACAGGTTTATAAATATTAACATGTATTGATGCTGTTAAATAAAACCTATTTTTTTCCACTGAAGCAGCCAATTTTTTTTTTTTTTTTTTGAGATGGAGTCTCACTCTGTCACCCAGGCTGGAGTGCAGTGGCACGATCTCGGCTCACTGCAAGCTCCGCCTCCTGGGTTCACACCATTCTCCTGCCTCAGCCTCCCGAGTAGCTAGGACTACAGGCACCCGCCACCACGCCCGGCTAATTTTTTGTATTTTTAGTAGAGACAGGGTTTCACCGCGTTAGCCAGCATGGTCTTGCTCTCCTGACCTCGTGATCCGCCCTCCTCGGCCTCCCAAAGTGCTGGTATTACAGGCGTGAGCCACAGTGCCCGGCCTTTTTTTTTTTTTTTTTTGAGATGGAGTCTCACTCTGTTGCCCAGTCTGGAGTGCAGTGGTGTGATCTCGGCTCACTGCAAGCTCCGTCTCTCAGGTTCACACCATTCTTCTGCCTCAGCCTCCCAAGTAGCTGGAACTACAAGCGTATGCCACAATGCCGGGCTAAATTTTTTTTATTTTTAGTAGAGGCAGGGTTTCACTGTGTTAGCCAGAATGGTCTCAATCTCCTGACCTTGTGATCCACCTGCCTCAGCCTCCCAAAGTGCTGGGATTACAGGCATGAGCCACCGCGCCCAGCCCAATCTTTTTTTTTTCTTTCTTTCTTTTTTCTGAGATGCCATACTCAGAGCCATCTGAGTGTCAGAAAACAGGACCACCCCTCACAGGAAATCCTCTTGTTGATTTGAAGGGCATTAGTTTTATTAACGCCTACTCTGAAGCAGGTACTTTGCTAAACCCTGGAAATTTAAAGATGAATAAGACTCAATTCAAGTCTACCCAGGAAGTTAACTTCTAAAGTAACTAAAGACAGGATTATCAAGGTCTTCCATAAAAAACTAAGTTCTACGTGAACAGCTATTTAAAGGGCTGAAAAAAGTCATGTTCAATGTCAGTTTGGTTTTGCAACATGTCATGCCAACATTGATTTCAGCTGGGGATAAGCAATACTATATGCATATCTGTACACTTCCATCCTCATCCCAATCCTGCTGTTGAGGTTCCAGGCCAAAGGGAGGAAGCTCTGGAACCTGGCTTCAAAGGGAGGCTGGAGTCTGTAGTGCACCATGCTGCCTGCATTTGTGTTTCTTTTGAAAACCCTGGGAGATAAAAGAGAAAGGAATCAATGAGTCTGCAGAATATCTGGTGCCAGCTGCAGGCATGAGAACAAGCACAGTGCAGAGCCTGGGCTGCACCTGGGTCCACACAGAAACACCATCAGAACAGGGAGGACAAAGTGGAGGAGTTTACTGTGAGGTCAGGCACTGCTGCTCCACAGAGGGCAAGACTGCAGATGTGCCACATTAGCGATCAGAGATTTAAACAGTTGCCCCGAGGGGATGGGGCATTTCGGGCAGAACAAACCTCCATGCAGGGCACAGAGGCACGGAAGGACACTGTGAGCTTACAGGGCAGTGCAACAGGATGGAACTTGTATTTTAGGAAACTACAGAGAGCTGCAGAGAGCTGAGTCTTGGGAGGTGGGCTGGGCCACATTGTAAGGGGCCTTGAATATCAAAATATGGAGCAGAGACTGGCTCCAGGCAAGGTGGGGTTAAGGGAGTTTTTTAAGGAGGGAGAGACAATAGCAACTTGTTCTGTGTGAAGAGGACCTGGTGGGGGCCTGGGGCCTGGGACAGGAGGAGAGGCTTGCAGGAGTCAGGGCGGGGAGACTTGCTTTGGAAATCTGTAGATGTATGCCACTCCTAGAGTGGGAATCTTTTTTTTCGAGACAGAGTCTCGCTCTGTCGCCAGGCTGGAGTGCAATGGTGTGATCTCGGCTCACTGCAACCTCCGCCTCCCGGGTTCAAGTGATTCTCCTGCCTCAGCCTCCCGAATAGCTGGGACTACAGGTGCATACCACCATGCCTGGCTAATTTTTGTACTTTTAGTAGAGACGGGGTTTCACCATCTTGGCCAGGATGGTCTCAATCTCTTGACCTCGTGATCCACCCACCTCGGCCTCTCAAACTGCTGGGATTACAGGCAGAAGCCACTGCGCTCGGCCAAGAGTGGGAATCTTTACAGCTCCGTTTTACATACAGATCTAATTGGAAGGTAATTCACAATCAAGAATAAGTTAATATAGAGACCATGTCATTTGGAATTTAACCAATTATTTGGAGGTGGTACAGTAGCACATTTATCTCTTGGTGTACATTCAGGTTTTGTCCTTTTTTTGTTTCTCCTTTTCTAAACAGCTATGATTAAATCAAAGTGGTGGTGATTTTGCAGTGACAATGACTCTGCTGCAGAGGCTTCCTGCGTCTCAGAACCTGTGTCCTTCCCTAGCCTGAGGCCAGAGTATGAGCGTGTCCTCCTTCCTCAGAGGGAGCCCTGCCTCCCTGCTCAAGAGTCTCTCCTAGGAAGGGGTGGGCTTGGGAGGCTGCCCTGGGGTGGCCCCAAGGCTCCTAATGACTGGTGCCTGGCATTTGCCAGCAGCCTCGGCCAGGTGCTCGTCAGGACTGCGGGGCTGTGAGGACACAACCCAGTAGAAACTGGTCATTTGGTGAGTCATATAGCGGGCATCGCTCAGCCCTGGATTAGGGTCACAAAAAGATGACCCTCAGGAAAAGTCTCACCGAAAGTGGTCAATGTGGGCCTCTGAAAATGGGCCCAGAGGGAAGAGAGGCTGGGGAGGGAAGAGCTTAGGGGATCTGCAGAGCTAACGACAGAGGGACCCAGGATGAGCCAAGGCCTAGTGGGTCAACAGAAGGTGCTGGATGAAGCCGTGACAAGAACATGTGTTCAAGGCCGCTCCTCATGGCCATCTAGTTTCTGTCAGGATCACAGGCTGGGGCACGTGCTTCTCCTACGGACTGAGGGCTGCTTTAGAAACTGATGTGTTTTCTTATCAGAACACTTCTTGTCACCTCTGGAGAACATCCTGGCCTGGTCATCAGAGCCTCCAAGCGTCATGTGTCCCCTTTAATTCCTATGGGGCGTCCAGCACATGCATTGTTCCCGGCAGCCTCTGGAGGGACTCACTCTACTCCTCAGTGGAGGGGCACAGCCATGCCGAGAGGAAGCATGCCCCGTCACACATGGCCAACTGGCTCTCTGCAGAAAGGGGCAGTGCTGTTCCAAAGGCCCTCTCAGGTGGCTTCACGTGACAGGAGAGACAATGGGCAATGGAAATAACCAGGACAAAGCCTCCAGGCTGCATCTCTAACACACAAGATGCTCAGAAGAACCCAATTTGATCTGTGTGGTGTAAATGAAAAATTTGAGGCTGGGCATGGTGGCTCACACCTTTAATCCCAGCACTTTGGGAGGCTTATGTGAGAGGATCACCTGAGCCCAGGAGTTCAAGACCAGCCTCGACAACACAGCAAGACCCTGTGTATTAGTCCATTCTCACACTGCTATAAAGAAATACCTGAGACTGGGTAATTTATTAAGAAAAGAGGTTTAATTGTCTCAAGGTTCTGCAGGCTATGCAGGAAGCATGGCAGCTTCTCCTTCTGGGGAGGCCTCAGGAAGCCTTCAATCATGGCAGAAGGGGAAGGGGAGTGAGATCTCTCACCCGGCGGGAGCAGGAGCAATAGAAAGCAAGCGGGGAGGCGCTGCACACTTTTAAACAACCAGATCTCACAAGAACTCACTGTCGCAAGAACAGCACCAAGACAATGGTGTTAACCATTCATGAGAAACCTTCCCCATAATCCAGTCACCTCCCACCAGGCCCCACCTCCACCACTAGGGATTACAGTTCGACATAAGATTTAGGTGGGGACACAGATCCAAACCATATCACCTTCTCTCTACTAAAAATAATAATAATAAAAGCCAGATATGGTGGCACCACCTGTAGTCCCAGCTACTCAGGAGGCTGAAGCAGGAGGATCACTTAAGCCCAGGAGTTCAAGGCTGCATTGAGCTATGATGGCACCACAGCCTAAACAACAGAGTGAGGCCCTGTCTCAAAACAAAAACAAACAAACAAAAAACTGATTTGGATTTGTATTTCAGTCTTCTGTTTTCTGTTCTTTAATACCCTTATTAAAGAAACCGGATGTGAGGCGGCGCAGCGGCGGTCAGGTGAGCGACGCGGGAGCGGTCAGCAGGTGGCGAACCCACGGCCAGGCTTCCGTGGCAAGCAGCCCTAGAGGAATGGCCGTCCTGTCCCTGCGAGCCCCTGGGCCCTGGCAGGCGATCCAGGTGGGATGCCATGGAATATGATGAGAAGCTGGCCCGGTTCCGGCAGGCCCACCTCAACCCCTTCAACAAGCAGTCTGGGCCGAGACAGCATGAGCTGGGGCCCTGGGGAGGAGGCCCCAGACATCACTCCTGAAGAGGCCCTGCCTGAGCTGCCCCCTGGGGAGCCGGAGTTCCGTTGCCCTGAACGCGTGATGGATCTCGGCCTGTCTGAGGACCACTTCTCCCGCCCTGTGCTGCGGCAGGTGATCGAGGAGTGCAAGCAGGTGATTCTGGAGCTGCCCGAGCAGTCGGAGAAGCAGAAGGATGCCGTGGTGTGACTCATCCACCTCTGGCTGAAGCTCCAGGAGCTGAAGGACCCCAATGAGGATGAGCCAAACATCTGAGTGCTCCTTGAACACGGCTTCTACGAGGAGAAGAGCAAGAGCGTCAAGCAGACCTGTGATAAGTGTAACACCATCATCTGGGGGCTCATTCAGACCTGGTACACCTGCACAGGGTGTTATTACTGCTGTCACAGCAAGTGCTTGAACCTCATCTCCAAGCCCTGTGTGAGCTCCAAAGTCAGCCACCAAGCTGAATACGAACTTAACATCTGCCCTGAGACAGGGCTGGACAGCCAGGATTACCGCTGTGCTGAGTGCCAGGCGCCCATCTCTCTGCAGGGTGTGCCCAGTGAGGCCAGGCAGTGTGACTACACCGGCCAGTACTACTGCAGCCATTGCCACTGGAACGACCTGGCTGTCATCCCTGCATGCATTGTACGCAACTGGGACTTTGCACCTCGAAAGGTTTCTCGCTGCAGCATGTGCTACCTGGCGCTGATGGTGTCTCGGCCCGTGCTCAGGCTCCGGGAGATCAACCTTCTGCTGTTCAACTACGTGGAGGAGCTGGTGGAGATTTGCAAGCTGCGCCAGGACATCCTGCTCATGAAGCGGTACTTCATCACTTGCAGGGAGGCCATGGAGGCTCGTCTGTTGCTGCAGCTCCAGGATCAGCAGCATTTTGTGGAGAACGATGAGATGTACTCTGTCCAGGACCTCCTGGACGTGCATGCCGGCCACCTGGGCTGCTCACTCACCGAGACTCACACGCTCTTCACCAAGCACATCAAGCTGGAACGCGAGCGGTGCCAGGCCAAGGGCTTCGTGTGTGAGCTCTGCAGAGAGGGCGATGTGCTGTTCCCATTCGACAGCCACACGTCTGTATGCACCGACTGCTCCACCGTCTTCCACAGGGACTGCTACTACGACAACTCCACCACGTGTCCCAAGTGTGCCCAGCTCAGCCTGAGGAAGCAGTCACTCTTCCAGGAGCCAGGTCCTGACGTGGAGGCCTAGCGCTGAGGAACAGTGCTGGGCACCCCACCTGGCCCACCGGGACCCACCCTGCCAACGTCAAGTTGTTCGTTCTGCTCTGGAGACCCCTGGGTTGCGGCCCCTGGACCCCTCCACCCCTGCTGGGCCAGAGCGGGTGGGCAGTGTCAAGGCCCGTTGTCTCCCAGGTGCTTGCTGGGACTCGGGGTGGCCGCACCTGGCTGTCACCTGGGTGTGCTGCTGTGAGGGGTCCTTGCGTGGCCCCCATCCTTCCCCCAGTGCAGAACTCCATGGGCAGGGAGTTGGGGGGATATCTCACCTCCCCCATGGCACAGAGCCCTCCACACTCCTGAACCAGAGCATCCGGGCCCTAGAGATTCCACAGTTCCCATCCTGACCACCCTGGAAACTCATCAGGCCAAGACCCCGAGAGAGCTTCAGAGGAGTGTTGAGTAACACCTGAGGATGCGGCTGCACACACTCAGCCAAGGGCCGAGTCTCACCTGCAGTGGGGTTTCGGCTCTGCCTGGGGGCTCCATCACTTTCAGCCACTCGTCGCCTTGGGGATTTCTGGTTGTCCCCAGCTGGGGCTGTTCACAGTTGTCACCTGTAGACCTGCCTCTCCCTGGCCTGAGGTTCAAAGGCCTCATTGGGTGGTCAGTCCAGTGGGGTCACCTGTTGTTCCTGTACAACAGCAAGGAAGGGGACCATGGAGCTTTTCCCTGCTGGGTGCTCCTGCTTTGGCCCAGCCCAGCTTTCCTGGTGCTCCAAGCTAGGAGGCCATGGCCCCAGCCTAAAGAGGGTGTCCTGGTCTCCAGGTGTGGAGCAAGGACTGTGCACTGGGGGAGGTTCCAGTTAGGTGATGGGATCCTGCAGTGGTCTGGTGGCATTTCTTGGAACCAGATTTACCCAAGGAGATCTGTCCTGCTGCCTGTGGAGGGCTCCAGATAGCTCAGAAATGACCAGCCAATGGCCTTTTGTTTGGGGGCCTGAGATCAAGAGCTGAGAGTATTCACTCGACTGAGCCCATTCAGGAAGATCAGGGCAGGGGCGTGTGGGAGGTCCCTCACTCCACGGGACAGAGGCCCCTGGACAGCAGAGGAAACCTACAGCTCTGGGTGAGGGGATACTTGGCTTTGGTGTTTGCACTTTACAGATCCTGCGGTCCACGAGGGGCCTCAGGAGAGGATGTGTCAGGAGGTGGCTTCCCAGCCTTCTGCCTTGGGCAGTGGGGGTGCTCCTATCTGTCCTTTTCCCCTACACCCTGGACTGTGCTTGGCTGTTGGTGCACATGGTTGGCACACACGGTGGGCAGAGGGAAGAGAATGCCACTGCTTGGATATTTGTCCTCTTTGACCAGAAAACCCAAGAGGAGACACCTCAGTCAGCAGAAAGGCCGCCTGGCTCACTGGCTCATTCCAGGAGTGGGAGAGACGGCAGGGTCTCCTCTTTGCCCTCCACCATCAGGAAGGGGATGGTGTCCTCTCCCCACTGTGGTGGCTTTAGGCAAGGTTCTTACTGTCAGCTCTGCCTCGGTTTCCCCATCTGGAAAATGGGGGCAGGGGTACTGACCTACGTCAGGTGGAACAGTGAGCAGGGAGTCCTTTAGAGAGTGTGATGTGAGGTTGGATCAACAGTGTGGGTTCCTGTCCTGCTTCCCCTTCCTCTTTGGGGCTGAGGAGGGGGTTAAAGGCCAAATGCTGTTTCCCAACACCCCAAAGTCTGCACATGTCTCTTGAATGCATCACATTTCTGTCATATGGATATTAGCCATTCCGAAATCTGTGTAATCAACTTCACATTATTCAAGTTACAAATCACTGTGTGCATAGAAAAACTGTGCTGGTATTTGCTGGACAAAGGGTTGGGCCCCTTTTATTTTTACCTGCCACCCAGCATCTCCCCCACCTGCCCCTTCTGGGTGATACAGTCTGTAAACAGAATCACGTATGGGTCTTTCTATGGGTCCGTAGCACAGCAGGAAGAGCCTGGTGCCGCCAGCACCTCATGGAAGACCACATATGGGTGGTCCCACAGCATGGGACCAAGCTGGCCTGAGGGATGCCCAGTTGTAACAATGCTGCTGTCACTGTCTCATTAAATATATGTCCTTTAAAAAAAAAAAAAAAAAAAAAAAAAAAAACCAGAAAGAACCCGCACAGCTTATCTTCATTTTGGTACTCCAATCTCAATATCATTTTTTAAATTGCTTCAGCAGTGGGAAGAGATTCCCAGGGAGATATTGTGATATTCTCCAGCCAAAGCTTTATTACTAAGGTTCCTGTTGAGGGAAAATTCAAATAGAGGAAAAGCCTCATATTTATTGTAAGAAAGTTTAAGGGTAGTTGCCAAAAAAAAAAAAAAATCCCAAACTCAATGCAAAATTACTGTTGCAGTATTTTTCCATTCTTATATCTGTAATAATAAGCAAAATGATCAATGAGCCACATTTCAACCCTTAAAATAAGTATACTTACCAATTACTCAAAGAAGCTCACAGTAATCTCCAGGCTATCTTGAACAACCAACCTGCTAAAGATGCCACAGGTGCCTCAACACTGAAGGAATCAGGTCTATGCCAGCTCAGCTACTTCCTAAAGTTAAACCTTGGAATACACACACATTGAGTTTCTCTACAGCTTTAGGATGCACAGTGGTTGTTATTGTTGCTAGACAAGTCCTTGAAGATTATCCTCTGACTCAAAGCTTTAAAGAAAAATCTTACTGGAAAGGAATTCTTTGGTGAGATGTAGATCAGCATGGCACGCTGTAGGCAACATTTAGGAAGGAAGGCTGATTTCTTCTCTCTCATTCCAACTGCCTTTGTGATACCTGCTTGGGCATTGCCCAGGGATTCCAGCGGTCAGAGGTTCTGTAGGATGGTTTTTCTTTTTTTTTAAATCCTGCCTCAGGTTTATTTGTACAAATAGCACAGGAGGACACCAGCCCCATGCATATAGCAGCCCAGGGGTCACACCAGTCCTTCTGTTCTCAGATTGACAGAGACCTCTACTCTGAAGGCTGCCTGGTGGCCTGGACACCTTTGGAAGCCTGAGCTAGAACTGAAGCTGGAGCTGCAGACTGGGCCTTGGTTTGATCCTTGGCCTTTGGCCGGCAGAACCTGAAGGATGACATTTCTAGCAGAGCTCCAGGGAAGTCTTGCTGGACAGGGCATCTCCTCTGCCCCACCCTTGCTCCTCGAGTCCAGGCTCTTTGCATGGAGGCCCAGTGAACATGGCTGGAGCTCTAAACTTATGTGCTGGTGGACAAAGGTCAGTGACAATCACAGGACACCCCTCTTAACCTATGCATGTAACTTACCAGTGGCTCTTTGGAAATATGGCCTCACCTCTGCTCTCTAGTTCACAGTGACTTGAATGCCTGGGTGTCAGGTTAGGACAGGGTCCCATTTCAGGAGCTAGCAAATGGAAGAAAGCAGGAGGGCAAGGCAGCAGGCAGGTGATAATGTAGACTGTGGCCAGATGGAGTAGGTTCCAACCTTGGACCACCATTCATCTGCTGTGTGAACAGAGGGTGGATACCTTTAAGTGGTAGGGGACTCTGGCTGGGCACGGTGGCTCACGCCTATAATCCCAGCACTTCAGGAGGCCAAGGCGGGTGGATTGCCTGAGGTCAGGAGTTTGAGACCAGCCTGGCCAACATGTCGAAACCCCATCTCTACTAAAAATGCAAAAATTAGCTGGGCATGGTGACGGGTGCCTGTAATCCCAGCTACTCAGGTGGCTGACTGTGCATCTGTGGCTGGGGTGGGTGAGGCTTTGTTTGGTATTTTTATTGCCTATTTTTCTTTTTTTATGCTCAAAGCTACTCCTGGGCAAGTTCCCTGACTCTTGAATCTTTTTCAAAATTTAGCTCTTCTGTAATATTTAAACTTAGCTAAGTTGGCCACTATGCAAGCCTCCTGGATTTCCTTCCTTCAAGATATTATAGCATGACTCTTTTGCTAAATTTGTATTCTCATGCAATATTAGCATGAGGAAAATTTTACAACATTTAAAAAAGTGAATATAGCTACTGATAATGAATGTTAAGCTACATTGACATTCATTTTGGAATTAGTGATCACCTACTAAGTTGAACCACATGAAATTTCTGTGGTGTAAATCAAGTCGGTTGAGTACAGGTGACTTCATATGGTTGAACCTACAGGTGACCCTGGATCACTCCTCCACTCCTCATTTTGTAATCCAAGAAAAGGACTCTCAGGATGTGAAGTAACTTACTCATGGTCACATAAATTATTAGGCGTTGACTTAGAAACATATAATGTATTTTCTTAACTAAGGGAGTGAAAAATTCTTATTACTACTCCATTTACGAATTGCCTTGGCTATTCTTGCATGTAAATAGATATACACATACATACACACACACACACACACACACACACACACACACACACACATATATATATATATATATATTTTTTTTTTGAGACAGAGTTTCGCTATTATTGCCCAGGCTGGAGTGCAATGGCTTGATCTCAGCTCACTGCAACCTCTGCCTCCCGGGTTCAAGTGATCCTTCTGCCTCAGCCTCCAAAGTAGCTGGGATTACAGGCATGTGCCACCATGCGCAGCTAATTTTTGTATTTTTAGTAGAGACAGGGTTTCTTCATGTTGGTCAGGCTGGTCTCAAACTCCCAACCTCAGGTGATCTGCCTGCCTCAGCCTCCCAAAGTGCTGGGATTACAGGTGTGAGCCACTGTGCCTGGCCTCTTGCATGTAAATATTTTGAGATACAAATTGAATAATTTCATTTTACTTGAGGGATAATTTAGGGGAAAGTAACATCTTTGTAATAGTGAGTCTTGATACCCAAGGATGCAATGTATTTAAGTCTTCTATCATGCCCTTCAGTGGTGTTTTGAATATTTCTTCATGGAAAGCTTAGGACATTTTTAATTTTTTTGTTTCAGATTCAGGGGTCAATTTTTCCTTTATTTTGAACTAATTATGCATACATATGAACAATTGTTTTCTGAAGTTACTTTCACAGGGAAGACCTTTACTGAATTTTCTTAATGTTGTTTTTCAAGGTACTGGCTTATGTTTCCAAGAAACAAATAAAGATAATTTTACTTTGTTTTTAATGTTTATGCTTCTTGTTGTACTCCCTTCTCTAAGTTAATGTGCCTGATAACTTTTGAAAGTAAGAATAGAGACACAGGAAAGAGGCCAGAAGGTTGGAATAAGGGCTAAATAAAGAAACTTATTGCCACCAAAATAAAGACGAATCCAGGTTAATCCTCTCTGGTATTGACTTGTGAGAAAAGATGGACATCGGCATGTAGGACCTTAGAACGACAGGAAGAATGAAGAAAAGAGCCTCAGAGCACAGCCTGGTGATATCATAGAAGACATGTATTTAAGGCATTTCATCTCTCGGTGACGACTTGCTTCAGGTCCTTGCACATGCATATATGGAGAGAAGGGTGTCAAAGCACAATCTCATGTTTGCTCTGATTTTTCTCTCTATGAATTGTTTTTAATTTCCTTTTTTCAGAGACCAACAGATTTGTAGAAAATGAGGCAAGATTATTTACAGAACATTAGCTTCTGTATATAATGTTTATATTTATATTATGACATTTTGTTGACATGGCCAAAACGATTTTACCTTTAGGTAAATAGAAGAACTGCTTGATCGAAAAGATGCCCACTTTTCAAGAGCACAGTTGAAGGGAACAGTTGAAGGTGATAATCACAATAACATAATGGTAGGAAGAACAGAAATTGCTGTGTGCTTGCTTTATGCCAAGCATTGAGCACAACTTTGAAATGGTTAAATCTCATTTAATCCCCACAATAATAATGACTGTTTTATAGATGAAGAAACTAGAGTTTACAGAAGGGAAATTACTCAAATCTACAGTTTATAACTGGTTTTTATTTTCACAGCCAGGTCTGTAGGACTTTAAAGCCCCAGCCTAGGCACTACTTTTGTCCTAAAGATGTGCATTTATTGTCTGTGATATGTAAGAGACCATAAATATTGGTCTCAATGCAAATTAATTTTCAAAGATCTATCAACAAAAGTAAGCTTGGTAAAAGATGATTTTAAACAGAACATTCAGTAAAGATTAAACAAGATGCACAATCCAATCAAAGAAAATGTGTTAAGTCCTCACAGGGGCATTTTCTACAGATTTACACATAGCTTTTCCATGTGAAAAGGAAACTATGTAATTCTTGTTTAGCTTCCTCCATCTAAAGTGACACAATGTACCAAATAGCTTAAATTAATGGTTAGATTTGGTTAATTATCAAGGCTTCCTCTTTGAAAATCATAAATTTATTTTACTTTTTTTTTTTTTTTTTGAGGCGGAGTTTTGCTCTTGTTGCCCAGGCTGGAGTGCAGTGGCGTGATCTCGGCTCACTGCAACCTCCGCCTTCTGGATTGAAGTGATTCTTCTGCCTCAGCCTTCCGAGTAGTGGGGATTACAGGCACCCACCACCACACCCAGCTAATTTTTGTATTTTTAGTAGAGACAGGGTTTTACCAGGTTGGCCAGGCTGGTCTCGAACTCCTGACCTCAGGTGATTCACCTGCCTCGGCCTCCCAAAGTGCTGGGATTACAGGTGTGAGCCACCGCACCTGTCCAAAAATCATAAATTTAACTTGGATATGGAATTAATTTGGCCCTTTCTTTATTTCAGTGAAAGACGTATAAAAAATTGCCCCCTTATCAACACAAAGGGTTTCTCCTGACCATTATTTCCAGGTATGCACAGTCTCCTAACTATGACAACAGAAATCATTCTGAACTCCTTCCATTTCCCAGGGAGAAAACAGAAGCACCTTGGGCAGAGTGAAAAAGAAACCACCTGGAGAGGAGGCCCTGCAACATGAACCCATCTTTAGGCCCAAGGGCATTCTGACATCTGAAATCAAAGTCATGATTGCCTCCATTTCTAGAAAATGTTCCAGAAATATTTCCAGGATATATAATTATTAAAGCACAGGCTTTGTTGTCTTTAGGCTTGGAAAGGTCTTTGAAAGTTATTTGGATTAAATCATTAGAAATTTACTAACACTGATATCAAGTTAATGGTTAAAAACAAAGCTTTGTCCACCCCCAGGCCCAGGAGAAATGTGCACATATGTTCACCAAGAGACGTGTACAAGTATTTTCACACCAATATTATGAGCCAAAAACTCAAAACAACCCAAATGTTCACCTAAAGTGGAATAAACACAGTATTGTGGCGTTCCTATAACGAACTACTACTACGCAACGAGCACAAATAAACTCTAACTCCCAATAATGTGACCGGATCTCACAAACATTGTATTGGAATACGGAGGCCAGACCCAAAAGAGGATGTTGTACATGGATGAAATTTATAGAAAATTCAAAAACAGGCAAAGCTGATACATGGTATTAGACAGGGCAATGATTATCCTTAGTGCAGAGGGAGACAGTGACTAGAATGATGCATGAGGGAGGTTCTGGGTTTCTGGGAATGTTCTGTTACTGTTCGTGTTAGGAGGAGGGGTGCAAAGGGTAGTGACGAGGCCCACCCTCTGGACCCTGCAGCATGAGAGAGAGTCTTGATCCTGATGGCAGAAACCATCCCCCGAGCCCAGGGCCACCCATAGGACAGACACCACGAAGCCACATTCTGAGGCCAGTCTCAGCCATTCTTGCTGCCCTCCAACCCTGTCCCAGCCAAAGATGAACCTCCAGGGGTGGGGAAGGATGGACAGACAGCATCCAATGCACTCTGAGAGCCTCTGCACCTGGGTGGATGAATCTTTGTGTCCAGGGCTGGCTGTCAGTAGATCCAGGCTTTCATTCCTAGAAGTGGTTAGTTTCCAAGATTTTCAGAAAATAATGTCTAATTATAAAATTTTAAAAATATATAGAAGAGTTTTTGGCCAGGCATGGTGGCTCATGCCTGTAATCCCAACACTTTGGGAGGCCGAGGTGAGTGCATCACCTGAGGTCAGGAGTTCAAGACCAGCCTGACCAACATGGAGAAACCCCGTCTCTGCTAAAAAATACAAAATTAGTTATGCGTGGTGGCACATGCCTGTAATCCCAGTTACTCAGGAGGCTGAGGCAGGAGAATCACTTGAACCTGGGAGGCGGAAGTTGCAGTGAGCCGAGATCATGCCATTGCACTCCACCCTGGGCAACAAGAGTGAAACTCTGTCTAAAAAAAAAAAAAAAAAATATATATATATATATATACACACACACACACACACACACACACACACATATATATATAGAGAGAGGAGTTTTATAATAGCAATACAAAATGAAACCATCATGTATTTCACAGATAAATTTAAAAACTGAATTAAAAAGTATATCAAATCCCATATTTTTTCAGTTTGCTGGCCTGAAATAAAGTAATAATGTGAGGTTTAAGTAATGTCAATTATTTTCACAACTATAATACCATTCAGTGTTTATCCTGTACTCTGTACTCTCTTTATAATTAAGGATCTATACAGACCATTACAAAACACTTGAGTGGGCTGAAACCATTAGGGTCCATTCTGGAACTATTGTTTTCAATTTGCTCTCCCAACTTGCATATTCTTATGTGTTCAGCATTTCTTATTAACCCTGTATTTTTGTCCACTCATTTTTCACTTCTTAAATTTCACTCTATCTTACTGATAATATTTCAGGCTTCTTCTGAGAAAACAAGAGGCTGGGCATGGGTGGCTTATGCCTGGAATCCCAGCACTTTGGGAGGCCAAGGCGAGCGGATCACTTGCATCCAGAAGTTCAAGACCAGCCCGGGCAACATGATGAAACCCCATCTCTACAAAAAATACAAAAAATTAGCTGGGCATGGTGGCACACTCCTGTAGTCCCAGCTACTCGGGTGGATCACTTGAGTGCAGAAGGTCAAGGCTGCAATGAGCCATAATCGCACCACTGCACTCCAGACTGGGTGCCAGAGTAAGACCTTGTCTCAAAAAAAAAAAAAAAAGAAAAAAAAAACTAAATTGGAAATTGCTCAGTTTACTCCCTTATAACTGCTATAGTATGGATGTTTTTATGCAACAAGAGAGCTAAGAAATCCTTCTAACAATTTCCTGAAGTAGATCACAAATATCTTACTACTCTACAAAATTTTTATTATTTCTTATACTTAATGATATCGTTATTGATATATCATTTCAAGGCAAGTAGTAACAGTTGTCACTGGAGAAGTTGTTTATATAAGAAGTGAAATAATCTGTTAAACCTCACTTTAAGTGTGCCAGTTTTGATGCTAGGACTAAGGCAATGTGTATCCAAGTGTAGATCTGTGCCAGTTATATCAGAATCAAGGATGCTTATTAAAAATGCAAACTCTCACATCTGTAATCCCAGCACTTTGGGAGGCCGAGGTGGGTGGATCACCTGAGGTCAGGAGTTCGAGACCAGCCTGAACATGGAGAAACCCTGTCTCTACTAAAAATACAAAATTGGCCGGGTGTGGTGGCACATGCCTGTAATCCCAACTACTCGGGAGGCTGAGGCAGGAGAATTGCTTGGACCTGGGAGGCAGAGGTTGCAGTGAGCCGAGATCACGCCATTGCACTCCAGCCTGGGCAACAAGAGCAAAACTTCATCTCAAAAAAAAAAAAAAAAAAATGCAAACTCTCTTGGGCCCTTTCTCAAATGTGCAAACCATAATTCTGTGCCATGGCCTGGGACCTGCATTTTGACGTCTAAAGTGATTTTCTTTCACACTGAAGTTTGAGAACCTTTGATTTAAGATTTCTACCATTAGCTACTACAAGGAGAAGAGGAAAATAATTGTTGATTTTAGCCAAAAAGAACAAACAGTCTTTTTAATGTGAGTCACTTACTCCTTGAAAATGGCTTAGAAATCCAGAAGACCTGGCCTCTACTCCTCACTCTGATTTAATGTGTGAACTTAAGAGTCTCGTACATGTATCCTTCCTTCCTTCCTTCCTTCCTTCCTTCCTTTCTTTTTTGAGATGGAGTTTCACTCTTGTTGCCCAAGCTGGAGTGCAATGGCAATGGCACAATCTCTGCTCACTGCAACCTCCGCCTCCCGGGTTCAAGCGATTCTCCTGCCTCAGCCTCCCAAGTAGCTGGGATTACAGGCATGCACCACCATGCCTGGCTAATTTTGTACTCTTAGTAGAGACAAGGTTTCTCCATGTTGGTCACCCTGGTCTCGAACTCCTAACCTCAGGTGATCCACCCACCTCGGCCTCCCAAAGTGCTGGGATTACAGGTGTCAGCCACCGCGCCCAGCCCAGACATTTATTTTTTCTAGGCTCTGCTTTCTCTGATCTAAAATAAGGTGGTTGGGATTTTATTAATCTATCAAGTACAAACATTTTCTTTCTTCCCTTGAGTCCACTTCCAGGCAGCAACAGGACTTGATTCTGCAGCAGATCCTGTCCTCATGAAAAGTGCTGGCTGAGAGCCCGGTGGCTCATGCCTATAATCCCAGCACTTTGGGAGGCCAAGGCAGGAGGATTGCTTAAGCCCAGGAGTTGGAGTCCCAGCTACTTGGGAGGCTGAGGCAGCGAGCTGAGATTGTGCCAGTGTACTCTAGCTTGGCGACAGAGTAAGACTCTGTCTGAAAAACAAAACAAAACAAGAAAAACGAGAAACTCTTGGGAGCTTTATGGCCTTGCCCATCACCAAGAATCCAAAATACTTACCCTGGCCATCTGAGGGCAAGCTTAGAGCCCCCTACTACTACCACAGCTGGTGCTCTCTTGAGAGCACCACCTCCTGGCTGGAGGCCAACCAACTCAGGTCATTACAGCAACTCATGACAGAACAACTCTGATCCCAGGAAGCAGAAGACAACACCTAATTCCACTGCCTGCAACAACTTGGCTAACCAGAGGTCTGGAGCGTGTCCACCTGACAACGTCACTGCTAGCATAACCAGCATTCAGGAAAGCCAGCACACTAAACATATCTACAACCAGAGACTCTTCATAGAGTCTACTTCACTTCCATGCCACCTCCACCAGAGCAGGTGCTGGTACCCCTGGCTGGGACACCAGGAGACGGATCACATCACAGGACTCTTTGCAGACATCCCCCAGCACCAGCCCAGAGCCCGACAGCCCCGCTGGGTGGCAAGACCCAGAAGAGCAATAATAATCACTGCAGTTCAGCTCTCAGGAAGCCCCATCCTTAGGGGAAGGGGGAGAGCACCATCTGAAACGATAACCCTGTGGGACAAAAGAATCTGAACAGCAGGACTTGAAAGATCACAACAGCTTCCCAGCAATGGATCCAAACCAAGAAGAAATCTCTGAATTGCCAGATAAAAGTCTACACATTGGGTACAATGTATACTGTTTGGGTGACGGGTGCACTAAAATCTTAGTAATAACCACTAAAGAATTTATCAATGTAACGAAAAACCACCTGTTCCCCAAAAACTATTGAAATAAAAAATTCAAAAAAAAGAAAATCTGTTCTCCAGCTACAACAGAAGAAAATTACCAGTTAAGTAAGTGAATTTGGTGAAACTCACAAATATGTGGAAATTAAACGACATAGTCCTAAGTTATCAATGGGTCAAAAAACAGCACAAAGAAAATTCAAAATATGTTGAGATTACTTAACGTGAAGATGCAACGTACCAAAAAGTAGGGGATTCTGTGAAAGAGTACTTAGAGGAAAACAGGTATCAGTCAATGTCTATACTAAAAAAGGAAGAAATATATCAACAGCCTAATATTTGTTAAAAACATTTAGAAGCAAATGAACTACCTGCACAACCTGAGGCAAAGAATGTATCTGTTGGGGGAAACAATGTACATGCTGAAAAGCCTAAGTGGAAAGACTAGGGAATTAAATGTTATGAGATTAGGGCTTTGAAAAACATCCACCAATTCCTGGGAATTTACAGTTTCATGTCAATATTCAGGATGATGTATAGTCTTACAACAGACCTAGAAGGTGAAGGGGTTCATCAACACTAGACTTGCCTTACAATAAATGCCAAAGGGATTTCTTTAAGTTGAAAAGATAGGATGCTAATAAAAAACAAAAAGATATAAAAATATATATCTCACTGTTAAAGGTAAGTATGTAGACACAAACAGGATAATGGAATGCTATGTGATAGTGGTATGTAAATAATTTTAAGCAGAATATAAACGTTAAAAGGCAAAAAGCATTGAGAATATCTGAGGCCACAAAAATTTGTTAATGGATATACAATATATAAAAAATGAAATTCTGATCTAATTAACATAACATGAGTGGAGGAAATAAAAGTACAGAGTATTTGTTGTTTGTTGGTTTGTTTGTTTGTTTTGAGTTGGAGTCTCACTCTGTTGCCCAGGCTGGAGTGGAGTGGCATGATATCAGCTCACCACAACCTCCACCTCCCAGGTTTAAGCAATTCTCCTGCCTCAGCCTCCCAAGTAGCTGGGGTTACAGGCGTGTGCCACCACACCCAGATAATTTTTGTATTTTTAGTAGAGACGTGGTTTCACTATGTTAGTCAGGCTGGTCTCAAACTCCTGACCTCAGGTGATCCACCCGCCTCAGCCTCCCAAAGTGCTGGGATTACAGGCATGAGCCACCACATCTGACCAAGTATAGAGTGTTTGTATGTGATTAAAGTTAAGTGGTTGTCCACTGAAAACTGATGACTATGAAGTATAAGAACTTTTATGCAAGCCCCATGGTAACCATAAAGAAAAACTTTCGGCTGGCCACAGTGGCTCATGCCTGTAATGCCAGCACGTTGGGAGGCTGAGGCAGGTGGACCACGAGGTCAGGAGTTCAAGACCAGCCTGGCCAAGACGGTGAAACCCTGTCTCTACTAAAAATACAAAAATTAACTGGGCGTGGTGGCAGGCACCTGAATTCCCAGCTACTCAGGAGGCTGAGGCAGAGAATTGCTTGAACCCAGGAGGCAGATGTTGCAGTGAGCCGAGATCGTACCACTGCACTCCAGCCTGGGTGGCAGAGCGAGACTCTGTCTCAAAGAAAAAAAAAAAAAAAAAAAGAGGAAAAAAGAAAAACTTTCACTAGATACATAAAATAAAGAGAAATTAATCTATATAATCACTAAAAACAAAAAATCAAATCACAAAGGAAGATAGAAAGCAGAAAGTGAGGGAAAAAAATTGCTGAACAGAACATCATTAACCAAGTGGCAATAGTAAGTCTTAAGTATAATTACTTTACATGCAAATAGATCAAATGCATCAATCCAAAGATACAGATTGTCCAAAAGGATAGAAAACCAAGATCCAACGATATGTTGTCAACAACACTCACCTTAGACTTAGTAGAAGGAAATAAATAAAAAGATTAGAAGAAAAATAAATAAAGCAGAAATGAAGTTGTATACTTTAAATACACATAAGGTTTGTCAACTATATCTCAATAAAGCTGTAAAAAGAAAATGAAAAAATGGTGCAAAATTTTATCCGTGCAAGAAGAATAAGTCCTAGAGATCTATTATACAACATAGGTCCTACAGTAAATTTTACAGTACTTTATACTTAAAAAACTTGGGGCTGGGTGCAGTGGCTCATGCCTGTAATCCCAGCACTTTGGGAGGCTGAGGCAGGCAGAACATGAGGTCAAGAGATTGAGACCATCCTAGCCAACATGGTGAAACTCCGTCTCTACTAAAGATACAAAAAATTAGCTGGGTGTGGTGGCACATGCCTGTAGTCCCAGCTACTCAGGAGGCAGAGGCAGGAAAATCACTTGAACCCAGGAGGCGGAGGTTGCAGTGAGCCGAGTGCGCACCACTGCACTCTAGCCTGGCAACAGAGCAAGACTCTGTCTAAAAAAAAAAAAAACACACACACAAAACAAAACAAGACAAAACAAAACTTGCCTAGAGGTGTATTTTGTGTTGTGTTTTTATCACATAAAATATAAATAAGAGCACTGGGGAAAATTTTGGAGTTATTGGATATGTTTACAGAATAGACTGTGTTTATGGTTTTACAGATACATACTTATCTCCAAAACTATCCAACTTACATATTAAATATTTACTGCTTTTTGTAAGTCAATCATTCTTCCATAAACTCATTTTGTAAAAGGCAGATAAATAATAGAAGGAAAAATAGAAACAAAGAACAGGTGCAATGAATAGAAAACAGTTAACAAATATGGTTGATATTAATCCAGTTATGCCAATAACTAATCAATGGTCTAAATTCATCTATTAAAAGACAGATGTAGAGTGAATCAAAAAACAAAATGCAACTATATGTCATCTTCAAGAAACACTCTTTAAATATAAATACACATATAGTTTAAAAGTAAAGGTATACGGAAACATATACTATACTAAGACTAATTTTAAAAAAGCTTGTTTTGAGACAGAGGGGACTTTAGAACAAGGAAATTCATCAGGGATAAACAGGAACATTTGTTAATTTTAAAAGGGTCAATTTTTCAATCAGTGATATCAATGTACATATATATGCCTCAATGTATATGCCCAATGACAGAGCATCAAAACACAAGGCAAAAACTGATAGAACTGCAAAGAGAACTAGATACATCCAGTATTTTAGTTGAAGATTTTAATACTCTCTATCAGTAATAGACAGACATGGCAGACAGAAAAATCAGGACCGTCCTAGTTGAACTCCCCCAGCATAATTAATCAACTGAATATAATAGATATCTATAGAATACTTCCACCCAGCAACAGAATAAGGGAACGTCTACCAGGATACACCACATTCTAGGCCATAACATATACATTGAACAATGCAAAAAAAATAGAAATCACAAAACGTATGTTCTATGTTTTCATACCCAATGGAATCAAACTAGAAATCAGTAACAGAAAGATCTGGAAAATCCCAAGATACTTGGAGATTTAAAGCATATGCTTGTAAGTAAAATATGGGTCAAAGAAGACAACACAAGATAAATTAAAATTAGAAATAGTGTGAGGGTCTCTCATAGGGGGGCATATTGTGATGGTGAGACAGAAATCAGTGGCATCCTTGAAACGGTTGCTGGGAACTGAACAGCACCATCAGCAGAGAGGGCATAGTAGGTCCATTGGTGGCTAACCTATTAGAGGAGATACTGCGAGTGAGGTGCAGCTGCAGACTTGAGGCAGACTCCCCAATGGTGAGGGAAGAGCAGCAAATGAGTCATAACCAGGGTCTGACCGTAAGGTGGCAGGATGTCAGCAAAGGCATGACTAGTGAGCTAAAAGGCCGGCTACTGGGTGGTGTCTGAAATGACCCTATGATAAAAACTGTCCATGACCTGAGAGCCGAGTAATTGGTGAATAGGCCTGGAGAAGACACAATTATGTGAGGAACTTTGGGAAACCTGGGACAGCAAAAGCCATGGCACACTGAGGCTTGGAAAAATGGTTCCATGGGGATGTAAAAGGAGTTGAAAGGTCTGGGTGGTAGTAGGCTTGGAGTTGCTGCATTGTGAGCAATGGCAGGCTAGAATGGGACAGGACCGAGAGGACTCAGAACTAAGCAGTAAGGTCTAAACACACTGTGTGTGCTGGAGGTGATGTCATAGGCACAAAAACTTGATCTTGGAGGTGGCCCAATCAACCATTTTGGGTCCTATCCATCTCTAATGGCTGCAAAGCACAACTGAGATGCCAAGTGTCTCTAGGAGGCACAGGCTGTAGAAACAGTGATAAGGGTGGCCTAAGGGTTAAACTCAATGTGGCCTGAGGAGGGTGAAGAGCCTGAGGCCGACTGGTTGTAGATTTTGTCTGCCTGCCTTACTCTAAATATAGCCGCACAATTTGGACTCGTGGGGGAAAGGGTGGGAGCAGGGTGAGGGATAAAAGACTACCACACATTGAATACAGTATAGACTCTTCGGATGATGGGTGCACCAAAATCTCAGAAATCACCACTAAAGAACTTATTCATGTAACCAAACACCATCTGTTCCCCAAAAACCTACTAAAATTTTTAAAAAGTAACAATAGCTTAACAGTGTTGAAAAGAATATAACAATACAATAGTTCTTTCCTGATACAATTACATTTTCAATTTTATTAATTTAAGGGAGTATATTTGGGAATTCAGAAAGGTCAAGGGATGAGTACTCTTTAGATTTTTTAAAGGAAACATCAATTAGAATCATTTTGTTTTGCCATAAATAATGTCATATGCTGTTTAGTACACTGGAAATTTTTCTTCTATTATGTGACAAAAATCAAAGATGTATTCCAAAAACTAATTTTCTCAACATCAAAATTTATAATATGAGTAAATTATAATTTTAAAATTTTCCCTTAGAAATTCATACCTTCATAATGTTGATCTCCAGAACAAGGATTGAATACATTAGTCAGACATCAGTTTCTTGATGTTTTGAATAATATAGTCTGGCAATTTCTTCGGTTTCTTAGCCTTCTGTATATAATACATGGATGTTGTCCATATTATTGAAATGCAAATTTATTGAAAGGATACTAGCATGTCCACTGAGATTTATAGTGTATCAGTTTTGGAAAAATCCCATCTCATTATATGAAACTGTACTGAAATAAGAGCAAAACATTTGCAAACCATATAGCTTCAAGTAATTAGTGACTTGTTCAGGTCTGCCCCTTAAATTTTTCTGTTTTTGGAAGAAATCAATGAGTACAGACTGTTGAACTTGGATACTCCACATTTAAAGAATGCCATTTTAAATTCCATTCTTCCTGTAAAACTAACATTTTACATCCAAAAAAATAAGTAAATATAGCCCCACAATTTGATGGAAATGGCAGGCTGTTGTATCATGTGGGACGATGGCTCATTCCCATTGAGTTGTGTGGTTAGTTGTCAATATGAGGGCCCACTGAACCTCTCCCTCTTTGTTATCGGGCAGAAGGACATTATCCACATAGTGCCACAAGTGGACATCAGGTGGCAGTCAGAGGGTAGCTAGATCTAGTCATTGCAACCTTGAGCCAGCAGAGGATTGTTGAGGTAGTCCATCAGATGCCTCCTAATGGTGTACTGTCAGCCTTCAAATCTGAAGGTGAACTGCACCTGATCTTCTTCACAAATAGACACAATAGAACATGTTTGCCAGGTCAGTAACAAAACCAAGAGGGAGAAGCATTCTGAACTTCTTCCAAGACAATGACAATGCTGGGTAAGGGGACTCTAAAAGGAAGTACAGCCTTGTTGAGGTTGCGGTTTTTAGCAATGAGCCTTCATTCCTTTCCCTGGCCTTGAGAAAGGGCCATTGGTGAGTTAAAAGGTGAGATGGTGGGTTTCAGAACACAAGCTCTATTAACTGGGCAGACCCCCTCTGTGCCTTGCTTGGGTGATATTATGAGGTACTGACCACCTGGAGGAGTCTGGGGAGCTGTAAAAGTTCCCAGTAGGCATGACGTACTTCCATGCAAAGAACTTGGTGTGGTGAGACCCTCAGTTGGGGAACTGAAGTGCCAGAATGTCCAGGCCAATGATAGGAAATGGTCACTGAGAAATGGGCAGGAGAAACACTGGTGCTCAAGGGAGAAGGATGAGTCCTACCTTAACAGTGAGCATGGCAGGCATCCTAAGGGCTCATCTTCCTCTCAGTCCATCAACGGGCACAGGAAGGCTGGTGCACTGCATGGGCAAAGCAGAGATAAGAATGACCCATTATCCAGTGTGTAATAAGACTATACACGTCTACAGGTTTGACCACCAGACTTGGATGTGATAATCTGATTGACACAGGAAAAAAAGCATTTGGCTAAATCCATCATATGATTAAAACCCTAACCAAACTAGAAATTGAAGAGTACTTCCACAATCTGGTCAAGTGCATCTAAGAAAACCTATGATAAACATCCTCAACTAAGTTAGTGGGTAAAGAATGTTTACTCCATAAGATTGGAAACAATACATAAATAATCACTTTGACCACTTTCATCAACATTCTACTGAAGGATTTTGCTCAAGAAATAATGCTAGGAAAAAAATCAGCCAATGGCTCTTCAAAACACTTAACGTGGAAAGGACACCCTATTCACTAAGTGGTTCTGGGAATAGTGGCTGACCATATGCTTAAGAATGAAACTGGACCCCTCTCACTCACCTGTACAAAAATTAACTCAAGATAGATTAAAGGCCTAAATGTAAGACCTAAAACTATAAAGATCCTAGGAGAAAACCTAGGAAAACTCTTCCAGACACGGGAATGCTCATACATTGTTGGTGGGTATGTCAATTAGTTCAACTTCTATGGAAAAAGTAGGGAGGTATCTCAAAGAACTAAAAGTACAACTACCTTTCGACCCAGCAATCCCACTACTGGGTATCTACCCAAAGGGAAAGAAATCATTATATAAAAAGGCACTGCACTCCCATGTTTATCGCAGCATAACTTACAACAGCAAGGTCATGGAACCAAGGTAAGTATCCACCAACGGTTCATTAAATAAAGAAAATGTGGTGCATATACACCACAAAGTACTAGGCAGTCATAAAAAAGAACAAAATCATGTCCTTTGCAGCAACACAGATGCAGCTGAAGGTCATTATCCTACGTGAATGCAGAAACAGCCAAATACTGCATGTTCTCATGAAGATGGAGAGAATACACTGTGGGGACTCAAAAAGTTGGGGGGAAGAGTTGAAAACGTACCTACTGGGTACAACCTCCAATATTTGGGTGATGGGTATGCTAGAAGTTCAACCCCCCCCCCATTGTGCATGTGATATACATATAACAAACAAGCACGTGTACCTTCTGAATCTAAAATAAAATAGAAAAAGAAAAAAGCCAAAGAAAAACATCCCGGGAATCCAGGGAGCAGCGGCTACTGCCTCCACTGCTCACTGCAGCCCGCAGGTTCCACGCCGGCAGCTCCTGCCTGCGGGCAGTGGAGCTGCGGAGAATGGCGGGATGGGTCTAGGTGCCAGGGCCAGAGCCCAGGAGGGGCGCTGAGTGGGGGTCTGGCCGGCTTCTGCCTTGCACCGGAGCAGGGGTGCCTGGTGAAACAGTCAACCTGATGCTCTCTGGGCCTTGCCCACGTTCCACTTCCATCCACCCTCCTTTGCATCTTTCTGTGCCTGGGGCCCCCATAGGAAGCGGTCACATCCAGACTCACCAGGCCTGAGATGCTGGAGGATGGAGAAGCGCTTGCCACGGGAAAAATCCTCCAGGAACACATGAACAAAACTTCGCCTGCACCTGGGACATCCTTCCTTACGGCTGGCCTACGAGGCAAGTGTTCTGCACACGCTCCTTGGCTAACTCCAATGCAGAGGAGCACATGAGCCCAACCGCCATGGCAGGTGCAGATCTTTGCCTCCCTTTTACAATGACTGTATTCACTCAAATGACATATCCTGGAAGCCTCTTTCTGATAGGATGAGAGCAGACTCTGTACTACAACACAGATTGGATAAGTCTCCAACTCCGATTAGTGAAGATTATCCAGTCAGAGATGGAGACTATTATCCAATAAGAGTTGTCAAAAAAAGTTCCTTCTCACCCAATCAGAACCAAGCTTACAAGTACAGCAGTTGCGTACAGCCATGATAAAAGGGAGGTGAAGGCCCATTTCGCGATTTTCTTTTCGTGGAGGTTGGGCTCGCGTGTTTCTCTGCGCTGTGGTCGTCATGGACCGGAAGCGTGTGCAGCGCGCCTGCCTTGAGGCCAGCATCAGGGAAGGGTGTTCCCAGGTGCAGAGGAAGTGTCCTTCACGTGTTCCTGGAGGACTTTCGGCTCGCAAGCGCTTCTCCATTCTCCCAGCGTCTCGGGCCTGGTGAGTCTGGATGTGAGCGCATCCCACGGGGCCCAAGGCACAGAGAGAGAGAGAGGAACGGGGTGGAGGGAGGGAAGCGTGTGCAGGGGCCAGGAGCGCCAGGCTGCTCTGGCTTCCCGGCCCCCGCAGCCCGCCAGGAGCTGTGGCCCGGCTTGGGCCAAGGCAGAGGCCCGCCCTCCTGCTGCTGGCGCTGTCACCTCCCTGTGGTCCTGCCTTCTGGGTCCCTGAGGGCCTTCTGTCATCTGGAACTGGAAATAAGTTAGTGAAGCGAAGTTTTGTGAATATTTATTGGCTTTTGCGTCTTTGTCTTCATTTTCAGTGCTGGCTTTTCTGTTGGGTCATTTGTGTTCTTACGTTGATTTGAAGAATTTAAAAAGGTATTCTATAAATTAATCCTTTACGGGGTCATTTCTAGTGCAGATAGTTGTTTCTTAGTCTGGTCATTGTACCTTAATTTTATTTAACATTTCTTTCTTGCTGTACAGTATATTTACATATGCTGTAAATCATAAGTTTTTCTCCTATTTTTCTGCAAATAGGATATTTTACATGAGCTATTTTTGGATGTTAACTAATCCTGACTTTTTTAGTATATCCCACTTCGTATCCATGTGTTACATTTTCATATGTGGTTTAATTCATATGTTTTTTTTTAGAATATTTGTATTTCTGTTAATGAAAGAGAGGGCCTATAATTTTTTTTCTAATGTCCTGTTCAGATTGTGGTGCCAACGTAATGCTGGCTTCACAAAACAAACTGAAAAATATTTCCTGTATTTCTTCTCTTTGGAAGAGTCTGAGAAATTTAGGTGTTTTCTGCCTTAAATATTTGGAATATTTCTTTAGGTATGGAATTTTCCATGTGGAACAGTATTTTTGTTGGCTGGTTTGACTTCTAATAATTCAAATCCTTTGGTATATGTAGGAGTTTTCTTGTTTTATGTTATTTCTGTGCCCATTTTACTAAGTTTATTTTTATTTTTATTTTTATTTTTGGGGGGACAGAATCTCGCTCTGTCTCCCAGGCTAGAGTGCAGTGGCACGATCTCGGCTCACTGCAACTTCCGCCTCCCGGATTTCTCCAGCCTCAGCCTCCTGAGTAGCTGGGATTACAGGTGCGTGCCACCACGCACTGCTAATTTTTGTGTTTCTAGTACACATGGGGTTTCACTATGTTGGCCAGGCTGATCTCGAACTCCTGACCTCGTGACCCACCTGCCTCAGCCTCCCAAAGTGCTGGGATTACAGGTGTGAGCCACCGTGCCCGCCTGTATTTTTTAGTAGAGATGGGGTTTCGGCATGTTGGCCAGGCTGGTCTCAAACTCCTGGCCTCAGGTGATCCACCAACCTCAACCTCCCAAAGTGCTGGGATTACAGTCGTGAGCCACCGTGTTCGGCCTAGGAAGTTTATTTTTCAATGTAATGTTATTTGAATCTCTGTTGTCAAACTTCTAGTCCTAAGTATTTCACAGAACCCTCCTAGTGTCTTAATAATACACTGCTCTATAGGGCAGGCTTCTGTTTTGGTTCCTGATAGTGATATTTTGTGTCTTTTCTCTTTGCCTTAATTAGTTTCACTAGTGGTTTATTAAGTATATTAATATTTATAAGCCAACTTTTTTTTTTTTTTGAGAAGGAGTCTTGCTCTGTTGCCCAGGCTGGAGTGCAGTGGTGGGGTCTCGGCTCACTGCAAGCTCCACCTCCTGGGTTCACACCATTCTCCTGCCTCAGCCTCCTGGGTAGCTGGGACTGCAGGTGTCCACCACCACACCTGGCTAATTTTTTGTATTTTTAGTAGACACGGGGTTTCACCGTGTTAGCCAGGATGATCTCTATCTCCTGACCTCATGATCCGCCCGCCTCAGCCTCCCAAAGTGCTGGGATTACAGGTGTGAGCCACCGCGTCCGGCCTTATAAGCCAACTTTTAGCCTTGATTTGTTTCTGTTGCATTCTTTTCCCTATTTCATTGATGTCTACTCTTCATTACTTTAATTCTGCATTCTTTCATTTTGACTGTTTTTAATTCTTGAGAAGGAAATTTAAGTGATTGATTGTCAATGTCTTTTTCTATTCTAACACATTCCCTTAAGGCTGTAAATTTCTCTCTAAGCAGGGATTTATCTGACAGCCCATATTTTCCGTCAGATGTTTCCAAACCTTGTGTCTGCAGCCGCATTGACCTCCCAGTGTCTCCACCCTGTATCGCCTACAGCCATACCAGGCCTTGTGTGTCTCCATCCTCGTGCCTGAAGCCTGTATCTTCTCACCAGTATCACCATCCCGTAATGACTGAAGCCCATGTCTGCCCTTGTGTATTGTCACGTGGTCTGTCCTCTGCCTGCACTTTATGCCTCTCCATTTCTTGCTCCTGCAGCCCCTGCCAGCTGTGTGAGTCTCTATGCTGTGTGCTTGCAGCACATTGCTTGCCTTGAATGTTGTCATCTCCTCAGCCTTCAGGCAGTAGCAGTCCTCCAGTGCCTCAATCCCTGTGTTTGCAGCCCATTCCGATGTTTTTGTCTGTCTGTCCCCTGAGCTTCTGCCCATGCCAGCTTATGTTTGCTACATTCTCTGTCCCCCTAATCCATGTCCACAGTCAGTGTTTTCATCCATGCTTTTTGGGCCATGTCTGCACTGGTGTGTCTCCTTCCCCTGTGCCTTCAGCCCATTTCTTTCCTTTTTCTGGATCATTTCTCCCAGGAGACTATGCCCAAAACTTCTATCCCCAGTGTTTGTACCTGCAGCCAGTCTCTTTCGTTGGGTATCTCCATCTGTTGTTACTGCAGCAGAGGCCTGCCATTGAGTGTGCCTGCTTCCCATGCCTGTCTTCCTGTGTCTCCAGCCCTTGTCCATGCAGCCCACATTAGGACTCTTGTGACTCCACCCTTCAGCCTACAGCCACATCTCCCTTCGGGTGTCTTTATCTCTGTGCCCTCTGCCCACGCCAACCGTCACCTACTCCTCTTTCCTGCACCTGTACCCATGTCTGTCCCTGGTGTGCCTCTCTGCCATGCAGCTGTAGCCAGCGAGCTCCCTTTTTGTCTGGATCCCCTGTGACTGTAGCCCAGGTCTTCTCTCCTGTGACTACAACCCGTGTCTGCCCTTGAATGTCCCCATCCTCTGTGCTTGTCACCCGTCAGCCAGGCCTAGCATGTTTCCACTCTGTGACTACACCCATGTCTGCCTCCAGGGTCTCCACTCATGGTGCCACAGTTTGGTTCCTGGTCCCTATCCTCCTGGGGTGGATTCTGGCATTGTGTTGGGAGGGAGAAGGTGACCCATGAAAGGGAAGCCTGGAATGATGTAATGGGCAAGGAGGCTGCCATTCAGCAGGCTGCACAGTGGCAGAGAAGACATGGCCAGTCAGAATCCTCCCTGCATCGGGGCACTCACGTGGGTCTGTGCCTGGTGTGGGGAGTAAGGGGAAGCTGGAGCAGGAGGTTTGGAGCCACCTGGCCCTCTTGGGCCTGAGACCCTCCCAACTACAGGGGCTCCGTCACTTCCCCGGTGGTCCTGCCTCCTGGGATCCTGCCCTGCAGTGTTTCTGCAGGGATCCTCTCACCTGGAACTTGCAGTGGCGGGTTTCATGTGAGGTAGAGTTTAGCAAATGTTTATTGGCTTCTGTGCCTTACTTTTCTTCATATGCTTTGCGTATTTTGTGTGTTTTTCTAGGGTCCTTTTTTAATATTGATTTGAAGGATTTATCTTAAATCTGCACATTGATCCTTTATTGGCTCATTTTTGTCATAGATACTTGTTCTCTAGTTTGATCATTATTTTCTACTGGTTTCATACTAGTATATAGTAATCTGGTTGATAACAATAATGTATCCAGTAAGTTATTAATTGTAACAGTTTTGGGGTTTTCAGGGATTGTCTAGGCATGTAATAGTGTCATATACACATAATGACAATTTTTTTGGTTTAAAAATTAATCCTAATGCCTTTTTATTTCTTACTGTATTGTTTTCTCCACTACAATGCTGACTAAAGAGTGATAGCAGGCAGCCTAGTCTGTTCCTGCACTGGGGGAAAAAGCTTCCCATAATTCTCTATTAATTATGTTTTTGTTATTGGCTAGTATTAGACTTCTTCAGATATCAGATTTCATCAAATTAAGGAAGTTGCTTTTTTTTTTTTTTTTTTTTGAGATGGAGTCTCACTCTTGTCACCCAGGCTGGAGTGCAATGGCTCGATCTCAGCTCACTGCAACCTCCACCTCCCAGGTTCAAGTGTTTTCTCCTGCCTCAGCTTCCTGAGTAACTGGGATTACAGGCACCCACCACCATGCCTGGCTAATTTTTGTATTTTTAGTAGAGACGGGGTTTCACCATGTTGGCCAGGCTGGTCTTGAATTCCTGACCTCAGGTGATCCCCCCGCCTCTGCCTCCCAAAGTGCTGAGCCACGTGCCTGAGCCACGCTCAGCTAATTTTGTATTTTTAGTAGAGATGGGGTTTCTCCATGTTGGTCAGGCTGGTCTCGAACTCCCGACCTCAGGTGATCTGCCTGCCTCAGCCTCCCAAAGTGCTGGGATTACAGGTGTGAGCCATCGCGCCTGGCCAGTCCTCTTTTTATATTTTACTCAAGTTTTTTTGTGTGTTTGTGGTTCAGTTTTAAATTTTATTAAATGCTTTAAAAAACTTTTCAGCTAAATGATCTTACTATTTTCTCCTGTATTTTTCTGCTAATGGGATGACTTACACGATTCATTTTGAATGTTAAGGACCTTGCATTTTGGTGTATATTCCATTTAGTATTGATCTACTGTATTTTCATAGGTGACTTCATTCATATAATATTTTGCTTAGAATATTTGTAGCTCTGTTTTATTTATTTATTTTTGAGACAGAGTCTTGCTCTGTCGCCCAGGCTGGAGTGCAGTGGTGCGATCTGGGCTCACTGCAAGCTCCGCCTCCTGGGTTCACGCCATTCTCCTGCCTCAGCCTCCCAAGTAGCTGGGACTACAGGCGCCCACCACCATGCCCGGCTAAGTTTTTTTTTTGTATTTTTAGTAGAGACAGGGTTTCACGTGTTAGCCAGGATGGTCTCGATCTCCTGACCTCGTGATCCGCCCACCTCGGCCTCCCAAAGTGCTGGAATTACAGGCATGAGCCACCATGCCCGGCCCCAGCTCTGTTTATTAAAAAGGAGATACATACTGTTTATGAAAGAGGTGACATAATTTTGTTTATTTGTGTCCCATAATGTGTCCTGGTCCAATTGTGTCCTCAATGTAATGCCAGCTACACAAAAAATTTTTTAAATATTATCTTTATTTTCATTTTAGTGTTTTTCTTTGTATGGACTATTCTATAATTATGAGCTGGGAATTTTTCATTGTTCAGTTGTTTTTCTGATTTTTGGTAGACTGGACAAAAACCTGTGTTTCCTGACCATTTGCATCTCCTCTCCTGCTCTGTGCACTATCTCCCTGCTCCAGCTGCTTCCCGGAGCCTCCCTCCTTCCTCTCCACCTGCCCGCGTCCTCCTTGTCCTTCAGTTTCTTCCTAAGGGCCCATGGGCTTTCTTTGGCTTTTACGTTCCTCTCACTCCACCTTTGACAGTTGCTGGGCTTCCCATCCCCTGGGAGGTTTCAGAGGATGGGGAAGACAGAGGAGTGCAGTTGCCATGCAGTGCAATATGGGCCATAATGTTCATCCTCCACGGCCTGTATTGAGGACTTGCTGTGTGCCAAGAATCTGCTCTAAGAATGTAACTGTGCTCCCTCACTTCATGCTCATAACCACCTGTGAGATGGGCAATGTTCTCATCCACTTTTATGCAGAGAACACAGAGGCACAGAGGAGTTTCATAAATTGCTACCAAGGCCTTCCGCTGGTGTGCAGCAGGGTCAAACCCAGGCTGTCTGGCCCTGGGGTTCAGCCTCTCAAGTGCTCTGCTAGATGTTGGACAGGACAAACGAGACACAGAGAATGAACACCACCTGACTTGGGCTGGGGAAGTCAGGGATGGCTTCCTGGAGGAGGTGACAACCTCAGTGGAACCTTGAAGGAGGAGCAGGAGGAGCTGACCAGGCAATGAATAAGTATGTCCAGGAAAAAGGGAAGGCCTGAGTGATGCTGGGAGGCTGGAGAGCTGGCCTTGGGTGTGTGGCGGAGGGGGGCAGGAGATCAGGACCAAGGGTTTGGCCAAGGCCAGATCTAGAAGACTCGGGCCATCCCATAGTTGATACCTTATCCCAGGGCCAGGCAGGCCTTCCACTGCTCTGTGCGCACTGGTGGGCAGTGCCTCATGGGATGCTAGAAGCCTAGACCCCAGCCACCCACCTGGGCTCCTGAGACCCGAGGTGCAGGCACGGGGCTGGGAGGGGTTGCAGCTGATTTACATTCAACAGATTGAGGGGAAAACTGCAGGTGCCTCGCTGTCCAGATGGAACCCACCGCCAGATGGACCCCGGAGACAGCCTAGATTCACAGCCTTTCCCTGCTGCTCTGTCCCCACACCCCAGGCGGGGAGCAAATCTTTTCTCTGATCATCTTTTGTGCTCACCACCCATATCCCGGACATGTACCCGACCAGGGGCTCAAATACATACAGTTTCTGAGCGAGCTGGATAAGGCAGTGACCAGAGGCTGCCTCGACATAGGATGAAATTGCCCAGTGCTCTGGCACCACGAGTCGGAACCCAGCCAGAACTGTGACCTGGCAGTGGCAGAAGCTGTCTGGTGCTGCCAAATCAGCCCTGGCCAGTTGTTCATTGACCCCCTCTGGGACCTTGGCTGAGCCACTTCCCCTCAGCTGTAAAATGAAGAAGACTGTCTTTCCTATTAGATATCCCTCAAAAACACAAAAGTGCTTTGAACCTGCCAGGCTCCCTCTTGAAGAGTCACAAGAAAAGGCTCTGAGAAGTCCTGCAGTTAAAAAAATTTTTTGACTTTCTTTAACCCAACATTTTTCAAGCTAATTGACCACAGAGCTCTTTCTTGGTGCAACACCTGTTAACCGGCCAAGTGTGTGAGGAGGCACAAGTAGAGAGCTCTGAGAATCACCCTCCTTGGCTGCTCTCTGGTCTCAGGGTGCAGGAAAGAGTCTCTGTGCTACATCCCAGTCTGCAGTAGTTCAGGGTGTGAGCCCAGCCCACAGAGCTAGTGTCAGAGAGGAATTCCTTTTCTTCCCTTTCTGTTAATGGAGCTTCTCCCTCAAGCTTCTACTCCGCCTGGCTGGTGTCAGTCTTAGGGTTTTCATGCTCCTCTTTGGGCTTGATGGGGGTTCTGGGGTTTTATGTAGGTCGAGATAGTGGTAGAGGAGGAAGGGCATGGACAGCTTCTCTGATCAGTTGGGCATCTGCCATCGGGTCAGTCAGGCATTATCTCCCCCTCAGGTCCGGTGGCTTTGGTGGCTTCCAGGCCATGAATGGGCCCTGGAGCCTCCCCAAGGCTGCCCTTGTCACATAAGATCCACTGCCGGACTTACTCAGCCACTGCTTCACACTATGGCAGGGTGGGTGGTAGCTCCCTCCTTCTCCACTCCCCAGCCCAAACTGGGGGAGAATTAGGAGTCTGTTTTTAATTTTGTTTGATCCTTTGATTTTAGATTTGCTTTTGAATAGATAGTATAGTCAGATGGTTTGAAACTCAGAATGTATTGAAAGATTATTAATAAAGTCTTTTTTCCATCTTTGTCCACCAACTGCTCCCTTCTCGCCTCCCCTCGAATAAGCAGTTTTCTTAAGATGTAATTTCCATGCCATAAAGTTCACCTGTGTAAAGTGTACAAGTCTGTTTTTTAGTGTATTTACACAGTTATGCAACAATCACCCTAACTAATTTTAGAACATATTGATCACCCCAAAAAGAAACCTTGTCAATCTTCATTCCTCCCCTACCCTAGGCTACCACTAATTTATTATCTGTCTCTATAGATTTGCCTGTTTTGGACATTTTCCATAAATGGAATCATACAATATGTGATGTATTGTGACTAGCTTCTTCCATTTGGCATAATGTTTTCAAGGGCCGTCCATGTTGTAGCAGGTATCAGTACTTGCTTCAGTTTTGTGGCTAAGTAACATTCCACTTTATGGATATGTCATATGGCTTTTCCAGTCATCGGTGGATGGACATTTGGGTTGTTTCTACTTTTTTGGTCACTGTGATTGTTAACAATGCCTCCATGAATAATAATGCCTCCATGAACTTTTGGGTTCAAGTTTTGGGTGAACATGTTTCATTTCTCTTGAGTAGATGGATACCTAGAAGTGGAATTACTGGGTCATATGATAATTCTACATTTAGCATTTTAAGGACCTGCCAAACTGCTTTCCAGAGCAGCTGCACTATTTTATAATTTACTTCGTGCACGAGGGTTCCGATTTCTCCACATCTTCACCGACACTTGTTATTGACCATCTTTCTCACTCTAGCCTTCCCAGGGGGTATGAGATGGTATCTCAGTGTGGTTTGGGTTTGCATTTCCCTAGTGACAAATGATGTTGAGCATCTTTTCATGTGCTTGTTGTCCAGTCATGTGTCTTTTATGGTAAAATGTCTCTTGAAATTTGTCTTTTCGTTATTCTGTTATAAGCATTCTTTATATTAATATATTCTGGATACTAATATATTCTGGATACTCTTACTTAGCAATGAAGACTATTTGCAGTATGGGTCCAACCTGCGTTCCAGTTGGAATGTCCTAGTCACCTATGCATCCACCCCAACAAATACTGCCAGAGAGCCTACCATGCGTATATATGGCAGAGTCCCTGGCCTCAGGAAGCCCACGGTCTAGTCCAGACAGACGACACCACCCACGTTCTTTGAACTTCCACTTCTCTCTAGATTTCTTGAGCCAACTAACAACTCTCAAGTACTTTGCCTATTCAGTATTGTTTTTTACAGCCCTTAATTTCATTTTGCACACTACTTACTGTTGAGTTTTAGGAGTTCTTTATGTATTCTGGATATCAATCCCTTAGCAAATATGTGATTTGCAAATATTTGATTCTATTCTGTGACTTGTCTTTTTACTCTCTCAGTAGTATCCTTTGGTCCTATTAAAATTAAAACAAGTTATAATTTTCATGAAGTTCAATTTATCTAATTTTTTTCTTTCATTGTCTATGCCTTTGTTGCCATATCCAAAGTATCATTTCCAAATTCAGTTGATGGAGAATTTTCTCCTATGTTTTCTTTTAAAACATTTATAGTTTTAGCCTGTAGCCCATTTTGAGTTAATTTTTGTGTGTGGTGTCAGATAAGGATTCAGCTTCATTCTCATGCACATGGATAGCCAGTTTTTCCAGCGTAATTTGTTGAAGAGACTGTCCTTTTCCCCATTGAGTGGAATTGTTAGTGTTTTTTACATAGAAGATTATGTTGTCTGTGAACAGAGATATTCTTATGCTCTCCTTTCCAGTGTTTATACCTTTATTTCTTTTTCTTGCATAAGTGCTCTGGCTATGTTGAAGAGAAGTGACATGTGTGCATTCTGATCTCGTTCCTGATCTTAGGGGAAAGCTTTCACTCTTTCACCACTGAGAATGTTGTTAGCTGTGGGATTCTCAAATATGGCCTTTATCATGATAGGGAAGTTACTTTCTATCCTAGTTTCTTGTGTTTTTATCATGAAAAAATATTGGATTTTTTAAATTGTTTTTTCTGCATCAACTGAGATGAACATAGTTTTTTCTGTAATTTTTTTTTTTTTTTTTTGAGATGGAGTCTCACTCTGTCACCCAGGCTGGAGTGCAGTGGTGCAATCTCAGCTCACTGCAACCTCTGCCTCCTGGGTTTGAGCGATTCTCCTGCCTCAGCCTCCCAGGTAGCTGGGACTACAGGCACCCGCCACCACACCCGTCTAATTTTTTGTATTTTTAGTGGAGATGGGGTTTCACCATGTTAGCCAGGATGGTCTTGATCTCCTGACCTCATGATCCACCTGCCTCAGCCTCCCAAAGTGCTGGGATTACAGGCATGAGCCACCATGCCTGGCCTTTTAATTTTTTTAATATGGTGCATTTTACTGATTTTTTTTTATGTTGAACCATCTTTGCACTCCAGGAATAAATTCCACTTGGTTATGGTGAATAATTTCTTTGATATGCTGTTGGGTTCACTTTGCTAATATTTTATTGAGAATTTTTGCATCTAAATACTTAAGGCATATTGGTCTGTAATTTTCTTTTTTGTGATGGCTTCATTGGGCTTTGGTATCAGTGTAATGCTGACTTTATAGAGTGAGTTAGGAAGTGTTCCCTCCTCTTTGATTTTTGGGAAGAGTTTGAGAAGAATTAGAGTTGATTCTTCAAATGTTTTGGTGGGGTTCACTAGTAAAGCAATCTGGTCTTGTGCTTGTCATTGGTTTTTTTTTTTTTTTTTTTTTTTTGACAAAGTTTTGCTCTTGTTGCCCAGGGTGGAGTCCAATGGTACAATGTCGGCTCACTGCAACCTCTGCCTCCCGGGTTCAAGCGATTCTCCTGCCTCAACCTCTTGAGTAGCTGGGATTACAGGCATGTGCCACCACACCTGGCTAATTTTTGTATTTTTAGTAGAGACAGGGTTTCTCCATGTTGGTCAGGCTGGTCTTGAACTCCCGACCTCAAGTGATCTGCCTGCCTCGGCCTCCCAAAGTGCTAGGATTAAAGGTGTGAGCCACCACACCTGGCCAGTAGGTTTCTTATTACTGACTCAGTCTCCTCACTTCCTCACTAGTTGTAGGTCTATTCAGATTTTCTGTTTCTTAATGTGTCAGTTTTGGTAGATTGTGTGTTTCTAGGAATATGCCCATTTTATCCAGGTTATAAAATTTATTGGTATACTGCTGTTCATAGTATTCTCTTATAATCTTTTTTATTTTCATAAAATAAGTAATACTGTTTCCAATTTCACTTCTGATTTTAATAATTTGAGTCTTCTCTCTTTTTCTTAGTAAATTTCCCTTCTGATTTTGATGATTTGAGTTTTCTCTTTTTCTTAACAAATTTCATTTCTGATTTTGATAATTTGAGTCTTCTTTTTATTAGTCTAGCTAATGTGTTGCTAATTTTGTTGATCTTTTAAAGAGCTAGCTTTTGGTTTTATTGATTTTCTCTATTGTTTTTCCATCTGTATGTTGTTTATCTCTGCTGTAATCATTATTTCCATCTGCTAGCTTTGGGTTTGGTTTGCTCTTCCTTTTCTATTTCCTCAAGGTGTATAATTAGGTTATGATCTGGTTATGTTTCTTCTTTTTCAGTGTATGCGTTTACATAAACTTCCCTCTTCACATTGTTTTATTGTATCCCATAACTTTTGGCATGTTGCCTTTTCATTTTCCTTTGTCTCAAGATATTTTCAAATTTCCCTTGTCATTTCTTCTTTGACCAGTTGAAGAAGAGTGTGTTTAATTTCCACATGTGTGAATTTTCCAGTTCTCCTTCTGTTATTGATTTGTAGTTTTATAACATTGTGATCAGAAAAGATACTTTGAATTATTTTAAATTTTTAAGAATGTGTTAAGGTTTGTTTTGTGGCCTAACATGTGGTCTATCCTGGAGAACGTACCATGTGCACTTGAGAGGAATGTGTATTCTCCTGTTGTGGGGTAGAGTGTTGTGTATATGTCTGTTGTGTCCAGTTGGTTTGTAGTGTTGTTCAAGTCCTGTATTTTCTTATTGATCTGTCTGGTTGTTCTACTGTTGAAAGTGAAGTATTGAAATATCCTAGTATTAGTGTAAGAGTATTTCTCCCTTTCATTCTGTCAATTTTTAAAAATATATTTTGGGATCCTGCCATTAGGTTTATATAAATTTATAATTGTTATATCTTCTTGCTGTGTTCCTTTTTATTTTTATTTATTTATTTTAGATGGAGTTTCACTCTTGTTGCCCAGGCTGGAGTGCAATGGCGTGCTCTCAGCTCACTGCAGCCTCCACCTCCAGGGTGCAAGTGATACTCCTGCCTCAGCCTCCCAAGTAGCTGGGGTTACAGGCGCCTGGTACCACACCTGGCTAATTTTTTGTTTTTTGTTTTTTAAGACAGAGTCTCACTCTGTCACCAGGCTGGAGTGCAGTGGCGCTGTCTCGGCTCACTGCAACTTCTGACTCACTGGTTCAAGTGATTCTCCTGCCTCAGCCTCCCAAGTAGCTGGGATTATAGGCACATGCCACCATGCCCAGCTAATTTTTGTATTTTTGATAGAGACAGGGTTTCACCCTGTTGGCCAGGATGGTCTCGATCTCCTGACCAAGTGATCCACCTGCCTCGGTTTCCTAAAGTGCTGGGATTACAGACGTGAGACACCGCGCCTGGCCAATTTTTTGTATTTTTTAGTAGAGACAGAATTTTCACCATGTTGACCAGGCTGGTGTCGAACTCCTGACCTCAGGTGATCCACTCGCCTCGGCCTCCCAAAGGGCTGGGTTTACAGTCCTGAGCCACCTGCCTGGCTTCCCTTTGTTAATATATACCTTAACAATGTATATTTTCTCCCATTCTATAGGTTGTCTGTTTACTCTGTTGATAGTTTCTTCTGAAGACAGTGGAATACTGTGCAGCAACTAAAGTAGCCACCTAGCAGGATGTGTACCAGTATGGATACATTTTGAAAACACAGCTAAAAGCAAGGTGCAAGGGCATAATAGGCATAAGATGGTGAGGGATAGAGCATATTACCATGTTACAAACCCGACACTCTAAAAGCACAATATAGTATATATAACATTGTGTAAAACACTCAAAACACCCAGAACAATACTAGGCATTATCATGGATACATACATTATAGTAAAAGTGAAAAACCATTCAAGGGATGACCACATAGCAATTTTAGGATAATGCTTATTACTCTCTGAGGTGGGAGGGTACATTGAAGCTTTAAAAAATTCTTCCTAGATTAAAAAGATTTTGCAAGTGTGGCAAAATTTAACTTGTTAAGTCTGGGTACCTGTTTATCATTATTCTTGGTAGTTTCCTGTATATTTAAAATATTAACAATCAAAAATTGCACAGGTGGAAGGACTGTACTGTGCCACTTTTCTGCTTCTGGTATGCGTATGTTTCAGTGCTCTGTGCCTTCCACTGTGGTTCTCTATCAGGTTCATAGTGTATTTCTCTAAAGAAACATTGTAACTTACTGCTAAGTATCTTTTGGCTAAGGAGATTGAAGATCAGCCTTGCTTCAGGGGTGTTGTTCACAGCTTAGCCGCAGAGGGCGCCACCCCATAGCTGATGTGCGGTGGGGCGGCCACACCAGGCAGCCCTCTTGGTACAGGGCCAGTGCCTCCCAGGGAAGCACTGCTCCCCCAGCTGCAGGAAAGAGAAATATTTAAGTGCGTGCAGATTTCCCTTTCGCTTGTAGGAAGGGGTACAGAATCCAGCCATTTGGAAGCATACATCATGTTTCTCTGACTGTTCGTGGCCTCGGCTGTTTCTGAGGCTAATAATGCAAGAAACAGCACATGCCAAAGGCGTCTTTGCCACTGTGTCCATGAGCCTGCTGCTCACTTGCCAGGGGCTTTTTGTGATGTATTATTTTAGATTGAGGGGGTTCGTGTACAGGTTTGTTACATGGGTGTATTGTGTCGTGATGGGGCTTTGGCTTGTAGTGGACTGATCGCTGTGGGAACTTTGTTGTTAAACCGACCAGGGAACTTTCCTTTTATTTTAAGTGGAAAAAGAATATTCATACCTGAAGGAGATGGATAATCACCAAGCAGAACAGCTAAACAGAACCAGCCTAAAGCTGCAAGAAGCATCATCAGAGAGTGATGCAGAGATCAAAGACATGAAAGAAACCATGTTTGCACTGGAAGATCAGGTGGAACAGCACTGGGTTATCAAGTTACACAGTACTCAACTTATCAGTGAGCTAAAAAATAAGTGGGGTCAAGCCCAGGTGAAATGTGGATTGGAAGTGAGTAGGACACTAAAGAACCCAGCAGCAGTGGGTGACTGTGGGAAGGTTTTTGACTGTGTGTTGGCTGGGGTTTATGAAGAGTCTTTCATTTGAGTGTGCTATAATCTCCTGGGAAGAATGTCACCTAAGAAACAATCATTAATCTCTTAAACTAAGTTGAAAACTGGATAACAGAAGAAAAGAGTAAGCAACATAAGTGACTGTGAAAAATAGCAAATGCTTTGTTGTTTGTTGTTGTTTTAGAGAGAGGGTCTCAGTCTGTTGCCCAGACTGGAGTGCAGTGGTATGACCATACTCACCACAGCCTCAAACTTGTGGGCTCAAGCGATTGTCCCAAATCAGTCTCCCAGAGCACTGGGATTACAGATGTGAATCACTGTACCCAGCCACAAATGTTTCTTGTCTGTGCTAGATGTGCTGTGTGTGAGCCATGCTGCTGCCACTGTCTCTAAGCAGCCTGATGGGCTTGGAGGCCACAAGTTGGGACACTTCAGCTGTGACTGTATGAGAGTTCACAGGGACTTTTCCTAAGGACATTCTGTGGGGTAGGAATGGGTTATTCAGAAGAAATACCTTGCCAAGCATTGACACTGTGTTGTCACCAAGCATTGACACTGTGTTGTCTCTTGGAGCTGATAGAGATGGATGATAGGTGTCAGAGTGGATGAAAAATGTGTGCTCTTGGTCTAAAGAAGAAAACAATTCCTGCATGTGTGCCATTGATGGTAGGATATCAAGTAACTTACAGATGTTGGCCACTTAGTTGCTGAAGAGGCATCATTATGAGGCTTATGAGCTCATTGTTTACTTTGACTTGGGAAAAGAAATTTTTAAAAGGGATTAAACGTTGCCTGCTTTGTCCAAATGACCTTTATCAAATTATCACATCTAATGTGCTTCGCTTTTGTGACAAAAGACAATGGACATGGCCAGGTGTGGTGGCTCACGCCTGTAATCTTAGCACTTTGGGAGGTCGAGGTGGATGGATCACCTGAGGTCAAGAGTTCGAGACCAACTTGGCCAACATGATGAAACCTTGTCTCTATTAAAAATACAAAAATTAGCCAGGTGAGGTGGCGGGTGCCTGTAATCCCAGCTACTTAGGAGGCTGAGGCAGGAGAATCGCATGAACCCAGGAGGTGGAGGTTGCAGTGAGCTGAGATCACACCATTGCCCTCTAGCCTGGGAAACAGAGTGAAACTCTGCCTCAAAAAAAAAAAAAAAGAAAAGGTTTAATGGGCAAAGCATTTAGGTCACACCAGCCATTACTAAGAATAGCCTGGTCAGTTGCCTGAGAAGTTCCCCACACCGTGCAGTTGATCCTCCTTATTCACAGATTCACAGATTGCACATTTGTGAATTCACCTGCTTGCTAAAAATTTTTTTTTTTTTAGTTGGAGTTTTGCTCTTGTTGCCCAGGCTGGAGTGCAATGGTGCAATCTTGGCTCACTGGAGGTTATCCTGCCTCAGCCTCCCGAGTAGCTGGGATTACAGGCATGCGCCACCATGCCCGGCTAATTTTGTATTTTTTTAGTAGAGATGGAGTTTCTCCATGTTGGTCAGGCTGGTCTTGAACTCCCGACCTCAGGTGATCCACCCGCCTTGGCCTCCCAAAGTGCTGAGATTACAGGCATGAGCCACTGCGTCCAGCTGCTCAAATGTATTTTAACCCCCAAATCAACACACAGAGTACTTCCACAGAGTCATTTTTGTCATTTTTGGACATGCACAGAGAAGTGAAAAAGTTGAGTCATCCAGTGCTTATGCTCCCCACTGAGGTCAGACAGACACTTTACCTTCTCATGCTGTACATATATCTTTTCCATGGTCTGTTTAGTACTGTGCTTTTAGCATTCTTTTGCTTGGTTTTGGTGACTTCGCTGTTTAAAATGGCCCCAAGTGCAGTGCTGCAGTGCTGTCCACTGTCCCTAAGCGCAGGGAGGCTGAGAGAGACCTGCAGAGAAGACACGTATGTTAGGGAAGTTTCTTGAAGGCATGAGCTCCTGTGCTGTTAAGCCTGAGTTACTGAATCGACAACACAGTACATCAGAGAAAGGGAGAGGAAGTTCGACAATATGTATGTAAAGCTGCCCTGACATGCTAAAGGGACATCTGTAGAGTGTGATGCAGCTGTGGAAAAGATGGAAAAGCAGCCAAATTTATGGATTCATGAGAAGACAGCCAATTTTAAAAAGCAGTGGGCAACATTATTGTGAGACTGAAAACCAAAGACACGTACGTGCACATCGTCTCAGGTCAGGAAAATATTAAATCCTTCTTGGCTAGTGCTGGTCGGCTCCTAGGTTTCAAAAGGCTGTAAGGTGTGAGAATGGTTAACGTTGCAGGCAGGGCAGGTTGTACAGATCAGGAGACTGAGGAAAAATTTAAAAATACTTGCTCAGTGTTAGGAAGAAGGAAATAGGAAGAATGAGTTTCCACTACTGATGAGACTTGCTTGTTTTATGGAGATATTGCCAGATGCAACTCTGTGCACGAACCTGAGAATTGACTGTGTATTCCAGATATTGATTAGTTGGTTAGAGTGAGAGTTGACAGCACCTGCCTCGTTTCTTCTTGAACATGACACGCAGTAGAACTGTGGAACCTCAGCATTCAGTGTCGGTGCCATCCAGGCTGTTCTCAGGATACAGCTGAAAACCTGGACACCATTATCATCAGTGTATCCTTCCAAACCCAGCACCATGATTGTGAAGAAAAGTCAAAGAAGACAAGTTCTGTTCTGTTTTGTTTTTGTTTTTGTGATATTTTGCTGTTGAGAATGGGGTTGTATTGTCCCTAAATCCTTAAAAGTCAGCACAGACACACCAAGAAAACCAGCGTATAATTAATGTCCACAGCAAAATTTAGGCCCACCGCTGTGGTTATATCATCATATATCCAGGACTGACAATAACCCAAGCCATCTTTTGAAAAGCTGTTAAACTTTTTAAAAGGATTTTGAAGTATTATTCAGATATCTTTTTGCTCAGAGACCCCGAGACACACGGATCCAGCCCTAGACCGATCACTCCTTCCCATGAGATCCTGATGGGAGAGAAATGGACTGAAAAATGAAAGGAAATTAGGGGGTGTTTTCTACTCAGCAGAATAATCCCAGACGCAGACTCCCAGGCCCACTAGAACTAGAACTGCTGGGGTAGGACCTGCCCACAAGCATCTTTTTAGCCTTCTCTGGTGATTCTGATTCACAGCCTTCATAGAAAACTGCTCTAGGTTAGAGCATGACGACCTATTGAGGAATTTCAGCTTGGTGACTGACACCATCAGATTTAAACTCGAATGACTCTGATAGCCGTATGGAGAGAATGGGAGGCAAGGAGAACAAGGGGCTGCAGGTGTCCTTAAGTAGGGAGAGGCAGGCAAGCCACCTGGGAAGATGTCAAACGCACACATCCTCGGGTTCTGTCTGCCCTTGGAGATTCTGCCTCCAGGTGTCTGGAGTGTGGACTAGAACATCGGTGCTTTTGAAAAGTTTCACCAATGATTCAGAGGCTTAACTGCCATTGAGACCCACGACTCTGGAAAGTGCTTTACAAACCACAGGAGGAATAAGCAGTCATGTGCTCTGTTATGTGAAAGCCTCTATCTCACAGCAATAAAGGACACTCAGGATGATTGCGTGTGAGTGCGAGGGAGGCCGGGCTCGGTGTGCAAGTGTGTGTGGCCACGGAGGCCTCTTCCCGTAGTGCTGCTATTTGGTTGTGCATCCTGTCTGCTGAGACTGTAACCTCAATATGCACCATGTATTTTTCAGATCATCATGTTCCCTATTTTGGAGGAACTTGCTGCTTCCAGCCCCTCTTTGCAGGGTAAATTGAAATTGCTAAAAGTTGCATTTAGAGTAGAATGCATTTAGAGTAGATTTGAACACCTGCTGTGGCATGTGGAGCTGCCCCTTTGCTACCTGACTTACCTTCTCTCAAGAGTCTCACAACTCTTCCAAGGCCTGTCTGAATTGTCTATTTCTAGGTAATGTGATCAAGCTGGAGAAACAGAAGTCAGATCTGGGGAGGCAGCTAAAGACTCTGACTGAGCAGATACAGGGGAGATGTGGCAGGAGCCTTCACCACCATCTTCCTATAAATTACCCCTCCAAAGTCGGGATCACTCTCTCTATCCTGCTTTATCTTGGAACATTTTCATGACATGGGCCCTGAAACTGTAAGTTCTTGCCAGCAGGAAGTAAAGTCAAAGCAGTCATTTGTTGTCAGGATGGAGAGCTCTCATAACCTGAAGGTGTAATTTCCACCAGTGCCTTTTCCTAGCAGCAAGACACCGTGAAAGCAGGGCCTCACTAAGCACTGCTGGCTGTTCTTTCTTGGTGACTGATACAGGGGCTCTGGAGTCTCTGCTCAGGCACCAGCCCTGGCAGGCATCTGACACAGGGTTGGGCTCTGGCATTTTCAGAAGGAGACCATGGAATGGAGGTGGTTCCAGCCAGATCTGCAGACTGCGGTGGCAGTGGCCAACAATGTCAAGTGAGAAGCCCAGCAGGAGCTGGGCACTGTGAAGAGGAAACTGCTGAACTGCTGGAGGAGGAGGAGAAGGAGGAGGAGAATGCCTGGCTGCAGAAGGAGCTGGGGGATGTGCAGGGCTGCGGCAGGGTGGTTTCCAGCAGAGCTGCCCCTCCGTGAGTCTAGTGGGCACCCAGGCCATGCTTGCTTTTCACTTAATTACTGTGCGTGGGGCTCCCTGGTGGGGATGAGACGCTTCATGTCTCTCTGTGCAAGGCTCTGCTGTTTCTTTTCTGGGATCAGTCTGCATTACCAGTGCTACCGCATCACTAGGAACATTCCATCCAGTGCCCAGTTTCTGCCATGCTTAGCAGCATAAGGGGCTGCTAAGCTCCTCACTTACATATGAAGGGCGAGTTCTAGCCAAGTATCCTGCTAGGCTTAAAGAATAGAAGTCCTGTCTAGGATGCTCCTTGAATCTTAGTATTTATTAGTGCAGGGAGTGCACACTGATAAATACGAGCCCACCACCTTGCACAGGTCACTCCCATGCAGTGGGAGAAGCTGGAATCACTCCTGAGGGGAGGAGCCACCAAATAAGGACACATTCCTCCCGGCCCAGGGATGTGTCTACTTATTTGACAACACCCATGGGCTACTTCAACAGGCCTTGACATAACTCACTTTATTTTAAAAAGAGTGGAAAACATGCATTTGGCTGATGTATGACATTCCCCTCTGCTCTGGACGGGAAGAAACACACAGCCTATCAGCCCAGAGAGCTCTGCTAATAGTGACATTTAAGAGTATTTGGGACTACAGTTGCACCAGACAAGATCATTACTTTATAGCCGGACCTCTACCCTCTGGCCACCAAAGGATGTGGATTTTAGGAAAACTAGATTTTGCAGTGTTCCCTGTTGAAACAGCAGTGAGGCCATTCAGGGTGGCCTCTGTGTCTGCTGTTGTTTGTTTGCCTCTGTCTTGCTTCCCTATTGTCTGTCATTGGAAGAAGATCCCAGTCAGAACTTGTGTTGCTTCACATGGACGCTATTTTAATGATAAATGGTAAAAGGTAAGTCCTAAGTTTCCATGGTAGCCCTGAATAACCAGGTTCTTGTATGAGCTGCTTCATTTCTTATGTATACTGTGAGACACAGGCCATACCATGCAGTGTGAACCCTGGTATTCTAGGAAATCTCCGCATGCATCCTGGCAGTTTAGGACTCCCTATGCTGCATCCTGCATCTTCAGTCTTAACGTCATTGTTTTTTTAAACACAGAATTTTCTTTTTTGATTTTCCGGTGATTTGCAACATTACTTTCTCAATATAGCAGTTTAATCCCTTACCACAAAACATTTCAAATTTTGGAACTGACACCAATGAGAACGTGTCATGGTACTGAAATCAGGCATCATGATGATTTTGCCTGCCATTGTGTTTGGCAGGAAGTCAGACAAGTGCCAGTGATGGTTTCTTGTCTGATTTTGCACTTCTCTGGCAAGCTGTCACCTCTGAAGAGTTGACTATTGGGTAATTACTCGCTCATGGCTCGGTCACTCCTGGAACCTACCCCATGAGCAAGAACTAGAACCAACTCACACCCTCCAAGCTCCCGAAGCCAGCCAGTGTTTCCGTCTTGGCTGAATGAGTTCTTGATTGAAACTCAATTTGACTTTGGCAGTCATCTAATGAGAACTCAAAAGTCATCCTTGGTTCAGCCACAGCAAAAGAACTTGCAGAACATTCTCTGATGAGATCTTCAAGTACAACTGAGAGAAGGTAAGAACACCCAAAAAGCACCTGGATCCTGACACGGGATTACCTGATTCTTAAACTGTTTGCCCCCGTGGGCACTCACAGGGATGGTTGCAGCCAGGCTGATAGGCATGAGATGAAGCGCCCAGGCAGGAATGCAAATCAGCATTTATTACCGGAACTCAGTGACTACACAGTGGGATATTATCTAACTCATCAATGATCTTCAGCCCTGTTACACTTCAAAAATATTTTTATTTCAGAGTTAGAATAACTGATGTTAAGGTATATGGGGAAGGAAGGTGGTAGCCTCGTCTTTGCAGCCAACCAGCAGTATCTCATTCTCAGCCTCATGTTTGCAGCCAACTAGCAATATCTCGTTCCCAGCCCCGTCTCCTGCCTCTGTTAAAAGAGGTGGGAAAAGTGAGTAGTTTTCAAGGTCCGTTTAAGCTCTGCTATTCTCTGGACTGGTTGGTCAGCTGACCTTTCCCTGGTGGGAGAGTCAGAAATTCCTGTGCCAGCCTTAGCATCTTTCTGATGCAATCCTTTGAACCTCTTTGACACAGTGGTTTCCCCATTGTTGATGAGCAGTGCATGACACAAGGCTTCTCTAACAGCAGCGGGGAAAGACCTCTGCATTTACTGTGTTTGTTTATTTCTCTTGTTCTGAAACAGTAAATGCTGTTATTTCAGGGTGACTTACCTAATTCTTACAGTGTTTATATAACACCAGTAAACATCCATGGAAGGAAAACATCTTTAAAAGAGATCATTAAACACACTTAACATCTGTGCCTAATTAATGCTATTGGTATCTAAATAGAATGTCTGTGATTCGAATGTGTTTTGCCTGCACCACCAGTTCTTGGGTTGTCCCCTCTCGGAGGTGAGCACTGTGGCAGCACAGCATGTGCAGACTCCGCTGGAATTGGCTTAACTCCGTGTGTGCACATCAGTGTCAGCCCGAGCGTCGCTGCATGTGCCCGCACTGCCCTCTGTGTTGCTCTGATGGCTCTAATGGGTCACAGCCGCTTAGCACATGTTCTCCAGCTGCTGCGGAGAGGGGAAGGGCAGAAGTTGGAGGTATAGATTCTTGGGTCCCTAAGGTCCCTTTTCAAGCTCTCTTGCTGCAGATGCTCTGGTACCGAGCCCCTGTCCCAGGTGGAGGGGGCCCATTCCGCTAAGGATTCCTAAACAGTTTCTGAACAGACTTCACCTTAGCACCCATGACGAACAGGGGCTTCTGGCATTTAATTTGGCCCTTAATGTAGAACCTGGTCCTCTCATATCCTCTTACTCTAGCCAGCCTTATCTGTTGACTCACATAGTACTTTTTTTTTATAGTTTAGATTTATGACATACACAGTCTATAATTCTAAATAGCTGTGTCTGCCTCCCTATTCCCTAATCCGCATCTTTACAGATTTGAACGGTGTGGACATAAGCTTCTCTTAGGCCTTTAGGATTTTTAGGTTGAAATTATGAAAGAAAAAAAGTTTTTTGGCCTTGACAGTAGAGGGGAAGCACAAGCCTCTCTGTAAATTCTGGAGGGGCCTGTGGTGTTCATCATGGGCATCTCTGCTTCACCACACAGTTCTTTGTTGGAGAAGTTCTGGTGGAGGAGCCTAGTACAGGCATTTGTAGTCTGACATTTTTTTATGTCCGAAAACCTTTGGCTTCCAAAAAATTGGAACAGTAGGAATTAAAACCCATTGGCCTGTCCTGGACATTAGCTTGTCCCCGTAGGGCAGTGTAAGCTGGAAATTCTTGCGTTTGTGAACTAAGACCGTGTTGCCTTAGGGTAACTCCTTTACAGCCTCTCCCTCCCCATTTCTATTTTCACCTCTCAGTGGGCTCTGTCAGCTAGCAGAGCATTTGGTGGAAGAAAGACAGCCCAGCTCTTCCCATGATTGGGATCCACAGCCATCTCTGTATGAAAGGGGGAATGTGTAGAAGAGAAATTACCTCTTTATAAAGAGCCCAGGTGTCTCCTTGTGACATTCACTGTTTCTCGGAACCATTGCCTTTGAGTCTGCTTTTTGTCCACATTTTGGAATCAGCTCACTGCATGATCAAAGATGATCCTTCACTCTTTTTTCTTTTTCTCAGAAGCTTCAGCAGTCTTTTATTTGGAGAATAAAATGAAGTTGTACTGAAAAAAGAAAGTACAGGTCTCATGAAGAAGAGTTATTTGCAGCTGGAATGTTGAGAAGGCACAGTGGCAGAGCAGATCTGAGTAATGCTTATTCCGAAGAAGTCAAAAAGTTTGGCTTCCTTCTGTGGGGTCTTGATTGTGCCTCTTCACACAGGGTCTGACTTCATTACCTCATCTGAAACTAAGTACCACTAAGCTTTGGTTTGATTTCCAGAATCTTGCTGGGCTAAACGCAAGTAGATGTTTCGTTCATTGTTGGGAATAGGCCCCCAAAATCTGGCCATAAACTGGCCCCCAAACTGGCCATAAACAAAATCTCTGCAGCACTGTGACATGTTTGTGATGGCCATGACGCCCACGCTGAAGGTTGTGGGTTTACCGGAATGAGGACAAGGAACACCTGGCCCACCCAGGGCAGAAAACCGCTTAAAGGCGTTCTTAAACCACAAACAATAGCATGATCGATCTGTTTAAGGAGAGCATGCTCCTGCTGCTGATAACTAGCCAGAGCCCATCCCTTTATTTCGGCACATCCCTTTGTTTCCCGTAAGGAATAGTCTTAGTTAATCTATATAGAAACAATGCTTATCACTGGCTTGCTGTCAGTAAATATGTGGGTAAATCTCTGTTTGAGGCTCTCAGCTCTGAAGGCTTGAGACCCCTGATTTCCCACTCCACACCTCTATGTTGCTGTGTGTGTGTCTTTAATTCCTCTAGTGCCACTGGGTTAGGGTCTCCCAACCAAGCTGGTCTCAGCAGTTGATCATAAAGGATGCTGTTAAGCCAGATAGGTAAGCATGGTGACAGTGGCAATAGAAATCTAATGGAAAACGGTTGAATGACAACTACACCAAAAGCCTCATGGATGAAACTCAGCCTGGAAACTTAGTGTTCAACTCAGAGCGATCCACAATTTTATGTGGATTTTAAACTTCCAGAAATGTGATTTTAAACTTCCGGGAATACCTGTGTTTGTGAAGATCCAAATCCATTTCAGCAACCTCCATCAGGCAGAAACCTCCTGCAGTTCTCAGCATGGAGCTATTAGCTATCCAAAGGAAAGCTAGTATCTATTTTATCCAAAGGATGAGACAAGGCAAGAGTTACTGTCTAATAAAAGGAAAATTAGGAACAGGAGTGCTCTTTAAACTCAGGAAGATGTTTTGGGGTGTCAAACCAGACAGCACAGAATCACTAGAAACATTAGCTTGGTGTGAGAAAGAAGAGACATTGATATCTTCTGTGTAAAAATAAATACTTGCGAGTAGGACTGTAGATTCTGGGAGCTCTTTATCTCGTATTCAGAGTTGTTGGGATGATTTAAAACTCATTTGCTGGATGTTTTTAAATATAAACAGTAAGAAAACTGCAACCTCAACTTAAAAGGCACCACTGTATTTGCAGCCCACATTTTGTCCTATCTTTACTCCAGGTACTGCTGAGTATTTTTATCTGTAAGCATTTGTAAAATGCTAAATAATGTTGTTATACAGAAGCTCGTCTGCTGCTTAAGGTTTTTTTTTTTTTTTTGAGACGGAGTCTCGCTCTATCGCCCAGGCTGGAGTGCAGTGGCGCAGTCTCAGCTCACTAACCTCCATCTCCCGGGTTCACGCCATTCTCTTGCCTCAGCCTCCTGAGTAGCTGGGACTACAGGTGCTGGCCACCACACCCAGCTAATTTTTTATATTTTTAGTAGAGACGGAGTTTCACCGTGTTGGTCAGGATGGTCTGGATCTCCTGACCTTGTGATCTGTCCACCTCGGCCTCCCAGAGTGCTGGGATTACAGGCGTGAGCCACCGCGCCCGGCCTGCTGCTTGAGTTTTAATCACCAGCTATGTTTCTGCAGGGCCTTTATGTCATTTTGTTCTACATTTTTTCATGAATATAGTTTCAGAACTTCAAAGCCTCCTCAAATAATAGAATTTGAAGGAGAAACAAGCTGGACTTTAAATATAAGTTGTAGATAGAAGGTTGAGCTGGGATATGAATGATTTTATTATTAGAACAAGAGGACGTGGAGCAAAAACACTAGTTTTGCATAAATTAATTTTTAAGCAAAACTGTAGAATCTCAGAAAATATAGTATGGACTTTTTAGTCTAGATGTTTCTTGTTGAAATTTAAAAATGAATAGATTGGTGAATTAATGTATTGGATTTTCTCCTAATTATGAAGTAATATTTAGGTATACTGGTAGCAAAATGGAGATGTGTCAAGAAAAATACTAATCTTTCTCCTCCTTCAGTACTCACCCTGCAAGGAAATCACTGGTAACAGTGTGTATATTTTTTGTTAATCATAAAATGTATAGGCTTCATTTATATATGTTTAAATATAAACAGGACTATGTTCTACACAGTATGCTGCACCTTCACTTTTTATTTCATGTAACATGGGCATCCTTCCAGGTCAATACATACAAAGAGAACTCATTTTAAGAGCTGCATGGCCTTCCACAGGAGGGATGTGCCCTGGAATATTCAAATATTGTCTTACTAATGCCAGCAAGGTTATAGTTTTCTTTGTTACGAATAATGCTATAATACGAGTCCTTATTCATATAGTCCTATATAGTTGTGATTTTATTTTTATAGCATGAATTTCTAAAACTATGACTGCTGCTCTAGAGAATATACACATTTTTATCTTAATAGATGTCTCCAGGTTACTCACCTGACTGCTGTGACATTTCACTTTCTTTTTTTTGTTTGTTTTTTTGAGATGGAGTCTCGCTCTGTCGCCCAGGCTGGAGTGCAGTGGCACGATCTTGGCTTACTGCAAGCTCCGCCTCCCGGGTCCACACCATTCTCCTGCCTCAGCCTCCGGAGTAGCTGGAACTACAGGCGCCCGCCACCACGCCCGGCTAATTTTTTGTATTTTTTAGTAGAGACGGGGTTTCACCGTGTTAGCCAGGATGGTCTCGATCTCCTGACCTCGTGATCGGCCTGCCTTGGCCTCCCAAAGTGCTGGGATTACAGGCGTGAGCCACCGCACCTGGCCGACATTTCACTCTTGATGAACGTGCCCATCTCTGCATAGTCTGAGCAGCCACAGAAAGTGTTGATCTTATTTTTGCCAATAGGATAAGTGAAAAATACTATCTTATTAGATTTTAATTTGTATATCTCTGAGCATATTTTTATGTGTACTAACCAATTGCACTTTCTCTTCTAGAGTTGCTAGTTTAGCACTTTTGCCTATTATTTCACTGAGCTGATTGTTTCTTTCTCATCAGTTTATAAGTCAGTATTTTATTAGGGATGTCGGGGTTTTTTTGTTTCGTTTTGTTTTGGGGGGGTTGTTTTTTGTTGTTGTTGTTTTGAGACAGGGTCTTGCTTTGTCACCCAGGCTGGAGTGCAGTGGCACGATCACAGCTCACTGAAGCCTTGACCTCCCAGGCGCAAATGATCCTCCTACTCAGCCTCCCAAATAGCGGGGACGACAGGCGAACACCACCATGCCTTCCTAATTCGAATTTTTGTCCAGCTGGGATGTCACTTTATTGCCGAGGCTGGTCTTCAACTCCTGGGCTTGAGTGATCCTCCCACCTTAGTCTCCCAAATCACTGGAATTATAATTGTGAATCACTGTGCTTGCCCAAAGATGTGTTTTTATCCCCAGTGCACTACAGGCCTTTGGCTTTAACATCCGTATCATAGAAAAGTTTATATTTTTATATAATGTTAACTTAGTGTTTTCTTTTGTTATTTCTTTTTGTTTGTTTGAAGGTTTTCCCTCTCCAATCTTATTTGTTACAAATAAACTATTAAGTTTCATTCTCTGTTTTATGCACGTGCACACACAGACACACACACAGATACACACACACACACACACACGCAGGCGTTTGATCCACCTTTCTTTATTTAATCTGATGTGAGCTGTGCGTCTTTCTCTCCCAGTTAGATAGCTGGTCATGCCAGCACTATTACCAGAACCATCCTTTGTCCACTGAATTGAAATCCCACCTTTACATGATTCATTTCATCTGCATTCGGAGAGAACTGCCCTAAGTATGCCCCCATTTCTTTTTCTTTTGAGTTAGTTCTGCTTTAAAATATTAATGAGTTATTAGATTGCTTATATTATTTTTAACTCACCTTTCATTTTAAATTGTCATCTTTAATTTATGTCTTCTTATTTTATTGAATTTTAAGGTAGATACTATCAGTGTCAAATTGTTTCTGGTCATGAATTTACAAATGTTGGTCCTCTCTTGAGTGCAGTTTCCCCTTCACTTTGTATTATGAAATATTTGCATCGGCTGGGCGTCGTGGCTTATGCCTGTAATCCCAGCACTCTGGGAGGCCTAGGTGGGTGAATCACCTGAGGTCAGGAGTTCGAGACCAGCCTGGCCAAAATGGCGAAACCCCGTCTCTACTTAAAAAAATACAAAAATTACCTGGGCGTAGTGGCACGTGCCTGTAATCCCAGCTACTTGGGAGGCTGAGGCTGGAGAATCTCTTGAACCCAGGTGGAGGTTGCAGTGAGCTGAGATTGTGCCACTGCACTCCAGCCTGGGCTACAGAGTTAGACTGTATCACAAAAAATAATAATAATAATAATTTAAAAAAGAAATATTTGCATCAAGCAGGGCATTATTTTGTTCATCACCTTCTCTTGCTGAAGCAGATCCAGGTGTGGCAGGGCCTGACGTTTGGCCCAGGTCAGTGTCTGGATCCTGCTCAGTTCCACTGCCTTTACCTGACAGTGCTTAGGATCTTATGACTGAAATGCGTTGGAAGGCTCTTGAAGGTGCATATATATTACATATTGAAAGGTACAGAAGCTCAGGTAGAGTAGAAAAGGGTGAGTGCCTAACGGGGAAATTCACCTGTGCCCAGTTTGTTCTCTGCTTGGTGAGCCTGGAATACAGAGCCAACTCTCTGGGTCTACATTTGCATGCCCCTCGTCCATTTTAGATGCACGCCATGGCTTTTCCTGCCCTGTCCCTTGTCACTACTGTCCTTTGTGTCTGGGGTAAACCAACCTTGGCCTCCTCAGATGTAAATTCCTCTTGTTCCTGATCCTTTGCCAGAATGCCCTGCATCTCTCTGGGCTTCTCGTGCTCCTCACCAGCCCTGGCCTTCTAGGGTGGGGGACATTAGTGGAGGGTTTCCCTTATCTCCATTTTCTTTGGAAGGGATTTGGAGGAAAGCTCTTGGTATTTTATTTTAATTTCCCCCCCACCACATACTCTCTATTAGCAGAAATTCTTCAAAGTGTAGGCTTGTAGATGATACCTGACTACAAGATTTTTACTGTTTCTTTGATTCTTTTTGTTCAGATTTGTAGATGAAGATGCTTATGTTCAAATTGCCATCTTATCCTGTTTGATTTTATTGTTGAATATGCTTATATTGAAATTTGAAAGTGAAATTCAGAAGATACTGTTTTGACATCTGGAGAGAGAGTACTTCATAATTTCTGTCTCACAATAGAGGGACAAACTTCTCTTAGATTTGTTTTGTGTAAAACAATAAGAAGTATTTAGAGAAAATTACGCTCCAGGCAAGGGCATAGAATGAGCAAAGGCACAGAGGCAGGACATAAAAGAAAAAAAACTTCAGGTGGCTGGGTGTATAGTCCAAAAACTAGACGGGTAGAGGGGACTCATGGGAGATCAATCGAAAGGCCTGGGGCTGGGCTTCATCCAGGTGTTCAGGAAAGATCCCAGCAGGCATGAGCATGTGGTTGGCACAACCTGCCCTCTTCACAAATATTAATCTGCCAGTTGTGAAGGTAGCAGTGGTGCCATGCAACGCTTCCCAAATGGAGTTACCCTTGAATACTTAAAAAATCATCATGGGCTGGGCATGGTGGCTCACGCCTGTAATCCCAGCATTTTGGGAGGCCAAGGTGGATGAATCACTTAATGTGATGAGTTCAAGACCAGCCTGGCCAACATGGCAAAACCCTGTTTCTACTAAACATTAAAAAAAAAATCTTGTATAGGAGCTCACCTGTGCCTGGATCAGAATAAACAACATAAAGTGGTGTCTTGAGGAAGTAAAAGCTATAGACAATCACTGGCAGTTGAAGACTCTGTTCCCTAATATAACAAAGAAAGCAACAAATTTAGAGAGGTTAAATAAAAGTTTCAAAGGGAAATAATTACAGACATATATGTATGTGGTCTTAAATGACAAGGTAAGACGTAGAAGGCAGACCAACGTTCAGTGAGGAGGGCCGTGCATCTTGTTGTGCTCTGTGGAGACGCTGCCTGCTTATAGGGTGCGTGCGTGTCACCTGCTGTGTGTGACACACCATCAGAAAGTCTGGCCTCCAAATGTTATTCACAGGTATGGGTTGCCACCTTGTAAGAACAGATTATTGTACAAAAATAGGAATGTTGAAAGAAATATTGGGAATGTTTTTTCTTAAATATTATTATATTTTAAGAAGAAATACCATCAGCATTATTTTTGGAACCTTGTATACCTCTCATAGAACACTTGTGCACAACAGAAAATTTGAGAAAGGCCTGGCCAGAGCTGGATTTGCATCCCAGATTTACCATTCATGAACCATGTGACCATCATCAAATTTTCCTCTAAAATAAGAGATAATGTGTGGAGGTTTTGTGGAAAATTAAATTAGATAACATTTTTAAGACACATGGTACTGTGCCTGTCATATACAGTGGAGTTATACTGTATTAGTTTGTTCTCACTTTGCTATAAAGAACTACTTTGAGGCTGGGCACAGTGGCTCATGCCTGTAATTCCAGCACTTTGGGAGGCCAAGGCAGGAGAGTCACTTGATGTCAGGAATTCAAGACCAGCCTGGCAAACATGACAAAACCCCATCTCTACTAAACATACAAAAATTAGCCAGGCATGATGGCATGCACCTGTAATCCCAGCTACTTGGGAGGCTGAGGCAGGAGAATCGCTGGAATCTGGGAGGCAGAGGTTGCAGTGAGCTGAGATTGCCTCACTGTATTCCAGCCTGGGAGACAGAGCAAGACTTAGTCTCAAAAAAAAAAAAAAAAAATTGAATTACCTGAGACTGGGTATTTTATAAAGAAAAAAGGTTTAATTGCCAGGCACAGTGACTCACACTTGTAATTCCAGCACTTTGGGAGGCTGAGGCAGGCAGATCACAAGGTCAGGAGATCGAGATCATCGTGGCTAACACGGTGAAACTCCGTCTCTGCTAAAAATACAAAAATATTAGCCGGGCATGGTGGCGGGTGCCTGTAGTCCCAGCTACTCAGGAGGCTGAGGCAGGAGAATGGCATGAACCCAGGAGGCAGAGCTTGCAGTGAGCCGAGATCACTCCATTGCACCCCAGCCTGGGCAACAGAGCCAAGACTCCATCTCAAAAAAAAAAAAAAAAAAAGGTTTAATTGACTCACAGTTCTACAGGTCACACAGGAAGCATGGCTGGGGAGGCATCAGGAAACTTACAATCATGGTGGAAGGTGAAGGGGATGCAGGTACATATTCACATGGCTGGCAGGAGAGAGAGTGAATGAAACAGGAGGTGCTACATACTTTCAAACAACCAGATCCCTTGAGAACTCTTACCGCAAGACAACACTAGGAGGACGGTGCTAAACCGTTAGAAACTGCCCCCATGAGCCAATCACCTCTCACTGGGCCCCACCTCCAACAATGGGAATTACAATTCAACATGAGATTTGGGTGGGGACACAGAACCAAACCATATTATGTATGTATATTTGTTTCAGTGAAATTTTCTGTTATTAACATAGTTTTATATGCTGGGGACAAGCAGAACACATGCTTCATTTTGTTGTGTTAAATGTAGCCCCTAAACACAAAGCAACTATTTCATCAGTGATGTAACTACAGAAAGAGCCAAACTCAGTGGCTCATGCATGTAATCCCAGCACTTTGGGAAGCTGAGGCAGATGTATCGCTTGAGTCCAGGAGTTCAAGAACATCCTGGACAATGTGGCGAAAACTCATCTCTTATAAAAAAAAAAAAAGAAAATTAGCCAAGTGTGGTGGTGCACATCTCTAGTCCCAGCTACTCTGGAGGCTGAAGTGGGAGAATCACTTGAGCCTGGGAGATTGAGGCTGCAGTGAGCCAAGGTGTTGCCACTACACTCCAGCCTGAGTGATCCACCTCGGCCTCCCAAAGTGCTGGGATTACAGGTGTGAGCCACCAGGCCTGGACACTAATAGTATTCTTTTTTTATTTTTATTTTTATTTTTTATTTTGAGACAGTCTCGCTCAGTCACCCAGGCTGGAGTGGGAGTAATCTCCACTCACTGCAACCTCTGCCTTCCGGGTTCACGTGATTCTCCTGCTTCAGCTTTCCAGGTAGCTGGGATTACAGATGTGTGCCACCACTCACACCGGGCTAATTTTTGTATTTTTAGTAGAGACGGGGTTTTATTCTGTTGGTCAGGCTGGTCTCGAATTCCTGACCTCAAGTGATCCACCCGCCTCGGCCTCCCAAAGTGCTGGGATTACAGACATGAGCCACCATGCCCAGCCACCAATAGCATTCTTAATAACAATTTTCTTTGGTTATTCAGTTCAGGCTTTGTTTTGTGAATGCCTCCTACACACATACACCTACACATACACATACACACACACACACACACACACACACACACACACACACACACACACACAATTGCTATTATATAACATGGTGAGTATTTAGTGAGTATTTCTCTAATCTGCTTAAATGATGCAGGGCTTTCTCATACTGACTCGTATTGTTCTAGCCAAGCAGACTGAGCATTAGAAATAACATTTTAGGATGCCCAAAGACAGGGGTACTGGAAATTAATTTTTGTGGCCTTGCTTTTTTCTTATACACTCTGAATGAGTCTATATATCATTCAATATTTTGAATTGCAGAGAAACTTAGATAACTGAAAGGAATACCTCAGCAGAATGTAGGCTTCTCTATTTTGTTCTTATTAAATTATCAAAGAAGAAAATGAACATGAGTTATTTAAAATGATTGTCCTTGGAGGCCTTTGGGACCAAGTCATTTAAATGGACTGATAAGAAGGTGGCCCATTTTGTGTCTTGATGACCTTCCTGAGAATGGCTGGCACAGACAGAGATTTTTTTCTCCTCAGACCTAACCTGATTTCATTCTGTTTCTGCATATTTGTCAACCTGATTTTATTCTGTGTAACATAAAGGGGAAAATGTGAAAACCAGTTCCTGTCAGTAAACCTTTAAAAATTATTTAAAAGCCCAACCCCTTACAATTTGTTAAGTTCCTAATGGTTTCTTCCAATGAAGTTTTCAGTTCACTGATTTTTTTTTCCACTCAGAAGCAGGGGCTGTGAAGTCAAGAGTGTAAGACAGTGTGGGTTAACTGTTTTAAGTTCTGTTTCTGTGAAATGTATTCTATTCATGTTTACAGAGCAACAGAGGAAAGCTTAGAGAATTAAGTACACCGTAAATTTAACCACAGAAGCTTATGAGTAGCTAGATTAACTTCAAAACAATCAGTAAATAAATATTTTAAACTTCCACTGACCTTTTTAAAAATCTACTTCCAGATACGTTGTTTGAACTATTCTCATAAATTAGTCATCTTGCAAAACAGCTGTGACAATATGATGTAATGAAGAGAGCAATGATTTAGCAGTCAGAAGGCTGGGAGTCCTTGTCTTGGCTCATTCACAGGGAGATCACATGACATGCCAAAGTCCCCTAGATAAGGGAGCCATACATGAGAGGATTGAGGATTGGGTCAATGATCTATCATAAAAGACTTTCTATGAGTCTGTGCTTACACTTAGAAACCTCACAAAGAACACACCAGGGAATTTGGGTGAGAGCAGGAGCTTCAGCTCATGCAGAATTGCAGTGTTATTTTAGAGTTGTGTTACGACTCTTAGGCTTAGAAGACAGAATGTCTGAGTCAGGATTCTGTTGTGTATAATGGATTGCACTCTCGTTGGCTTAGACGGAAAAGCGTTAAATGGCTTGCAGAATTGTTGGGAGGGCTGAGCTTCCAGGAGCAGCTCCCAAAGTCTCCACACAGAATTGGACCACCAGGGAACCTGCTCCCTCCACCAGGACAGGAGCCTTAACTTCAGAAAGCTGCCCACCCAGTTGGAAAGCTGCCACCACAGTTACCAGCACCAGAAGCATCTTGTCTCTGCTACAGTCTCTGTGCACATAGTGAATGCCCTGTGCCCTGCCTCTCTCCCCCTGACTCAGGTGCCACTCCGGGTCTCGCTCAAGTCTTTCTGATGATGGAACTTAAATCACGCCCAAAATCCCAGCTGCAGGAGAGCTCTGAGATTTCATCTTTCCAGCCTCTGTGTGCCACCTGGGGTTTGGAGCATTTGCCAACAAGCCAATCCACTGCATTCACCATTGACAATAAGCAAAATGTTTATGATCAGTAACATTTGCATTTTTTCACAATTTGCAGCATACAGGCTTCTTAATTAGAGCTAATGTCAAGTCATTCTACATATAAAAATATCATTTTTGACCGTTTCTCAAGAAACAGCTTTTTAAAAAATCAAGAGCAATGCCTACATTATTTCCTGATGCAAAGCTGGTAGAGAAGATAGGATGTTAAATTTAGAATTTCCCTTCCAGCTTTGTTTATTTTCTCCACATCAGCTCTGTTTTCCTCTGTGTCTTTTTCTCCCATGGGGACGTCCTCCACCTTTTCAGTTTGATTTGACCTTTGCTGTGCAGACCTGTGGATGAAGAGCCAGAGTCCCCCAAGGTCGATGCTGCTGGCCAGTGGCCTGGTGTGTGTGTTAACAGAACATCTCCAACGCCCTCAGAGCCCATGACCACCATAAGTCACTCATCAAGTCATTTGACTTGGGATGCCCTGGTATTTAATCATTTTTTTCTATAAGCAAAGTTCCAAATTCAAACTTTGGCCCGACATATCAAACGTTTCTTGACTGTACCCTGGCCCCACGTTGTTACAACCACAAGGGCACTTTCCAGGTACTACCACATGGAGCGGCTGCAGGCAGGAGCCTGGCCCAGGCTCCGGGGAGGCACTCATGGAGAGCCTGACTCATGAGTAACACAAAAGCAGCCTCTTCCTCTCTACCTCTTCCTCCTCTCCAGTTCCTGCCTTGCCTCATTTCTTTTCTGCCTCTCATAGCCATTAAATTCAGGTCACTACTATTTGCCATTTTCTTATTTCATGAGAAATAGCACGGTCAGCCAGAGGCTTCATCTCCAAGGAAACCAGGCGTCACAACTGTGCACCTGACCCTTTTGTAGGCACCCTTGGCCATCCCCATCTTGCAGCCTGCTAGACATTTTTCTACCTGGTCTTGTATGTGAGCACCTGTGTTGATCTGTCACTTCTGATCTTGGTGTGCTCCCAGGTTTCCTGGAATTTTCTGATAGACTCACAATACCCCTTTAGTCATGTTTATCTTCATGTATGAGAAAGATGCATAGCTATACTTCATACATATACTGTACACATAAAGATAGCAAATAGAAGAAACAATATGCATCTGTCCACTGTAACAGTATCTTTCTTCCTGGACTGCAATGAACATGCCATTGTATTGAAAGACTCTAGTAGGCTGGGCACGGTGGCTCACGCCTGTAATCCCAGCACTTTGGGAGGCCGAGGCGGGCGGATCACGAGGTCAGGAGATTGAGACCATCCTGGCTAACATGGTGAAACCCCGTCTCTACTAAAAATACAAAAAATTAGCTGGGCATGGTGGTGGGTGCCTGTAGTCCCAGCTGCTCAGGAGGCTGAGGCAGGAGGATGGCATGAACCGGGAGGCAGAACTTGCAGTGAGCCGAGATCGCCCCACTTCACTCCAGCCTGGGCAACAGAGCAACACTCTGTCTCAGAAAAAAAAAAAAAAAAAAAAAGGCTGTAGTAAAAATTAATCCTAGAATGTACCCGGTTATTATCTCTGCTAAAATAGTTTGCAATTAAATTAAATGAAGATTAAACTACATGTATTGAAAGACATGAAAGCCCAGTGAGTGAGTCAGTGAAGATGGGAAGTGAATTAACAGTCACAGTTTGTGCAAGAACTTTCCTGTTCCTTCCTCCCCTAGGCACCTCATTATTTAAACATATTCGTTTTACTCAGTTGTCCTACATCTAGGACTAGCCTCCACTCAGCTAACAACTCCTCCCCTCTCATTTCTCCAATTCAGCTCTAGTCCAGAGGAGAAAAGAATAATAAATATCACACTAAACACCATGGAATACTTCTCAAGTCACCAAAGAGGTAAATCAAAAAGTATTATTTGCTATTTTGAACTGGAACAACATGTAAATGTTCCCATCTCTTTTCTTGGCAGATGGAACTGGACAGAATACTTCTGTCCATAAGGCCCTTAGAAGCCTCCTAAGCGAAATACCAGTGAGGACCTCCCCAGCAGCTGCTGTCTCTCCTGCCAGGTAGATGAGCCCCAGGAATAACCACTGCTTATGGTTTGTTTTATATCCCTCTAGATGTTTTTCTTTATACATATGTGTGTGTGTGTCTGTGTCTGTGTGTGTAGAGAGAGGGTGTGTGTTGTGTAAATTGGATTATACTACACATTAGTCCAACACTTACTCATTTCACGTTATCATTGGAATGTGAGCTCCGTGGGGACCAAGATTTTTGTTTATTTTGCTTGCTAACACATCTTTTGTCGATAACAGGGAGTGAAACATGGTCACATCGTGATAGAAGCTCAACAAATATTTGTTGAATGAATAAAGGAATATGTCTGAGACATCTTTACATTGCAACATTTGGAGAAATGATTCCTTTTTGTAAAGGTTACATAATACACATCAATGTATATAGCCATACTTCTACTGATAGATTTTAGGTTACTTGGGGTAAACAATAAAGTGAAGATCCTTATGCAATTTTTTGACCACTAAAGGGGCTATTTCTGCATAAGGGTGGATCAAGATTCATTTGCAAATATGAGAGATCACTGTAGTTAAGCAGAAAGGGATTTAATCCAGGGCATTTGGTACTGGAAGGGCTGGAGAAGGCAGTAGGCTCTGTCCACTGAGCTTCCAGGAAGGGTTCCCAGAGCATCTCAATGCTGGTCCAGTAAAGGAGCTTCTGTTCCTGCCAGAATCAGGAAGTCTTTCTGTAGGTACATGCCCAGGTCCACCACTGCTGCCAAGATCTAGGATCAGCCTTGGGACCACACAGCCACAGGTGCAGTCCATGCCAGCACACCATGCTCTGTGCCTGCCTCATACTGCCCAGAAGATGATGGAACAGACCCAAGAATCTCCACTTCCCTGCCACAGAACAGCAAATGCCTTCCCAGCCATGCTTGCCAGGAGAAGCTGCAGAAGGGCAGCCTTCTACTCCCTGTACCTTCCACATCCTCTGAGAAGGGGCCTGTTTGACAGAAACTAGGCCACTTAATGAGCCAAGCTTTAAGGACTTTGGCAAATACACCCCTTAGCTTTCCAGTCTCATGTAAGTCAGTAAGTCACCCTTCAAAGAGACGAGGATGGAATCAAGTGAGCCTGTCCTGAGATCTTCCACACATTGATTCCTAGAAAAGGAAAATGGAGTCCTAGAAAAGGAAGTGTATTTGACCTGTCCTGGCACGTTGAAAAACTTGATAGACACATTGCCGTCAGTTTACCCTCCCACTCATAGCATGCAAGGTACTGTTTTCCCAGAATTTTCACACTCTATAAATTTTAAAGATTAAGTAAATGAACAATAATAACTTGATTTACTTTGTCCTTCAGTAAGGTTGAGCACTTCATATGTTTACAGACCGTTTATCTATCTTTTATATGTGTGAATGAAAACTTACATACTTTGCCTGTATTTATTTTGAGGTATTAGTCTTTTTCCTATTTGTAAGAAATCTTGATATATTGTGCTTTTTAACTTTTTTATATGTAATGCTATTATTTTCTTTATCTTTGAACTTTGTTTGAAGTTATATTTTACTGAAGAAAAATGTTGCATCTTGTATTCAGTGCTTTCCTTTATGATTTTAAGTGTTTTGTTTCCTGCCTTAAAAAGACCTTTCTAGCTATTAGATTATGAAAATATTCTTCCTTAACATCTTAAAGAAGTCTTTTATTTGTTCAGTCTTAAAACCCATAGAAACATGGGTTTGAATTTAAGTGATCTTTCCCTATCTTAACTGACTTCTGGACTCAGAAGTAAATACTCTTTGAAGGAAGATTACATCATCCAGAACCTCAACTTATAGCCACATTAAAAAAATATATGGTGTCATAGTCAATTTTAAAAATACTAAGTATACAAATAGATAATACCAAATGATGAAAAAAACAAGAGAAAACTAGGCAACAGAAGCAGACACAGGAGATCCAGATATTAGACACGGACTTTAAAACAACTGAGATTAATCCAGTAAAGAAAATAAGTAACAAGGTGGATAATTTCAGCAGAAAACCACAATCTATAAAAAAGAATCCATTAGAAATGTTATAACTTAAAAATAAAATGCCTAAATTTAAGACTCAACAAAGTTTACCTGTAGATTAAACATTTTCAGAGAGGCTTAAGGAACTAAAGACAAGTTGATAGAAATATCTGAACTGAAGCGCAGAGAAAACAAAGAATAGGAAATAGAGAAAAGGACATAAGAGCTATATGGGATGGGGTGAAAAGATCTAATGTGTAATTGGAGTCCCCAAAAGGGAAAACAAGAAAAACAAGACAGATAGGGCAGAAGCAGTATTGGAAGAGATAATGGCCAAGAATTTTGAAAACTAAACAGATGTTAAGCCCTAGATTCAAGAACAACATGAACCGAAAGCAAAGTAAGTGCAAAGAAAACCACCTAGACACATTAGGCTAAAACTGCTAGTAATGAAAGAGAAAGCATTGTAAAAGCACTCAAAGGGAAAAAAGAAACCTTAATATCAAAGGAGCAAGAGCTAAAACTGACATCTGCCTTCTCAACAAAAATGATGGAAGCCAGAAGACAATGCAGTGGCGTCTGCAAAATGCAGAAGGAATGCCTGCTTTCCTAGAATACCGTACTTGGTGAAAATACCCTTCAAAGGTGAACACAAAAGGAAGATGCTTTCAGTACAACAAAAACAGATTTCTTTTTTACCAGTGTACTTGTGATGAAAAGATTATCTTAAAAAGTTCTGCACGAAGTTTGTTCTTTTAAAAGATTATTAAAATTGATGAACCTCTGACGAGGCTGATATAAAGAAAAGGCATAAATTAGCTATATCAGGAATTTTTAAAGGGGTGTATCACTAAAGATCCCATAATTATGAAAACAGTGATGAGGAGATTACAGATTAGTGCTCTGTATAGTACTACTCTATAAATTAGAAAATGTTGATGAAATGGTCAAAATCGTAGAAAAACATCACTTACTAAACTGACATAAAAAGTAGTAGGAAATCCTGATAGTCTGTAATTTAAATAATTTTCTCAAAGGAAATGCCAGGAGGCCCAGATGGTTTCATCATGAAATCTCCCAAACATTTAAGGAAGAAATAACACCAGTCTTATGTATATTCATACAGAGACTAGAAAAAGACTAGAAAAAAGGGTAAACTTTCTTAGATCATTTAAGAGGCCAGTGTATCTTCGATACCTAATTCTTGCAAGGACATTAAAAGACAGGAAAATTAAAAGGTCAGTGTCTCTCATGAACCTCCATGCAAAAATCCAGAACAAAATCTTGGAAAACCTAATTCAGAGATACATTTATTTATTTATTTACTTATTTATTTTTGAGACGGAGTTTCACTCTTGTTGCCCAGGCTGGAGTGCAATGGCACGATCCTGGCTCACCGCAACCTCCGCCTCCCAAGTTCAAGTGATTGTCCTGCCTCAGCCTCCCGAGTAGCTGGGATTACAGCCATGCGCCACCAGGCCTGGCTAATTTTGTATTTTTAGTGGAGGCGGGGTTTCTCCATGTGGGTCAGGCTGGTCTCGAACTCCTGACCTCAGGTGATCTGCCCACCTCGACCCCCAAAGTGCTGGGATTACAGGCGTGAGCCACTGCGCCTGGCCTCAGAGATACATTTAAAAGATCATGTTAAATTGGGTTTATTCGAGGAATGCAAGGTGGTTTTAACTACTGAAACCAACCAGAGTTAATTTACCACATTAACAAAGGTATAAAAAGTATAGTCATCTTATTAGATGATAGGAAAATATGTTCAATAAAGATTAATACCTTTCTTAATGAAAAGTCTTAGAAAACTAGGAATAGAAGGGCAATTCCTTAATCTGATGAAGGGTCTCTATTATATATCTACATCATACATCATACTTAATGGTGAAATATTGGACGCTTTCCCACAAGATTATGAATGAGATAGGAATGCCCCATATTGTCACTTTTGTTCAGCTCATTTCAAAAGCAAGATATAAAACTACTTTTGAAAACTGTACACCATTATATTTACGTGAGACATGGATACATGGAATTGTGTTTAATGCGATGTGGAGTAGGACCTCTAAGGGAAAGAATGCTTTGGAAAACCTCACAATGGCTCTGCTCACTCATGTGCACAGACAGATGTACCAGGATATTCATTTCCTTATGCTTATATCAATATCAATGCCAGTATTGACAGAGAATCGATCAAATAAATTATGGTAATGAAAATAGCTAAAATCTATTGAATGTCTACTATGTACCAGGCCATGTTTTGATTGTTCTAACTGGATTTAACTCTTTTTTTTTTTTTTTTTTTTTTTTTGAGACGGAGTTTTGCTTGTTGCCCTGGCTGGAGTGCAATGGCACCATCTTGGCCCACTGCAACCTCCACCTCCTGGGTTCAAGCAATTCTCCTGCCTCAGCCTCCCAAGTAGCTGGGATTACAGGTCTGCACCACCAGACCCGGCTAATTCTATATTTTTTTAGTAGAGATGGGATTTTACCATGTTGGCCAGGCTGCTCTTGAACTCCTGACCTCAAGTGATCCACCCGCCTCGGCCTCCCAAAGTGCTGGGATTACAGGCATGAGCCACCACACCCGACCAGATTGAACTCATTTAATCCCCCCCAACAATCCTCTGGGGTAGGTACTATTTATATCAGTGCCATTTTATAGATAAAGAAAATGAAGCACAGAGGATGAAGTAACCCAGAGTTGTGCAGCTGGTTGGTGGCTATGTGGCCCCAGAGCCCTGTGCTTGGCCTCTTGTGTAACACTTCCCATGAGAAGCCACCAAAAAGGTTAGAGAATGACCAGTAAGTGAAAGAAGCAAAACGGTATGCAAAGCAATGGAATCCTGTGATAACATTTGTGTTTTTAGAATAACAGAGGGTTTTTCTTCAAGGGTTTTCCTTGAATAATATCACTCTCACCTGCATTCTGAAATGCTTTTTTTTAATGGTGGTAAAACAAATACACCATGAAAACTACCCTCTTAACAAATTTTTAAGTACGGTTAACTATAAGCACAATGTTGTACAGCAGATCTCCAGAAACTTTTTCTAAAATTTCAACTTTATTTCAGATTCAGGGTACATGTGCAGGTTTGTTACATGGGTATATTGTGGGATGCTGAGGTTTGGGGTACAATTGATCCCATCATCCAGGTGGTGAGCATAGTATCCAATAGGTAGTTTTTCAACCTTTGCCCCCCACCCCATTCTACCACTCTCCAATGTCTATTGTTGCCATCTTTTTGTCCTCTAGAACTTTTTTATCTTGCTTGACTGAAACTGTACCCACTGAACAACTCCCCACTTGCCCTCCCCACAACCTCTGGCAGCCACCACTCTACTCTCTGCTTCTGTGAGTTTGACTACTTTAGATTCTTCACTGATACGGTTTCGCTCTGTGTCCCCACCCAAATCTCATCTCGAATTGTAATCTCCATAATCCCCATGTGTCTAGGGAGGGACTTGGTGGGAAGTGATGGGGTCCATTTCCCCCATGCTGTTCTTGTGATAGTGAGTGCTCACGAGATCTGATGGTTTTATAAGTGTTTGACAGTTCCTGGTTTTATAAGTGTTTGACAGTTCCTCCTCCACATGCACTCTGTCTTTCTCTGTCCCCGCCTTCCCCCACCTTCCTCCTGCCACCTTGTGAAGAAGGTGCCTATTTCCCTTTCTACCATGATTGTAAGTCTCCTAAAGCCTCCTCAGCCATGTGAAACTGTGAGTCAATTAAACCTCTTTATAAATTCCCAGTCTCAGGGAAGGTCTTTATAGCCGCGTGAAAACTGACTAATAGTGTAAATTTGTAGCAGTAGAGTCAGGTACTGCTATAAAGATAGCCTGAAAATGTGGAAGTGACTTTGGAACTGGGTAACAGGCAGAGGTTAGAACAGTTTGGAGGGCTCAGAACAAGATAGGAAGATGTGGGAAAGTTTGGAACTTGCTAGAGATTTGTTGAATGGTTTTGACCAAAATGCTGATACGATGTGGAAAATGAAGTCCAGGGTGAGGTGGTCTCAGATGGGGTTGAGGAACTTATTGGGATCTGGAGCAAAGGTCACTCTTGCTGTCTTTTAGCAAAGAGACTGATGGCATTTTGCCCCTGCCTTAGAGATCTGTGGAACTTTGAACTTGAGAGAAATGATCTGAAATTGGAACTTATGTTTCAAAGGGAAGCAGAGCATAAAAGTTTGGAATATTTGCAGCCTGACAGTACAATAGAAATGAAAAACCAACTTTCTGGAGAGATACTCAGACCAGCTGCAGAAATTTACATAACAAGGAGCCGAATGTTAATCACCAAAACAGTGGGAAAAAATGTCCCCAGGACATGTCAGAGATCTTGGTGGCAGCCTGTCCCATCACAGGCCCAGAGACCTAGGAGTTAAAAATGGTTTTGTGGCCTGGGCCCAGGGCCGCCCTGCTCTGTGCAGCCTTGGGACTTGGTGCCCTGTGTCCCAGCTGCTCTAGCTCCAGTGGTGGCTAGAAGGGGCCAATGTACAGCTTGGGCCATTGCTTCAGAGGGTGCAAGCCCCAAGTCTTGGTGGCTTCCATGTGGTGTTGGACCTGTGGGTACACAGAAGTCAAGAACTGAGGTTTAGGAACCTCTGTCTAGATTTCAGAGGATGTATGGAAATGCCTGGATGACCAGGCAGAAGTCTGCTGCAGGGATGGAACCCTCATGGAGATCCCCTGCTAGGGCAGGGCAAAAGAGAAATGTGAGGTTGGTGCCCCCACACAGAACCCCCCTGGGGCACTGCCTAGTGGAGCTGTGAGAAGAGGGACACTGTCCTCCAGACCCCAGAATGGTAGATCCACTGACAGTGTGTACCGTGCACCCAGAAAAACCACAGGCACTCAACACCAGCCCGTGAAAGCAGCTAGAAGGGGTGTTGTACCCTGTAAAGCCACAGGGATGGAGCTGCCGAAGACCATAGGAGCCTACCCCTTGGATCAGTGTGACCTGATGTGAGACATGGAGTCAAGGAGATCGTTTCAGAGCTTTAAGATTTGATGACTGCCCCACTGGGTTTTGGACTTGCCTGGGGCCTGTGGCTTCTTTATTTTGGTCAATTTCTCCCATTTGGAACAGGAGCATTTATTCAATGCCTGTACTCCCATTGTATCTTGGAGGTAACTGACTTGTTTTTATAGCAGTGTGAAGTGGACTAATATACTCACATACATGGAATCATGCAACATTTGTCCTTCTGTGACCGGCTTCTTTGACTTAGCATAATGTCTTCAAGGCTCATTTATGTTGTAGCATGAGACAGGATTTCCTTTTTATGGGTGAATATCTCCATTTTATGGGTAATAATATTCCATTGTATATTATGTACCATCTTTTCTTCATCCATTCATCTGGTGGTGGACACTTGGGTTGCATCCACCTCTTAGCTTTTGTGAATAACACTGCAATGATCATGAGAGTGCAAATATCTCTTTGAGATTCTGTTTTCAATTCTTTGGGATAAATACCTAGAAGTGGCATTGCTGGATCATTTGGTAGTTCTATTGTTATGTTTTTGAGGAACCTCCATACTGTTTTCCATAATGGCTACACCATTGTACGCTCTCATGAACAGTGCACAAGGGTTTCTCTGCCTCCTCACCAGCACTTGTTTTTTTCTGGGTTTTGATGATGGCCTTCCTAACAGGTGTGAGGTGGCATGTCACTGTGGTTTTGATTTGCATTTCCCTGATGATTAGTGATGTTGAGCATCTTTTCATATACTTGTTGGCCATTCAAAATAAAATGCTTTTACACACGTCCTTGAATATACAGAGAACATTCCAGGAAAGATATTCACAAAGCTGATTAGTAATGAGTACTCTTGGGAAGGAGAACTGGGGTGCAGGAGTGAAAGGGAGACTTTCTCTTCACTATTTGCCCTTTTTGTTTCTTTTGAGGATTGTGTCTATTGCATATATTACCTATTTGAATAAATGAGTTAATTAAAAACTCCCCCAGTTATTCCACTGTGTTTAAGAACTGTTGGACACACACACGCGTGTGCACACACACACGCACCTGTGTTGGTGCTGTTCTTGATGTTACAAGCTCACCATTCTGTTGCCCCACTGGTTTTTACAGAGGCATCTGGCTTAGAGCAGTGTGCGGTCGGCCAGCAAAGGGATGACTCAATGCTTGGACCTTCCTGACCTTCCCCTTACAGGTAAATTACATAAACATAAAAGACTTTTGACTTACTGCAGTTTCAACCCCAGAATAATGGACGTGTCATGGACGTTAGATCCAGCAGTGCAGCTGACACAAGGAATAAGTGTCTTATCTCCTGCCAGCTGCACCTCTCAGTGTGCTTGTGCTAGGGAGACAGAAACTTTGTTGCTGATTTTTTTAAAGACATAGGGTCTTGCCTTGTTGCCCAGGCTGGTCTTGAACTCCTGGCCTCAAGCAATCCTCTCACCTAAGCCTCCCAAAGCACTGAGATGTGAACTACCATGCTTGGCCAAAAAAACCATTCTTTTAGTTGCCAAGATGCATACTAAAGTTGAGACCACAACAACTATTGCCCTGAAGTAAATACCTCATTGACAGTACTCCTCACTTAGCCCCCTCCAGGCACCGGTCTGCTTGGATGATTCTATTTACTGTAATAAAGGATCACAGTGACAATTGCTTGCTTCCAGCAATCACCAGAAGTTGCTTGTCAACATTGAGATCATCAGAAGCTGCAGAAACAGGGATTAATGGGCTGTTTTTGTTGTTCTCTTTAGTGATGTAAATACTGTTTTTCTCTGCTATTTAGAGCTAATTAGCCCCACTCCCAACTTTAGTACCCATAATTGGTGGCTGTGAGCTGTAGAAGGATTGTTTTCTTCCGTGACTGTTTGTGGGTCATGGGCAGCAACTGTGGGCCTGGTCTCTGGCTTGCTATGTAGCTCTAAACAAAGCACTTAGTTCTCTCAGCTCCAGTTTCCCCTATAACTATAAACTAGACAATCTTGAAAGGTTTATCCTGTTCTATATTTTTATGGTCCTTTACGAAATATCATCTGACCAGGTATCATGGCATGCTCCTATAGTCCTAGCTACTCAGAAGGCTGAGGTGGGAGGATCACTTGAGCCCAGGAGGTTAAGTCCAAATCCAGCCTAGGCAACATAGCGAAATTCCATATCTAAAAAAGAAAAAGAAATATCACCTGGAGGATTCAGTCTATTTCATTATCTGTTTTGATTGTGACTAATATGACAGCAGAAAGAGCCTTGAAAGAATTAAGGGAGGAGACCACCCCTCATATTGTCTTATGCCCAATTTCTGCCTCCAAAGAAAGAAGAAGTGAAAACTAAAAGGCAGAAATGAAATCCACAGACAGCCCGGCACCACACCCTGGGCCTGGTAGTTAAAAAATCGACCCCTGACCTAATCGGTTATTTGCATAAGAAAAGCACTGTGAAGATCCGTGTCCTGTTGTGTTCTGTTCTAATTACTGGTGTATGCAACCCCCAGTCAGGTACCCCCTGCTTGCTCAATCGATCACGACCCTCTCATGCGGACCCCCTTAGAGTTGTGAGCCCTTAAAAGGGACAGGAATTGCTTACTCAGGGAGCTCGGCTTTTGAGACAGGAGTCTTGCTGATGCTCCCGGACGAATAAACCCCTTCCTTCTTTAACTCAGTGTCTGAGGGGTTTTGTCTGCAGCTCTTATCTGCTACAGAATGATTTCTGCTTTTTTATTGAACCAGGCCCTGTGGCTGGAATGGCCTTTCTCACGTAAAAAGGTTCTTCTTGGTTCCCAGTTTCCTTCTTGCCTGCCGCTGCCTGTGACCTGGTCATCACATGAGGCATTTTCCTGCCACTCTCTCTCTCTCTGATGTCTGTCAATTAAAACATTACCTGGGGGCAGGTAATGTCTTTCCCCAGGTAAGGGCAATTTCATAAGGCCCTTAGAAAGGTGCATGCTGGGTTTAATGCTCTGATGACATCGTCTTGAAATTCACAATAATTTTTGAACAAGGGTTGATTTGCATATAGATCCTATAAAGGAAGTGGTGGTCCTGCCTGGAGAATCCACGTCCCTATTGCATTTTCATTACATCGGAAGCATATATATGTTTATACTTGAGGATAAAATGAGAACTGTGTTGTACTGGAGAATGATGTTTGATGGCAATTAAGAGCCTCTTCTTCAGGAATAGGTGATTATGTGGTCGTTCCCACAGATCTTCGAAAGGGAAGGACCTAGGAACTGAAGCCAGACCCCCACCTCTGCAAGAGTTCCTTGCTGGAGTCACTCAGCAGACCCCCACTCTCTGGACTTTGGGGACATGAGACTGCTGAGCACCTCCACCAGAGGGAAAGTGGAAGTGGCCCCAAGAAAGAGGGAACCACGAAGCAGTTTCAGGTATCATGTCTCAAACAGTAAGAAATCAGAAAAACATAGGGCTTATCAGCTTTGATTGTTCCTTCTGTTTTGTCCTCCTGGACAATTGACTTCGACAAATATTTGCTGCATGAAAATAATTAAGATGCAGTGCCCGTCTTCAGTGAGTTTAAAAGGAAGATGCTGGACAGTAAGTAGTGTCAAGATGAAATTAAGAGCTGTAAAAATACAATACTAAATAGGCAAAGTACTTGAGAGTTGTTAGTTGGCATAAGAAGTGTAGAGAGAAGTAGAAGTTCAGGGAATGTGGGTGGTAATGTGTGTCTGGACTAGACTGTGGGCTTCCTAAGGCCAGGGACTCTGCCATATATATGCATGGTAGGCTCTCTGTCAGTATTTGTTGGGTGGATGGATAGGTGACTAGGACATTCCAGCTGGAAGGCAGGTTGGAGCCATATTGCAAATCTTCATTGCTAAGGAAGAGGTTTGTGCTTTGTTTTGATAAAGCACTGAGGAGCCACCAAGTTTGTGGGATTTTGTTCCTGTTTTTGAGTTATGGTACAGTGAGATTGGACCCATATTTTAAGGAGGAGTCATGAGAAAACAGTGGCATGTAAGGATTAGAGAGGTATTTTGAAATCAGTGTTTAAGGAGGACTTTTGCAGGGATGTGAAGGAGGGCTTGGCAGAGGGCAGGACTGCAAGGCCAACAGGGTGGTCACTAAGAGCTGGTCTTTGCTGCCACACCTCTGTCACCTCCTCCCTTTTCAGTGCCCCTGGTCACCCAGGTTACAGCAAACCTCTTTCAACTGTTTCCTCTCTCATGTCTTCCTGCTTCTTCATGTTGGTTGATCTTCTGAAGCACTGAGCACATACTGCTGCAGACCTTGCAGAAATTTCCCATGACTCTGTCCTCTGCACTCCTCATCCTGATCTTCTAGATGCTCCACTACTTAGCACCACCCCTGCCCACCTGCCAGAATGGCCCAGCCTCTCCCTCCACCTGAACCTGTTTTAGTCCGTGCCATAGCAATATTGCACAAGCATATTTGAGTGTAAGTCTTTGTGTATAAGGTTCTAACTTGAATTGTCCTCCTTTTGTCCTTTCACACTCTAAATACTGTTCTCTTTATTTAAAGGTCAAAACTTTCATGAAGTTATAGCTAACACCTGGCAGCATTGACATCTCCCTTCTCCCTTCTTTTTTCTTTTTCTTTTCTTTTTTTTTTTTTTTGAGACAGATCCTCACTCTGTCACCAAGGCTGGAGTACAGTGGCATGATCTGGGCTCACTGGAACCTCTGCCTCCTGGGTTCAAGTGATTCTCATGCCTCAGCCTCCTGAGTAGCTGGGATTATAAAGGCATGCACCATGACACCCAGCTAATTTTTGTATTTTTTTTAGTAGAGACAGGATTTCACCATTTTGGCTAGGCTGGTCTCAAACTCCTGATCTGCCCACTTCAGCCTCCCAAAACGCTGGGATTGCAGGTGTGAGCCTCCATTCCTGGCCAACATCTCCCTTCTCTGACTTTGGTGTCTTACGCTATTTCAGGTGTTTAATTTCTGTACTGCTTTGTGGTGTGGATAACTTCTGCACAATATATGCCTTAATCTCCATTTATGCTGTAATTTAGTGGACAGTAAATGTTCAGCTTACCTTTGGTATCTCTCCCAGCCCCTTGCATTGTGCAACACACATAACATTTCACTCAGTAAAACTTACGAATGAGTATGCTCATTCATATACAATATGAATGTATTGTTTATTTATCAGTATACAAAATTGGCTACTTTTGGAGTAATAGCTTTTTTTTTTTTTTTTTTTTGGGAGACAGAGTCTCACTGCAACCTCTGCCTCGGGTTCAAGCAATTCTCCTGCCTCAGCCTCCTAAGTAGCTAGTAGTAGCTTTTTAATACATATTATCATTACTAATAAGGGTACTATCAAAGGATTTATGAAAGTCTGAATGAATAAGCTAGGACTTATTGTTATACCTTTGGATGTAGCCTATATTTGCACGCAAATAGATGAAGTCATATATTTTAGAGGTTTAATTTAAAGCCCCAGATATTACATATTGTCCTGTTTATGTGCGCGAGATTTAAATAATCAAAAGAGGTTTTAAAAACCAGAATTAGTGCTATTCTAAAATTCTCCTTTTCATTATACCAGAAATGCATACAGGAAGGCTATGGGTATATTAATATGCTACTGATATTTTATCTTTCATAGTGAAAAGTTAAATTAGTAAAATCAATTTATTTCAATTTTACATTTATCTCATTGAGATAAAGCAATGGCAGGATATCTGGTATTTTTAATATGCCCTTCCAATATACCTTGAAAAATTTTTTTTTATTTTTTAGAGATGGGGGTCTCGCTCTGTTGCCCAGGCTGGAGTGCAGTGGTATAATCATAATTCACTACATCCTTGAACTGGCCTCAAGCAGTCCTCCCACCTCAGCCTCCTGAATAGCTGGGACTACAGGTGTGCGCTACCATGCCCAGCTTATTTATTTATTTATTTATTTATTTATTTATTTCAGAGTTGAGGTCTCACTATGTTTCCCAGGCTGGTTTCAAGCTCCTGGGCTCAGGTAATCCTCCTGCCTCAGCTTTCCAAAGTGCTGGGATTACAGGCGTGAGCCACTGTGCTGTGCCAGTCTCTACCTTTTAAATTTATTTAGATACTGATGTAGTCTTGAAAGCTGTAGAATGCTTTTGTATAGATATCCTTAATTCAAATGAGATTGAATTAAAGGTTCTAGCCTGAATTATATTTACACAAATAAAAGACTAGATGGATGAGCAACAGATGGATTTTAAAACAAAATGTAGCAAAACTCTCCCCAGACTCATGACAGTCAGGAGGCACAATTTCATGTTTGTTTCACACTGTGAGACATCAAATACATTATTAATGTAACTAATGTGGTTGTTTCTTCAGATTCTGGCTGAATAAACCAGACATTTGCTTTTCTAAAGTAGGTATTTATTTCTTGTGAATTTGAGGATTCTAAACATTAGCATCTTCTCCTTAACATGTGCTCTTCTCTCTAACCAGTGTGGAAAGAAGAAACCCTCTGGTGGCCTTGGCCCGGGAATATGGCGGTTTCAAGTGCAATGCTGTACTGAAATGGTACCAGAAGAAGACAGAAGGTTACATGGTAAGGGACAATGTCAGCCAGCTTCCACCAGCCCTGGGCAGTAGTAGGCCTGTGCCAGTACATGTTCCATGTGTGCCTGTGCTTGGTGGACCAATATGCATGTAATTATCATCTTTCTGTTCTCCTAGACAGAGAGGCATATGCAACGGGAAGCCAGTTTGCACTCCACCCACCAAACATATGGGTGCATGCAGAGCTGCATCTCCCTAGGGAAGGGGGACCTTTTCCTTTGCTCAAAGTGTTACCGATCATGGGTTCTTAGGCTCTTGATGCAATAGAAATTCTCACCAGGCCAAAAGAGTTTTCCTAGCAAGGCTTTATTGGAGCATATGCCCAGGCACAAGGGAGGAAGCACAGGAGAGGGAGGATTCTCTGGCTGACTCCCTGAAATGAGCTGATAGGGATTTCTTTTATTAGGCAATGTGCGGAAATTGATGTCAAGGTAGGGAATGCGGGCTGGGCAGGGTAGAGAACGTGAGGGGGAGGGGACATGGGTCAGCTTATCTGCTGGCAATGGTTGTCTTGAGTAATGGGCCATCTGGTGCTCTGGTTAGTGGCAGCAAGGCTGTATGAATCAGTTGTTTAGCATTCCTTCCTGAGGTGGGATACTTGCAACCTTGGTTGGATATTTTGGATCTCCTAAGGCCAGTTCCTGTAATCCTTTAAGTAAAAGGCAAGGTTTAACATTATGAGAGCACCGAAGAACAATATAGAATGGCTGTTTTCTTTGCGTGACTGTTAGTGGGTATGGCGTCAGTGAGGTAGTGGTGTGGGTTTTGTGATCAGTGGGAATGCATGAAAGAATGCTGTAGTGGGGCCTCCACCCAAGGAGACAGCTTTTGCTAAATTACACTCCCAAAGAAGAGTGCTTTGCCTAATTCATATAAAGGCCCTACATAAATGAGCCTCCAAAACTTCTCCAAATATTTTCTTTCTGTTGCTTTCAGAGTTGTTTGCATTTAGTTTAAAGAGTTTTTGTTTACTACGACAGTATCTGTTTTCTGTTCAGAAAAGGAATTAATACCTGGTATAAGTTTAAGTTTTTTGTGCGTGTGAAACACTATACACAAAGATAAAAATGCACAAAATATAAACTATAGTGTTTTTTGTTGTTGTTGTTGTTTAAGAGACGGAGTCTCATTCTGTTGCCCAGGCTGGAGTGCAGTGGCGTGATCTCGGCTCACTGCAACCTCTGCCTCCCGGGTTCAAGCAATTCTCCTGCCTCGACCTCCGGAGTAGCTGGGATTACAGTCGTGAGCCACCACACCTGGTTAATTTTTGTATTGTTACTAGAGATGGGGTTTCACCGTGTTGGCCAGGCTGGTCTCAAACTCCTGTCCTCAGGTGATCCACCTACCTCAGCCTCCCAAAGTCCTGGGATTACAGGCATGAGCCACCACTCCTGGCCTCAAATGATAGTCTCTTGAACTAGGAGGAAGTGAAAAGTCACACAGTCACCACTCACATCCAGAAGAAGAGCATCGCCAGCTCCCACAGACCTTTCCTACAACTTTCCCATCATAACCCCTCACTACTCCCTAAGATAACCATTGTCCTCAATTATTCTCCTTATGGATTTTCACAAAAGTATGCAGCCCTGAATATTATGTTAGTATTGCTTGCATTTGAATTTTATTATAAATGGAATTTTAAAAACTGTGTAATTTTGCATGTTTTTTTTTTTTTTTTGGTTTTAGGGAGCGGAAAGTTTAATAGGCAAGAAGGATGGGAGAAGGCAGAAAATGGAGGCTCCCCTGTACAGAGACAGAGGGAGGGGAGCTTTTTTTTACACAGTATTGAATCAGTGAGATTTATTCATGTTGTCACCTATACTGTAATTTGTTCATTTTCTTCACCATTTAGTAACCCATTGTAGGATTATAGCATTATTTAGTTACCCATTCTATTATTGATAGATCGTTGAGTCAAGTCCAGTTTGGGGCTAAGGTGAATAGCGCTGTTATGTTCATGTCGATGTCTCTTGAAACACATATGTGCTTGTTCCTGTTGGTTACATCCTTCAGAATGGAATTCCTGGGCCTTAGGGTATGCATACATTCTAGGATAGTACCAAACAGATGCCTGAAATATTTGTATAATTTATGTCTTTTCAGCAATTTATGAGAGGTCAATTTCTGTGCATTTTCATCAACACTTGGTAGCATCAGTCTTTTTACTGGAGGTCATGTGGGTAATGTGTAGTAGTGTCTCATTGTGGTTTTGATTTGCATTTTTCTTTTGGCAGTGGAGATTGAGCACCTTTTCATATGCAAATTGGCCATGTGGATAGTCCCTTTTGGGATGCACCTGCTCAGGTTTTTTGCCCACTTTGTTTGTTTGGTGGTGGGGAGCGGGGGTATTGGCTCTGTAAACAGCATATGAACTTTTGTCCATTTTAAGAATCAGATGTCATTCTCTTCCTTATTGCTTTTAAGAATTCTTTATATATTCTCCATGTAAGTCCTTTGTCAAATACATATATGGCAAATACCTTCTTCCAGTGTGCCTTAAATTTTCTTCTTTTGGCTCTGCCTCTGCCTCTGCCGCTGCCGCTGCCGCTGCCGCTGCCGCTGCCTCTCTTTCCACAGTCTCCCTCTGATGCCGAGCCAAAGCTGGACCCTCTGCCTCTCTTTCCACAGTCTCCCTCTGATGCCGAGCCAAAGCTGGACTGTACTGCTGCCATCTCAGCTCACTGCAACCTCCCTGCCAGATTCTCCTGCCTCAGCCTGCCGAGTGCCTGCGATTGCAGGCGCGCGCCGCCACGCCTGACTGGTTTTCGTATTTTTTTGGTGGAGACGGGGTTTCGCTGTGTTGGCCGGGCTGGTCTCCAGCTCCTAACCGCGAGTGATCCGCCAGCCTCGGCCTCCCGAGGTGCCGGGATGGCAGACGGAGTCGCGTTCACTCAGTGCTCAATGGTGCCCAGGCTGGAGTGCAGTGGCGTGATCTCGGCTCGCTACAACCTCCACCTCCCAGCTGCCTGCCTTGGCCCCCCAAAGTGCCGAGATTGCAGCCTCTGCCCGGCCGCCACCCCGTCTGGGAAGTGAGGAGCATCTCTGCCTGGCCGCCCATCGTCTGGGATGTGAGGAGCCTCTCTGCCTGGCTGCCCAGTCTGGAAAGTGAGGAGCGTCTCTGCCCGGCCGCCATCCCATCTAGGAAGTGAGGAGCGTCTCTGCCAGGCCGCCCATGGTCTGAGATGTGGGGAGCGCCTCTGCCCTGCCGCCCCATCTGGGATGTGAGGAGTGTCTCTGCCCGGCCGCCCCGTCTGAGAAGTGAGGAGACCCTCTGCCTGGCAACCGCCCCGTCTGAGAAGTGAGGAGCCCCTCCGCCCGGCAGCCACTCTGTCTGGGAAGTGAGGAGCGTCTCCGCCCGGCAGCCACCCCGTCCGGGAGGGAGGTGGGGGTCAGCCCCCTGCCCGGCCAGCCGCCCCATCGGGAAGGGAGGCGGGGGGGGTCAGCCCGCTGCCCGGCCAGCCGCCCCATCCGGGAGGGAGGTGGGGAGGTCAGCCCCCCGCCCGGCCAGCCGCCCCGTCCGGGAGGGAGGTGGGGGGGTCAGCCCCCCGCCCGGCCAGCCGCCCCGTCTGGGAGGTGAGGGGCGCCTCTGCCCGGCCGCCCCTACTGGGAAGTGAGGAGCCCCTCTGCCCGGCCAGCCGCCCTGTCCGGGAGGGAGGTGGGGGGGTCAGCCCCCCGCCCACCCAGCCGCCCCGTCCGGGAGGTGAGGGGCGCCTCTGCCCGGCCGCCCCTACTGGGAAGTGAGGAGCCCCTCTGCCCGGCCACCACCCCGTCTGGGAGGTGTACTCAACAGCTCATTGAGAACGGGTCATGATGACAATGGCAGTTTTGTGGAATAGAAAGGGGGGAAAGGTGGGGAAAAGATTGAGAAATCGGATGGTTGCCGTGTCTGTGTAGAAAGAGGTAGACGTGGGAGACTTTTCATTTTGTTCTGTACTAAGAAAAATTCTTCTGCCTTGGGATCCTGTTGATCTGTGACCTTACCCCCAACCCTGTGCTCTCTGAAACATGTGCTGTGTCCACTCAGGGTTGAATGGATTAAGGGCGGTGCAAGATGTGCTTTGTTAAACAGATGCTTGAAGGCAGCACGCTCCTTAAGAGTCATCACCACTCCCTAATCTCAAGCACCCAGGGACACAAACACTGCGGAAGGCTGCAGGGTCCTCTGCCTAGGAAAACCAGAGACCTTTGTTCACTTGTTTATCTGCTGACCTTCCCTCCACTATTGTCCTGTGACCCTGCCAAATCCCCCTCTGCGAGAAACACCCAAGAATGATCAATTAAAAAAAAAAAAAATTTCTTCTTTTGATGAACAAAGTTCTTAATTTTAATTAAGTCTAATTTATCAGTCTTTCCTCTAATGGTTAGTGCTTGTTGTATTCTGTATAAGAAATTGTTTATTCATGGCCGGGTGTGGTGGCTCACGCCTGTAATCCCAGCACTTTGGGAGGCCGAGGCGGGCGGATAACAAGGTCAGGAGATTGAGACCATCCTGGCTAACACAGTGAAATCCCGTTCTCTACTAAAAATACAAAAAAAAAAAAAAAAAATTAGCTGGGCGTAGTGGCAGGCACCTGTAGTCCCGGCTGCTCGGGAGGCTGAGGCAGGAGAATGGCATGAACCCAGGAGGTGGAGGTTGCAGTGAGCTGAGATCATGCCACTGCACTCCAGCCTGGGCGACAGAGTGAGACTCCATCTCAAAAAAAAAAATACAAAAAAACCCCACCAAATAGCACATTTTTAAAGGGTATGTTTTGTGGTGTGTGATTTATGTACCAATAAGTTATTTATTTAAAAATAATAAATATAGTTTGAAGGGCTTAAGTAGAGGGATGAGGAAGATGTTGGGAGGGAGTACATCGGGTGGAGTAGGAGCTGCCATTTAAATTATAAATATTATCAAACTATAACTTAAAAAATTTACATGTATTACTTTGTATATTAAAAAATAATTGAAGGCCAGGCACAGTGGCTCATGCCTGCAATCCCAGCACTTTGGGAGCCCGAGGTGGGTGGATCCCCTCAGGTCAGGAGTTCGAGACTAGCCTGGCCAACATGGTGAAAACCCGTCTCTACTAAAAATATAAAAATTAGCCAGGCGTGGTGACGCACAACTGTAATCCCAGCTACTCGGGAGGCTGAGGCACTAGAATTGCTCAAACTCAGGAGGCAGTGGTGGCAGTGAGCCAGAATCACGCCACTGCACTGTAGCCTGGGTGACAGAACGAGACTCCATCTCAAATAATAATAATAATAATAATTATTATTATTATTGAAGCAAAACAATAAAGTAGAAGAGATAGATGCAAGTTATTAGTAATCTAGTTTTTACTTGGGAGGCAGGATTCACAAGTATTTATTTTGTTATTATCATTCATAATCCAAGCATATTCTTTGTATCAAAGGTTATATTATGACCTACGATTTGGAGGTGGAAAATCTGAAGGAAAGGCCATGAAGAAGTATTGTGGTTAATAATTAAACCAGATGCTTTCTGAGAAAAGATTTAAAAGGGAGAAATAAAACCCCTGAGGAGGGTGCTCTCCTGGGATGACAGCGTCAGGAATGGACCTGAGGGGCCTCTTGAGCTGGGCACAATCCACAGTGCTGCTGTCCCACTTCACAGCCCTGTGACAATTCACAAGTCAGTTATTTCTTCCTAAACTGTTACTTTTTGAATTAAAATACACACATAAAAGAGTGATAAAAACATTTTTCAGAAAAATGGCATTTTTCCAAGTGGCTTACCTAAAAATGCCCTTAGCCTGAATTACATATACTGTGTTATAACTCAGAATTTTCTCATTTTGACATGGTCCCTTCTTATTTTATAAAGATAATACAAGTGATCATTTTATGTCATCAAAGCTTTTGCAATTTGAAATAGTAATGATGTGAGTGATACTGTTAAACTAGATTTAAGTCTTGAGTCAGATGAATGGCAAATCCAGCCCACCACATGTTTTTGTAAATAAGTTTCGTAAGCACACAGCTCCACACATTCATTTACATATTCTCTAGAACTGTTTTTTGCTGCAACTGCAGAGCTGAGTAGTTGCAACAGAAATTTTTCAGTTAGATGACCTACCAAACTGAAATTATTTACAATTTGACCCTTTATAGAAAAAATTTACTTAGATGAAGATATATATTAGGTTGGTGTAAAGTAATTGCGTTTTTTCCCATTAACTGCAATTACTTTTGCACCAACCTAATACACATGTTCCTTAGATGAAGATACATGCAAGTATCTCCTGTAGTTCAAATCCTATTTGGGGCCTGGCAGGGTGGCTCACACCAGTAATCCCAGCACTTTGGGAGGCCAAGGCAGACAGATCCCTTGAGCCCAGGAGTTCGAGACCAGGCTGGGCATACCAAAAAAGTTAGCTGATTGTGGTGGCACATACCTGTAGTCCCAGCTACTTGGAAGGCTGAGGCAGGAGGATAGCTTGAGCCCAGGAGGCAGAGGTTGCAGTGAGCCAAGATCGCGCTACTGCACTCCATCCTGGATGACAGAGTGTTATCCAAACTGAATCTTGTTTTAAATCTGGAAAGAACACCCACGTTGCAGGCAAATTGTTTTTCTGTCTCTGAGTTCTCACAGACAAGCACTAAAATCTGCTTAGCCAACAGCAAGCAACCCCTGAAATATCACCCCACCTGGGGCTCTGTTTCTTGTCTTTTTTGAGAGAGGTCTCTTGAAGGCTACATGCACAATTCAAAAAACATAAATCCTTTGACTTATTTATTGCCATCAGAGTGGTCCTTTCCCTGACTTCGTTGTGAAGATAGAGCCCCAATAGTAGATGCGCGGCACTGTGGGCTTCCACTCTATTGAGGCCTTTTCTACCTGCTCTCCCTGCTTCTGTGCCGTTTCTGACACAGTGGCTTCTGAAGTGGTACAGGCATTGTGCTACAACCTAACAGTGGAGTTTGTTTGAAAATGAAGACGAAGGGCTCTCCCGTGTTGTGGGAGACACAGTCCTCTCCTGATGGCCATGTTTCTGGTTGGTTTTCTGTCATGAGCCAGTGTGCTCTGGGGCACCCTGCTCCCACTGTTACTGGTGTGTGCACTCCCAGAGGTATGAAACTTTGAGGAATAAAAATGGCTTTCTGAACAAAAATATCAAACAGTGTAGAGACCTGTCAGATTGTTCGCACAGCAGATGGGGAGGGACGCGTTCTCCCACTTTAATGTACACAAACACCAGAGAAGTAGCCCCAACAAGTCTAAGCTGGGCCCATCAGCCTCTTCCTCGGGAATTTTGGAAATAAAACTGAGTAAGATCACCTTAAAATACAAAGCCCAGATGCTGTTGGCAGGCATGTTTTTGCCTCTGTGCAGAAAATAGTTAACCCAGGAGGCCTGGGATGGCTCTCCTTAGCAAGGCTGCTTGCAAGGCTGGCCCTTGGCTGGAGTCTGAGAACTAGGATTACAGGAGGGTTCACACCATTCCCAGAACTGATGAGAGGGGCTCACGGTGCTGAAACTGTTTGTGCAAACACGTGGTTTGTGCTGAACAGCGGCTTATCTGTGAGGAGTCTGGAATGTGGTATATGCTGGGCAGAAGGGGCCCATGTGACCAGCCCCTGATAAAAACGCTGGATGCAGAGTCCCTAATGAGCTTCTCTCAATTAATTAATTAATTCCTTGGGGGAATTAAACGTGCCTGTGACTGCTGGAGAGGACTCTTGGAAGCTCATGCCTCTGGACTTAATGCCCTGCGCCTTTTCCCTTTGCGGATATGGCTTTGTGTCCTTTCACTGTAATAAATTTGTGCATAGCTGTGGCCATGACTTCATGCTGCGTCCTGTAGGTCCTCCCTCTGATCATTGAACATGGGCTTTTTCTTGAGCCTTAAAAAGGAGTAAGGCACTGACACAGGCTGCAGTATGAATGTTCGCTGAAGACGTGTTGCCAGGTGAAACAGCTGGGTGCAAAGGCTACATCTTGTTCGAGTCCATTTATAAGAAAAATCCAGAATAGGCAAATCCACAGAAACAGAAAGCAGATGAGTGGTTGCCAGGGGCTGAGGAGAGAGGGGAATAGAGAGTGGGGTGGCTGCTTAGTGGGTACAGTTTTCTATTGTGTGATGAAAATGTTCTGGACTAGTGATGGTCGCACAACATTGGGAATGTACTAAAAGCCACTGAACTATACACTTTAAACTGGTTTAAATATACAAATTTGGTTCCATTGGTCTTTTATACCAGTACAATGCCGTTTTGGTAACTAGTATAATTTGAAGTCCAGTAATATGATGCCTCCAGATTTGTTCTTTTTGGTTAGGATCGCTTTGGCTATTCAGGCTCTTTTTTGGTTCCATATGAATTTTGGGATTATTTTTTCTAAATCTGTGAAAAATGATGGTATTTGGATGGGAATTTCATTCAGCAGATTGTAGATTGCTTTGGGCAGTATGATCATTTTCACAATGTTGATTCTATGAGCATGGGATGTGTTTCCATTTGTTTGTGTCATCTATAATTTCAGCAGTGTTTTGTGGTTCTTGTACAGATCTTTCACCTCCTTGGTTAAATATATTCCTAGGTTTTTGTTTTTGTTTTTGTTTTGCAGCTGCTGTAAAAGGGATTGAGTTCTTGATTGATTCTCAGCTTCGTCGTTGTTGGTGTATAGCAGTGGTACTTCTTTGTGTACATTGATTTTGTAACCTGAGACTTGACTGTATTTGTTTATGAAATCTAAGAGTCTCATGGAAGAGTCTTTAGGATTTTCAAGGTATATGATCATATCATCTGCAAATAGAGAGAGTATGACTCCTCTTTTCCAATCCGGATACGCTTTATTTATTTCTCTTGCCTAATTGCTCTGGCTAGGAGTTCCAGAACTATGTTGAATAGGATTGGTGAAAGTGGGCATCCTTGTCTTGTTCGTGTTCTCATGGGGAATGTGTTCAACTTTTCCCCATTCAGTATTACGCTGGTTGTGGGTTTGTCGTATATCCACATATATATTATTTTGAGGCAAGTTCTTTTATGCCTAGTTGTTAAGAGCTTTTATCACAAAGAGATGCTGAACTTTGTCGAATGTTATTTCCGCATCTATTGAGATGATCATATGGTTTTTGTTTTTAATTCTGTTTATGCGATGTCACATTTATTGACTTGTGTATCTATCACCTTATACAAAAAATCAACTCAAGATGTATCAAAGACTTAAATATAAGACTTGAAACCATAAAAATTTTAGAAGACAATTTGGAAAACTCTTCTAGACTTCAACCTAGGCGAAGAATCCATGACTAAGACCCCAAAAGCAAATGCAACAAAAACAAAAATAAGTAAATGGGACCTAATTAAACTAAAAAGCTCTTTACAGCAAAAGAAATAATAATCAGAGTAAACAGACAACCCACAGAATGGGAGAAAATATTTGCAAACTACAGTCCAACAAAGGACTAGTATCCAGAATCTACAAGGAACTCAAACAAATCAGCAAGTAAAAAACAAGTAATCCTATCAGAAAGTGGGCAAAGGACATGAATAGACATTTCTCAAAGGAAGATATACAAATGGCCAAGAAACATGTGAAAAAAATACTCAACATCGCTAATCATTAGGGAAATGCAAAATAAAACCACAATGAGAGACCACCTTACTCCTGCAAGAATGGCCATTATTAAAAAGTCAAGAAACAATAAATGTTGGCGTGGATGTGGGGAAAAGGGAACGCTTATACACTACTGGTGGTAATGTAAATTAATACAACCTCTTTGGAAAATAGTATGGATATTCCTTAAAGAACTAGAAATAGATCTACCATTTAATTCAACAATCCCACTACTGGGTATCTACCCAAAGGAAAAGAAGTTATTATATGGAAAAGACACACATGCATGTTTATAGCAGCACATTCACAGTTGCAAAGATGTGTAACCAACCTAAGTGCCCATTGACTAATGAGTGGATAAAGAAAATGTGACTATATATATATATACATATACACACACACACACACATACATATATACATACACACACACACACACCATGGAATACTACTTAACCATAAAAAGGAATGAAATAATGTCTTGTGCAACAACTTGGATGGAGCTGGAGGCCATTATTCTAAATGAAGTAACACAGGAGTGGAAAATCAAAAATCGTATGTTCTCACTCATGAGTGGGAGCTAAGCTGTGGGTATGCAAAGGCATACAGAGTGGTATGGTAGACTTTAGAGACTCATAAGGGAAAGGTAGGGAGGGGGATTAATTTTTTTTAATAAAGTAAAATATATGTATTTTACCCTATTTTTTAAAAGTGTCGTGGCTGGGCACAGTGGCTCACTCCTGTAATCTCAGCACATTAGGAGGCCAAGGTGGGAGGATTACTTAAGGCCAGGAGTTTGAAACCAGCCTAGGCAACATCATGAGACCCTGTGTCTACCAAAAAAAAAATAATAATAACAACCAGGTGTGGTGGCATGAACCTCTGTAGTACCAGCTACTTAAGAGGCTAAAGATGGAGAATGACTTGAGCCCAAGAGTTCAAGGCTGCAGTGAACTATGATCGTGCTACCCTAGTCCAGTCTGAGCAACAAAGAGAGACACCATCTCTGGGGATAAAAAATGGCCATAATGATGAATATCACTTATCGTGCCTTTTTATGCTTGTGCTAAATAGTTGTGAAATACTGCTAAATTTTTGTAAAATAAGTTCCTAGAAGTGAATTTGCTTTGCAAAAGGTTGTGTTATACTTTCCATTTTAATATATATTCTCAAATTGCTCTCCTGTAAGGCTATTTAGTTTACACTTCTCTACACAATGTGCAAGATTATACACATTCCCAATACTGGATACATGTTTGATCTTGTTCAGCCTAAGAGGAGAAAATGGCATTCCTTTTAATTCTTCATTGTAGATGAAAGTGAAGCACTTTTTATCAGTTTGTTAGTCATTTACATCTTTCTTCTGTGAATTACTAGTACAGTTGCTTTGCTTGCTTTTCTGTTTGCATGTTCTTCTTTTTTCCTCAAAATTTGCAACAGTTTTTTGTTTTGTGTTGTTTTTTATTTCTAAGAAAGCTCTGTGTTCCCATAATCAAGTCTGCAGAGATCCTGATAAGCAAAGCAGTCAGCCTGGCCTGAGAGCTCTGCTTCCTGCTCCCCAGAGTCAAGTGTTTTCAAGTCACCTTGCTGATTTTTTGGCATTTACCTCTACATTGCTAAATAGCATGCTTATCACTGCTGTTTCTAGTTTTTCATTTTAGATGTTATATTTTGATCTCCTACTGTGAAAGATGAGGATTTCTTTTCTGCCCCCAGCCTCCGTGCTTCCTGTCTTTGCATTCTCTCATTGTGGTTTTGTGTACCTGGAGTTCACATTAAGATGCTGTGAGTGTCATTCATAGATTAGCCATGTAGTAGTATACACTGCTGCTGCTTTTTCTTTTACACAACCTTTTATTCACCCTCCACCTAAAATTATTTTTGTCTGTTTACTTAGTTTTCTTTTGCTTTTTTTTGAGACGGAGTCTCACTCTGTCGCCAGGCTGGAGTGCTATGGCACGATCTCAGTTCACTGCATCCTCCTACTCCTGGATTCAAGTGATTCTCCTGCCTCAGCCTCCCAAGTAGCTGGGATTACAGGCACATGCCACCACATCCAGCTAATTTTTGTATTTTTAGTAGACGGAGTTTCACCATGTTGGCCAGGATGGTCTCGAACTTCTGACGTCAGGTAATCCACCCGCCTCGGCCTCCCAAAGTGCTGGAATTACAGGCATGAGCCACCACACCCAGCCTGTTTACTTAGTTTTCTATGTAAATGTCACTAATTCAACCCCAACTCTTTGTGAGATATCCCCACACATCACAGGGGTCAGGGATCACAGCAGTGTCATCTTGAGATCTCTCTGGAGCCTCTGACCTCCTCCATCATGGCTGCCCTCTGTGCCTGGTGCACAGATTCCCTGTTAGTTCTTTGCCTCTCTCTTTTTTGATCTTCTGTGTCCTACATCCTATTCTTTTTCTTTTTCTTTTTTTTTCCTCCAGTATCTCCCTGAGAATGGGTTCATAGAAGGTAAAATTTTATGGCCTTGCATCTTTGTTTTACCCTAATGCTTGATGGTTTCCTTGGGTATAACATTTTAGGTTAGCAACTATTTCCCTTTATAATTTTGTGGGAATTGTTCCATTGTCTTCTATTTGCCAGTGTTGCAGCAAGAAGAAAATAATTCCAGTCCTTTGTGACTTTTTTCTCTCCAAAAGCTCATAGGAGGTTCAGGCTGTTGCCAGGATTCTAAACTTTCAGTGTGGTTTGCCTTGCTGTATAGCTTAAGGTCTTTTTTTTTCTTTCTTTCTTTCTTTCTTTTTTTTTTTTTTTTTGTCATGCTAGTCACTCACTGCACCCTTTCAATACAGTAATTCGTGTCTTTATTTTCTGGAATTATTTCATTGGTAATTTCTTCTACTCTGTTTTCTTTTTCTGGAACTCCCTTTACCCTGGTCCCCTAATTATCATATTTTTTTCTCCTGTTTTCTATCTCTTTGCCTTATAATTTTGTTTTCTGGGATTAAACTTGAGGCTTCCCTAAGTTTATCTTCCAAATTCTATTAAATGCTTCATTTCTGCTATCTTTTTTTTGTTTTTGCATCACTTCAATTTTCTTACTTTAATTGTGGCAAAATACGTATAACATAAAATTTACCATCTGAACCATTTTTAAGTGTACAGTTCAGTATTGTTGAGTATATTCACATTGTTGTGTAACCAATCTCCAGAACTTTTTCATTTTGCAAAACTGAAACTCTTACCCATTAAATACTGACCTGCCATTCCCCTTGTCCCCCAGCCACCATTCTACTTTGTATCACTATGAATTTGACTACTCTAGGTACCTCATATAAGTGAAATCATATAGTATTTGTCCTTTTTGTCTGGCTTATTTCACTTAGCATAATGACCTCAAGGTTCATCCACATTATGGCATGTCAGAATTTCATTTCTTTTTAAGGCTGAATAAAATTCCGTCAGATATGTTTGCTATCATATATTTAACTTCTAGGATTTTTTTGTTCCCTAAATTTTTTATAGCATCCTGTTCTTGTTTCCTAGATGTAATGTCATATATGAATTTCGCTGAAGATTGTAGGTTGATTCTATCACCAAATCTCCCTACCTGGGTTGTTTCCTACAGTCCCTTTGTTCCACTGGTATCTTTAGTTCTCTATCTTTATGCTTGAGGTTTGACTGCTCATGTTTAGGTGGAGGCTCTGCAAAGCTGACCGCTGCCTGGGCCTGTGTATGTGGCCTGCAACTATGGTCTTCATAGTAGAGAGCTGTTCCCGTGGCATGTCCATGACAAACTCCTGATGTCAGTGTCTTTAGGTCCTTCCTCTTGGGCTCATCCATTCCCCAGAGAAGGGCCTTCCAGTCTCCTGCTTGAGGGCTTAGACTTGGCAGCCAGGATTATGGGATCAGTCAGAGAAGAGGCCTGGGGGTGGAGAATGACTATCTCAGCCCTCACCTTGTAAATTCGTTTAATTCCCTTGTTTTCAATGTATCACTTGTGCCTCAACTGCTCAATATCCACCCGGTCCAGAGGCTTCATTTTATGCTCTGGTGTGCAGGGAAGAGAGAGTGTCTGGAGCTTTGGCTGCTCTGTGAACACATCTCTAACCCAGTCCTTCTGTTTTTAACCACCTTCATCCCCCGACCTGAAGCACCTCTTGCCACAAATTTCCTGAGCCTTTGGGGGATTTTGTACCATAATCAGGTCTTTGCCCTTCCCCACTGCTGGCTTGGGATTTAGTTTGCTTAGGTCTGTTTTGTTAGTTATTTCTTGTCCATCAACTTTTCAGCTGCCAAGTTTTATTTTCTTTGCTGTTTTCTTTTTCCTTGTCAGTTAATGCTTTTGGGGGAAAAAAAGAAATGCCTTTCTGTGGTTTCGTGGGGCTTCACAATGGAATGAGACTGTGAGTGCATGCATTTCATTGCTGTCTGCCTGGAAGCCTCAGAGCACTTTATTCGTTTCTCCTGAAGGATATTAACCATATCTGTCACAGAGGTCCCAGATATCCTTTGTGTGTGTGTGTGTGTGTGTGTGTATATATATATATGCACACACACACATACACACACACACACACATTATATAAATACACATACTCCTTTGTTCTGGATGGCCATTTATTTCAGCATCACTTATTTCATCATCTCTCTTGAACTACCTGATAGGCCTAGGTATGAATGGGAACTGAGTGGTGTCTGGACTTGTTGTTCCCTTCTGTGGCTCTGTGGGTCTGGTCCTCTGCCACAGGTTGCTGCTGAGCAGAGAAATGAGAGCATGATCTGAATGCTGCACAACATCCTGGGTCCCAGCCAGGGCCCTGTGAGTGTCAGCCAGTGCTGTTATGTGCATTGTCGTCATGATTTTTATGCCCTGGCATTTTTCATTATTTCATTATACTTGTTGGTGTGCCAGATAAATTACTACAAATAATTTTATTTCTTCTTTCCAATATTTATATCTCTTGTACTTTTTTGGGTTTATTGCATTCATGACAGTCTGAAACAACTAATACTTATTAATGCTGGACATTCTTGTTTTATTTTCCATTAATAGCAATATCTTACTTTAAGATTTTTGTATTGTTTTCTGATGAATAGTTTATCAATTAAGGGAAGCTTACATCTGTTTTGAATTTACTGAGTTTTTTTAAATCCCGAAATAGATAAGAATTATAGCAAATTCCTTTTTGGCAGTTAATGAGCTATTCATATGGTTTCTTTTTAAACTTATTTATGTAATTAATAACATAAATAGATTTTCTAGTAGGAAAAAATTCTTACATATCTGGGGGCAAAATTCCAATTTGGTTATGGTGTATTACTGTTGTGGGAAATCTCTACTTGATTATGGTTAATATTTAATATGAAGCATACTATTTTTTATACTCTTATTGATGAAGAGACATTTGGCTTGTGGTTGCTTGCTTTAAGTATAAATAAAGTTTTGTGTTAATAAGGCCTGATTTTTTTAGTTATGATGTTAGTGAGCTCTAAAACCCTGTATTATCTTTTTATGTAGTCAAAAATGCAATAAGGGCCAAGTGCAGTAGCTCACACCTATAATCTCAGGGCTTTAGGAGGCCAAGGTGGGAGAATCGCTTGAGGCCAGGAGTTTGAGACCAATCAGGTCAACATAGCAAGACCTCCTCTTACAAAAACGTTTTAGAAAAATAGCTGGGCATAGTGGCACATGCCTGTAGTCTCAGGTACTTGTGAGGCTGAGGTGGGAGGATTGCTTGAGCCCAGGAGTTCAAGGTTGCAGTGAGCTGTGATCATGCCACTGCACTCCAGTGTGGGCAACAGAGTGAGTCCCTGACTTTTTTTTAAAAAAAAAAAAAAGAAAAAGTAATATTTATTTATTTTACTGCCTTCTCTAGTAGTGTTGGTGACAGAATTAATTCTCAGCCAAAGTTTTTTTTTTTTTTTTTTTTTTTTGAGACGGAGTCTCGCTCTGTCACCCAGGCTGGAGCGCAGTGGCACGATCTCCCCTCACTGCAAGCTCCGCCTCCTGGGTTCACGCCATTCTCCTGCCTCAGCCTCCCGAGTAGCAGGGACTACAGGCGCCCGCCACCATGCCCGGCTAATTTTTTGTATTTTTAGTAGAGACGGGGTTTCACCATGTTAGCCAGGATGGTCTTGATCTCCTGACCTTGTGATCCGCCTGCCTCGGCCTCCCAAAGTGCTGGGATTACAGGCGTGAGCCACCGCACCCAGCCACAGATGTTTTATACTCTGGGTATAAGACTCTGACTCTCAAATCTGACAAACGAAAACTTGAAGCTTTAAAAAAAAAAGAAATGGTTGGAAGTTGGGAAACTTCTCATTTAAAAGTTCCAGACAATTTTTGTGTTCTCTAACAGTGAAGACTGAAGTTTTCCCTGGGACTGATGCCCTTGTTTTGGTGAAAGTCTTCTGAAAGGACCTGTTAGTTGTGCAGAAGTAAGGCTAGGCCTCCTCCTGTTCTCGGGGCTCAGGGTGTGAGTGGTCTGAGGCCCGCCATCGACCCCGGTGCCTCAGTGGCAGATCGAGTGTCTCTCATCCCTTGTGGCCACTTGATCTGCTGAATTCTGAGTCGGATGTGTTGAAGTCTCTTCCTCTGAACTGTGGTTTGTGTAAAAAGCTTTGATTTCTAAGAGATTATGTCGAACCATACATAAAGGTTTCTAGCCCTATCTTCTTGGTGGTGGCTTTTACCTTTAATTTTAGTTAGTCCTTTTAATCTTGAAGTATACATTTTGCAATACCAATATTACTGTTTCCATCTATGTTTTGAGGTTAGAAATCAGAGTTGGAGGCAGGGTCTGGGCCCAGGTGCTCTTGCCAGGGCTGCTTTCTAGGGTAGAATGGAGGAAGAGCCTTGGGCAAGGGCCAAGACCACTGGCCACTGTCGCCAGGGGAGCACTCAAAAGTCAGGGCTGTGCCTGGGAGCAAGAGGGACTCCAAAGACCCAGAGCAGATCTGGAGCACTGTGAGTTGGAGGAGTTGGGGTCGGACGGCAGCCTACAAGGGTGAGGGTGGTGAGAAAGCAGGGTGAACAGAGAAGGACAGATGTGGCCCGCTCAGGGATCCACACCAGTGTATGGAAACTGAGGCCCAGAGACCACCAGCCAGTAAATAGCTGGACCCAGGGAGGCCAACTCCACAGTACGCACCCTTAACTACCATGCCGGGTAGCATCCTTACTGTCCCAGAAGCATGCTTGCTTCCTCTTTACACAAACCATCCCACTCTACACCTCTTCCCCTGAGCGCACAGGACAGGACAGGACAGCTCAGTCAACACTGTCAAACCCATGACTCATGGGAGGAGCATCCCTCCAGGCATGAGTGAGCTCAGCATGGCACAGGTGTGCCAGGATGACCCCTACTGACATTTCTTCCCTGCTTGTGTACTCTTTGGGATGCTCCCACCCCTATCTCCTGCCACCCTCAGAGCCCCATAACTGTGTCCCCCTGGCTGAGGCAGCCCTGTGCCCACGGCCCTGGAACTCACTGGGCTCAGATAGGGAGCCTGGGAACCGCTGAAGGCCATCTCCACCGCCTCTGTGGCCACCGCTGCCTTTCACACCTGCCAGGCAGTCCTTTGCAGAAGGAATGACTTAACAAAGAAATAGAAACCAAAGCAACTTGGCTGTTATTCAATGGGGAGGAGCCGGCAGCAAGAGGAAGTGGGTCCAGAGAGAGAAAGGTGGTAGGGTGCTGGTTGAACTGGGGTGACACTCATAGAGGGAAGTAGGCACTCCCAGCCCCAGTGACCTTTCCCTCCTCCCTCTCCTGTGCTCAACCCCAGCCTGAAGCATAATTGGTTTATAGAGGTCTACAATGCTTGACCACACTGACATGACAGTGAGTTGCCAGATGACACTGCCCAGAAGTATGTGGCTGGGTGTCCTAAGCATGCTTGGCCACTGGTTCCAGAAAATAATGGGGCTGGGCATTGCCTGTGCACAGGGTGCTTGTGGGGAAGGGCGGCTTCAACCCATTTTACATATAGAGAAGCTGAGGCTCAGAGTCTAAGGGAGATGCCCCAGGTCACACAGCTAATTCGTGGCAGCCTGAGCTATATGAAGATTCTCAGACTCTTCAAAAAGTATTTCTCCTCTTTAAATTTCTATTCTTCATGTAAAAACATAATTATGTAGAAGGGAATATTTTGCATGAAAAACACTATAATGAAGATTTTTATTCTAGAGTATGTGGTGCCCAGGAGCTTCTGATCCTCCCTCTCAGTGAATCTCTCTTTTTTCTCTTCTCCATCCTTATTTTCTGAGCTTTAGGATGGGGAGAGAAGTCTTGGACATAACAGAACATTTCAAGCGACATGGGAGTGGGAAGGAACATATGGCATGAACTGCCTTTAATTGGCTTCAGCAGCTAGTTAGGGGAAATAATTGGCTGAAACAGAGAATAACAGGATAGGCTGCAGAGGGGAGAGGGAGCCATGAAATAAACTTACCTGAAGTTGACCAGGTCCCAACGATGTGCTGGCGAGAAGGCCCAGAACTCAAGCTGGGGATGGGCGGGTAAGGACCATACAGGCTCGAGGGGATGGCAGGTGCCCCAGGCCATACGTGAGTCTGCACGTCTCTTCCTTCCTGTGCTCTGCCTAGATGCACTAGAATTTGCAGATGAATTCCTTTGAGATGCTCCCATAGACTGAGGCCGTGTGTGTCGTCTGCACTCTCCATCCCATTATGTTCTGGATCAAGTAGAATCTGACCAAGTTAAGGAATAGACAGTACAAGGGGAGCAGAAAGGAGAGAAAGGAAGGGAAATTCTTTGCAATCCTCTCGAACACCAGGAATATTTTCATCACGTCACGTCATTTGTAGGCAATCACCAATTGATTGGGATATGGAACAACTGGAACTATCATTCATAGCAGACTTGAGTGTAAAATAATCCAACTTAAAAAAATGGGCAGGGCGTGGTGGCTCATGCCTGTAATCCCAGCCCTTTGGGAGGCTGAAGCGGGAGGATCACTTGAGTCCAGGAGGTTGAGACCAGCCTGGCCAAGATAGGAAGACCCTGTCTCTACATATAATTTACAAGGCAAATTAGCCAGGTGTGGTGGTGGACACCTGTGGTCCCAGCTATGTGGGAGGCTGAGGTGGGAGGCTCACTTGAGCCCAGGAGGCCGAGGCTGCAGTGAACCCTCATCACGCCACTGAGCTCCAGCCTAGGTAATAGAGCAAGACTGTCTCAAAAAATTAAAAAAAAAAAAAAAAAAAAAAAACTGCTTGGTGAGTTGTAATACAGTCAAATATCTACTTCTATGTTCTGGCTTTTCTACTTCTGAAAAATTACCCAAGAGAAAGGAAAACATATTTGTCTGTTTTTAAAAGCTTTACTCATCGTAGCCCCAAGCTGGTAACAATGCAAATGGTCACCAACAGAAGAAGGGAGAAATGAATTGTGGTTTTCACACCACAGGGTGGCCCTCAGCAATAAAAAGGAGCTAGGCCACAGGAAACGTCAATGAGCCTTGCAACTGAGCGGAAGAAGCCAGATCCAAACAGACACATGCTGTGAGAATTCCATTCGAGTCAAGTTGAACAACAGGCCAGAGTGGCGTTACCCTTGGGAGTCACTGACTGGGAGGGGCACGAAGGAGTCTTGGAGAGGCTGGAAATGTTCTGGATCTGGTTCTGGGTGGTGGTCCCACAGGTGTTTACATCCATTAACAACAGGCTGAGGCTGGGTGCAGCAGCTGACACCTGTAATTCAGCACTTTGGGAGACTGAGGCAGGAGGATTGCTTGAGTCCAGGAGTTTGAGACCAGCCTGGGCAGCATAGCAAGACCTTCTGTGTACTAAAAATCAAAAAACTTAGTGAGGCATGGTGGTGCATGCCTGTAGTCCCAGCTACAGGGAGGCTGAGGCAGGAGGATTGCTTGAGCCTGGGAGGCTGAGGCCACAGTGAGCTATGATCACACCACTGCACTGCAGGTTGAGTGACAGAGCAAGACCCTGTCTCAAAACAAAACAAAACTCAAACAGAAAACCAGGATCTGTACATTTTACTCTACCTAGACGATATCTCCGTAAAATACTGCTAAAAGAAAATATCTCCCAGAGCCCAAGGAGACACAGGCACAGCTAAGAGTTCCAGCAGTTTAGCACCTTAGCATCACCTTGAGCCTTGGAGGTGAGTCACAGTTAAGCAGCTTCACTAGTGAGTCCAGCCCATAAAGGAGGGCCCTCTGCTCCACACCCTGTCTGGAGGTGCCCCAGTAAGGTCATACCCAAAGGCTGACATGTTTTTAGACTAATCAACACAGTACAGTAGGGAGGCACTTCGAGGCACAGTGCCAGGCCACTGAGAGTTCTGACTTCGGCACCCTTCAGTCACCACAATCCATTCCCAGTGGTTAGCTCTGGTCTTCAGGAGACTAGAAGCAGCCCTCGGGAATGTTCCTGCTCAGAGCTCTAGTGTTCAAAGTCACAGACCCTTCTCGGAGGCTCTCTGTTCTCTGCCCTATAGACTGAGGGAGTCTGCCACCTCACGCTCATTAGGATGCCTATGATTAAAAAAAAAATCCAGAAAATAACAACTTTTGGCTAGAATGTGAGTAAACTGGAACCCTGTGAAAACAGCATGGCTGTTCCTCAAAAACCTCATCATAGAATTACTATATGGTCCAGCAATTCCACTTCTGGGTATATCCCCCAAATAACCAAAAGCAGGAACTCAAAGAGACATGTGAACACCCAGGTTTGTAGCAGCATCATTCACAAAAGCCAAGAGGTGAAAGCAACACGTGTCCATCAATGGATGAGTGGTCAACAAAATGTGGGCCAGACATACATTCAGCCCTAAAAAGGAAGGAAATTCTGGCACATGCCACAACATGGATGGTCCTTGAGAACATTAAGTGAAATAAAAGTCATAAAAGAACAAGCACTGTAGGCTGGGTGCGGTGGCTCACACCTGTAATCCCAGCACTTTGGGAGGCCAAGGTGGGAAAATCACCTGAGGTCAGGAGTTCAAGACCAGCCTGGCCAACATGGTGAAACTCCGTCTCTATTAAAAATATAAAAAGTAGCCGGGCGTGGTGATGAGTGCCTGTAGTCCCAGCTACTCAGGAGGCTGAGGCAGGAGAATCGCTTGAACCTGGGAGGCAGAGGTTGCAGTGAGCTGAGATCGCACCACTGCACTCCAGCCTGGGCAACAAAGTGAGACTGTCTCAAAAAAAAAAAAAAAAAGAAAGAAAAAGCACTGTATGATTTCACTTGTCTGAGATACCTAGAGTGGCCAGAATCAACAAAAGAAAGTAGAACGGTGGTTAGGGGCTGGTAGGAGGGGGAATGAAGACTTGTCATTTAATAGGTATAGAGTTCTGGTTTTACAAGATGAAAAGAGTTTTGTGGATGGATGGTAGTGATAATTGTATAACAGCATGAATGTTCTTAATACCTCTGAACTGTATACCTAAAACTGGTTAATATGGTACATTTTATATTATGTGTGTTTTACCACAATTAATTTTTTTTTTTAAATGGGGTCTAACTCTGTCATCCAGGCCAGAGTGTAGTGGTGTGATCTCAGTTCACCACAACCTCCTCGCCACCCCCACCCCTTCTCACCACCCTCGGGCTCAAACCATCCTCCCACCTCAGCCTCCTGAGTAGCTGTGACCACAGGCTCATGCCACCATGTTCGGCTAATTTTTTGTACTTTTGGTAGAGACAGGGTTTCGCCCTCTTGCCCAGGTTCATCTCAAACTCCTGAGCTCAAGTGAATCTGCCCACCTTGGCATCCCAAAATGCTGGGATTTACAGGCATGAACCACTGCACCTGCCTGCAATTAAAATTTTTAAAAATGTGGCCGGGCACGGTGGCTCATGCCTGTAATTCTAGCACTTTGGGAGGCCAAGGTGGGAGGATCACCTGAGGTCAGGAGTTCGAGACCTGCCTGGCCAACATGGTGAAACCCAGTCTCTACTAAAAGAACAAAAATTAGCCGGGTGTGGTAGTAGGTGCCTGTAATCCCAGCTATTTGGGAGACTGAGGCAAGAGAATCGTTTGAACCCAGGAGGCAAAGGTTGCAGTGAGCCAAGATCGTGCCATTGCACTCCAGCCTGGGCAACATGAGTGAGACTTCATCTCAAAAAAAAAAAAATTTTTTTTAAATGTAAGTATGATGGTCTCTATGAACCAGACTGAGAATCTACCACTGCCAGGTTTATTCTGTTCCCTGTCCCCCCACAGGGCCTTACCCTAGGCACTTCCTTCAGGGTGTTTAGGACAGGCTGGTCTCTGCTTGACAGGTGCTATGATTTGAATGTGGTTTGTGCCAACCAAAACTCATGTTGAAATTTACTTGCCAACATGATGGTGTTTGGAGGCAGGGTCTTTAAGAGGTGACTGGGTTATCAGGATGGATGAATGACTTCCTCTGGGTGAGTTATCAAGAGAATGGATTAGCTCTCCTGAGAGTAGGTTGTTATAAAGCAGGTCAGCCTATTTTGTTCTCTCTCTCTGGCACACGCTTGCTTGCCCTTCTGCTTCTCTGCCATGTTAGGACACAGGTCAAAGGCCCTCACCAGAAGCTGACCAGATGAGCTGCCCAATCTTGGACTTCCCAGCCTCTAGAACTGTGAACCAAAGTAAATCTCTTTTCTTTGTAAATTACCCAGCCTCAGGGTGCATTCCTAAGGTATATCAGATAACTCTGGGTGACAGGACTTAGGCAGAACTTCATTATCAGCCTCTCAAGCCTGAGTGAAATGTTTTCATTTTAGACATTCTAATAGTTGTGTAGTGGTGTCTCATTAATGGTTTTAATTTGCATTTCCTTAAAGAGTGATGATGTTGAACATTTATTCAGTTGGTTATTTATGCCTGTGTCTCTTCTTTTTTTGCATTGTCTGTTTCAACGTGTTGCCCATTTATAAACTTAGATGGTTTTCTCATTATTTAGTTTTGAGAGTAATTTACATATTTTGGATGAGAGTACTTTTCTTTTTTTTTTTTTTTTGTTGGTATTTAACAAGACTTGACAGATGCAAGCACTTTATCAGAAATCTGATTTTCAAATATTTTCTCTTAGCCTGGGACTATCTTTTCATTTTTTCAACAGTGTCTTTCAAAAGCAGTCCTTAAATTTTTTTGAATGTGCCAAACACATTCATATTTATTTTATTTTTTTAAAAGTAAATAATGAACAGCAGTTTATCGGTTTGTTAAACAAAAAAAATGACAGGCTGAGTTAAGTCTCCATCAGCCAAAGTTTATTGAGTCCAAGCTTGAGGAAGTGCCCAGGAAATACACAAGGCACAGAAAGAGTCTATGGCATGGATTCTCTGAAGAAGTTTTAAAGAGATTTAGTATTTATACATATCCTTAAAAAGGGGAAGGCATGGCCAGGCACGGTGGCTCAAGCCTGTAATCCCAGCATTTTGGGAGGCCGAGGCAGGCAGATCACCTGAGGTCTGGAGTTGGAGACCAGCCTGACCAACATGAAGAAACCCCATCTCCACTAAAAATACAAAATTAGACGGGCGTCGTGGTGCATACCTATAATCCCAGCTACTCGGGAGGCTGAGGCAGGAGAATTGCTTGAACCCGGGAGGCGGAAGTTGCGGTAAGGCAAGATCACGCCATTGCACTCCAGCCTGGCCAACAAGAGCGAAACTCTATCTCAAAAAAAAAAAAGGGGGGGTGGGGAAGGCATGTAGGATGAGGGGCAGGTAGGTAGTGAGACAGGGAATAGTTATATTCTTGTGAGACTTTAGTTAGTGCCCAGTAGATCTGCATTTTACGTAAGATAAGGTGAACTTCTGAAGGAAAAAAGGGAGTAAAGGAAGAATTAATTGTGCAGGTGTCTCCGGGTAGGTGGAAGAATGATTAATCTCATCTTTGCTTTGTTCTGCACCTGGAAAGATAAACTTGGAATCAACATTATCTGTGTAGAAAGGAACAATGTTGGTTTTAAGAGCTATATTTAGATTGCAGACCTAAAGTTACAATCAACATGCCCTCATTTTATGGGCGGATATACATCTTGAAAGTTTTTGAGGCAGCAAAATATTTAAGTGTGACTGATTTGTGGGGCAAACATCTGGAGCTGCCTGAGGCCTTTTGCATCCTGTGGAGGTCTGGCTAATGCTTCATGCTTTCACACAAGGTTGTGAAGTAGCAGCTTTGCACTTGGCAAAAGCATGGCAGTGTTGTGTGGCACAAGCTCCAGGCTTAACTTTCTCTTTGGCATAAGGAGTTTGGGGATCCTGAGATTCTTTTTATTTTCCTTTTTAAGTTTTACTTTTTTAAAACCTAAGCTTAACATTACGTATTTAAACAACTGTCAAAACTTACTAAGTTGCCAGCCAGCATTCATGCACAACTAGAAAACATGCTTAATTTATATTAAGCCACAAATAGATTACCATTAATATCTTTCAGTACTAAATACTGGGGAAAAAAGCAATTATTTCTGTGGAAGATTCATCCTGACAGTGTTATCTTATCAGCAGGCTGACACCACTTGCATCACATCTCAAGCAAAATTGAAAATCAGATACATTGGTAGTGTACAATCTTGTACACACTACCAAAGAATCATAGCTGGATGGGTGCAGTGGCTTCCACCTGTATTCCAAGCACTTTGGGAGGCTGAGGCAGGAACCTTCCATGACAGTTAAACTCTGCCTGTTGAAAAAAAGAAACCGGGGATGGTGGCAAAGTCACACCTGTAATCCCAACACTGTGAGAGGCCGATGCAGGAGGACTGATTGAGTCCACGAGTTTGAGACCAGCCTGGGCAACATGGAGAAACCGTGCCTCTACAAAAAATACAAAAATTAGCTAGGCCTGGTAGTGCATGCCTATAGTCCCAGCTACTCGGGAGGCATAGGTGGGTGGGAAGATTGCTTGAGCCTGGGAGGTTGAGGCTGCAGTAAGCCAAGATCGAGCCACAGCCTGGGTGACAAAGTGAGACCCTGTCTCAAATAAATAAATAAATAAGTCACAGCTTACTTTGGATTATGTTTAATTAAGAAAAGCAAAGTACATACAGAGATTTATAACTTTAAAGACAAAAAAAGTCTTACTATGTGATCCAAAGAATAAACTCATAAGTCCATGACAAATAGAAGTTCTAAACAATTGTTTACAAACACTTCAGGTATAATTACAGTAAAAGTCAAGTTCATCTGAAATCACCAAAAAAGTTTCTGGTTGGGCACGGTGGCTCACCACCTGTAATCCCAGCATTTAGGGATTTTCTTACAATAAAAGGCATGCAGGTTGATTATTATCAAACTGTTCCTATTTTAAATGACATGATTGCCCCTATATAAAATTTTAAGGAATCTAAAAACAAAAAACAGCTTCCGAAACTAGTGAGTTTAGAAGCGCACAGCATGCAACATAAATATATGAAAACCGATTGTATTTCTATATAGTAATAAAAAACAAGTAGACACTAAAATTAAAACTGCTATGTTGTTTATAATCACTCGAAAAATTAAATACTTAGCTATAAATCTCACAAAACATGGACAGAACTCATAAGCTGAAATCTACACAGTGCTGAGGAGAACAAGTTCCTGGATCATCCTGCAACCTGGAGGGGACGGCCCTGGGGCTTTCAGGGCCCTGGGGCTTTCAGGGTGGAGCGTGAACAGGCCTCCGGGAAACATCTTCCATCAGCCAAACCCTCCTGCTGCCTTATTGAAGAAGTCCCTCTTCAGGCTCTTCTGCTCACGTCTCTGAATCTCTCCTTGGCAAAGGCTCACGTGGGCTCTGGCACCGGCGTCATGCGGAGGACAATGAAGGGCAGCCGGGCATCTTGGGGTGACTCCCGGAGCCCCGCCTGCACCCAGGCCGGCTCTTCCTGCACAGTGGCCCTGCCTGAGGCTGCTTTCCACCAGCAGGAATCGAAACTGATCTGGATGAGAACACGTGTGTGGAGGGAGGAGGCTTGGCTAGAAATGAGAAAGAGCAAGAACACCTTTATGAGGCAGAGAAGGGACAGTGACGAGGATTAGGGTTCAGGGCTGCAGGCTGCCCCCCAGCTGGTCCCCCAGCCCAGGCCCCTCCCCACCCCTCCCTCTAGCCGAACTCTCATCAGCAGGACCAGGTAGCACAGTGCTTGGCCCAAAAAGAACAAATTGAAGTTATTCAGAGAGCTCAGGAAACCCCTCTTACAGGCATCAACTGGTTTCCAGGAAAAGAGAGAGGTTAAAAGCCGACCCCACCACTGCAATGACTCTCTTTTGAGCCCTAAAGCAAACAGAAAAATCACTGGGGTACGGAAGAAACATTTAGCATAGTGGTGCCCAGACTTTGGTAAGACAAGAATCTTCCAAGATTTGTGTGCTTGGGAGTAGGGCTAGAAATGTGGATTCTCTTTTTCTTTTTTTGAGATAGGGTCTCGGTCTGTCGCCCAGGCTGGAGTGCAGTGGCGTGGTCTCTGCTCACTGCAAGCTCCGTCTCCCGGGTCCACGCCGTTCTCCAGCCTCAGTCTCCCGAGTAGCTGGGACCACAGGCGCCTGCCACCGCGCCTGGCTAATTTTTTGTATCTTTAGTAGAGACGGGGTTTCACCGTGTTAGCCAGGATGGTCTCGATCTCCTGACCTCGTGATCCACCCGCCTCGGCCTCCCAAAGTGCTGGGATTACAGGCATGAGCCACCGCGCCCGGCGTATATTTTCTCTCAGCATAAACAAGTTTCAGTCTTACTGATGTGTGTTAAACTGTTCCCCCATTTATACTCAGCTGGTTCGTGGTTTTTAATAATGTAGATACAAATGTAAGGAATATTTATATGTACATAACTTTTCGCTTTTAAAACGTTGTTAGGCCAAGCGCAGTGGCTCATGCCTATAATCCTAGCACTTTGGGAGACTGAGGCGGGCGCATTGCCTGAGCTAAGGAGTTCAAGACCAGCCTGGGCAACACAGTGAAACCCCGTCTCTACTAAAATACAAAAAACATCAACTGGGCGTGGCGGCATGCACACGTAGTCCAGCTACTCAGGAGGCTGAGGCAAAAGAATTGCTTGAATTCGGGAGGCGGAGGTTGCAGTAAGCCAGGATCGCACCACCGCACTTCAGCCTGGGAGACAGAGTGAGACTCCGTCTCTTAAAAAAAAAGAAACAAAACAAAAACAAAAACAAAAAAAAAACTGTGACAAGGTCGGGCGTGGTGGCTTATGCCTGCAATCCCAGCACTTTGGGAGGCTGAGGCAGCCGGATCACCTGAGTTCAGGAGTTTGAAACCAGCCTGGCCAACACGGTGAAACTCTGTCTCTACTAAGAAAAACACAAAAATCAGGGGCTGGGCGCGGTGGCTCACGGCTGTAATCCCAGCACTTTGGGAGGCCAAGGTGGGCGGATCACGAGGTCAGGAGATCGAGACCATCCTGGCTAAGACGGTGAAACCCCGTCTCTACTAAAAATACAAAAAATTAGCCAGGGATGGTTGCAGGCGCCTGTAGTCCCAGCTACTCCGGAGGCTGAGGCAGGAGAATGGCGTGAACCCGGGAGGGGGAGCTTGCAGTGAGCGGAGACCGTGCCACTGCACTCCAGCCTGGGCGAGGAGCTAGACTCTTGTCTCAAAAAAAAAAAAAAAGAAAAAAGAAAAGAAAAAAGAAAAATACAAAAATTAGCCAGGTGTGATGGCAAGTGCCTGTAATACCAGCTACTCGGAAGGCTGAGACACCAGAATAGCTTGAATCCCGGAGGCGGAGGTTGCAGTGAGCCGAGATCGCACTACTGCACTCCAGCCTGCGGGAAAAAGTGAGACTCAGTCTCAAAAAAAAAAAAAGAAAAAAAAAAATAGGAAGCAAGCTGGGTATGTGCGTTTAGAGGTGCTGTACATTTTCAGCATTATAAATGAATAGAGATGAGTGGCAATAGTTTTTTTGGTCCATAGATTTTTGGTATCTTAACTAGTTTTGGATCTCTTCAACTAAAGGGACTGCCTGTTGAACGTTGTTAGGAATATAAGTACTGAAGGCAAACTGCCTGGGTTTGAATTTTGTTCTGTCCCTTGCACCCTGCCTGGCTTCAAATCCTAGCTCTGCTTATTAAAGTTCTTTTAAGGGATGATCTTTGAGCAAATGTCTTAGCTTCTGTTTTCCCAAGTAAATGGACACAATAGTTGCTACCTTGTGAAAGATTCATGTAATTGACCAGTGTTTACCAAGTAGCATCAGTGTTCAGTTTCAGTCATTGGTGATTCTGCAGTTGGATTGTGAGGTGGTGCTGGGGTGGGGGTGGTGTGTGTGTAGCACTTAATTGCACACAGAAAGGAAAAGATACTTTTTATAACCGAGAGGCAGCTTTTCTCTTCCTTTTGTGTCAAAAGGGAAGAAGGGAGTTTGGAGAGGGAAACCAATTCTCTGTAATACTGAGCTCTCTTCCTCAAAATCAGAGGTAGATAGAATGTGTAATAATTTACAGAATTTCTAGACTGAAACAATCTGATTTTTTTAAATGTATTTTTATTTTTTCAGGTTGAGACTGAACTAAAGTTAATCTGTGGCGACCTGCTGGATGCACTGGACAAGCACCTCATTCAGCAGCTGACGCTGGCAAGTCCAAGGTTTTCTATTATGAAATGTAGGTTCTATACTAGAAAGGAAAATGTAAGATTAAAAGTTGGCCTTTTTAGAATCATGACTTCCTTCTATGTAGGTTTCCAACTTTTTTAAAAAAATAATTGTTTAATGTTAGAAGGATAGTTAATGTGGGAATAAACAGATGGTCAGGCTATTATAAAAATGCATTAGCTTTTGCTTTACTTACTTATATTCTTTTGCTTTCATGGGACCTATCTCATTCCCCTCCCCCAAACGGCCACACATTTCACAGTGCTGGCTGAATGTTTCATGTAGACATTTTATTTTATGATTAATACACTTGTGCCATTTCTTGGAACCACTTGCTTGTTTAATTCTAGTCTATCAAGTGATAATTTTGTTGATATTTAGAGGCTCCTCAGTTAATTTCTGTGGGATTTTTGGTTATATTTAATAAGGAAAATGATAGGAAATATCTAAGAAAAAAGAAACAAAGCCAATTATTCCTGAGCGTGTTTAAAATTATTGAAGTACACTTGTTAATTTTTAGTATAGAACCTACATTTCATAATAGAAAACCTTGGACTTGGCAGTGTTAGCTGCTGGAATAAGGTGTTTGTCCAGTACATTCAGAATGTCGCCACAGATTAACTTTAGCTCAGTCTCAACCTGAAAAAATAAAAATGAATTTTAAAAAATTCAGATTGTTGAAGTCTAGAAATTCTGTAAGTTATTACACATTCTATGTACCTCTGATTTTGAGGAAGAGAGCTTAGTATTGAACAGAATTGGTTTCCCTCTCCAAACTCCCTTCCTCCCTTTTGACACAAAAGCAGAGAAAAGCTGCCTCTCGGTCATCAAAAGTATCTTTTCCTTTCTGTGTGCAATTAAGTGCTACACACACACACACACCACCCCCACCCCAACACCCCATCACAGTCCAACTGCTGAATCACCAATGACTGAAACTGAACACTGATGCTACTTGGTAAACACTGGTCAATTACATGAATCTTTCACAAGGTAGCAACTATTGTGTCCATTTACTTGGGAAAACAGAAGCTAAGACGTTTGCTCAAAGATCATCCCCTTAAAAGAACTTAATAAGCAGAGCTAGGATTTGAAGCCAGGCAGGGTGCAAGGGACAGAACAAAATTCAAACCCAGGCAGTTTGCCTTCAGTACTTACATTCCTAACAACGTTCAACAGGCAGTCCCTTTAGTGGAAGAGATCCAAAACTAGTTAAGATACCAAAAATCTATGTACCAAGTAACTATTGCCACTCATCTCTATTCATTTATAATGCTGAAAACGTACAACACCTCTAAAGGCAGATACCCAGTTTACTTCCTTTTTTTTTTTTTTTTGAGAGGGGGTCTTGCTTTGTTGCCCAGGCTGGAGTGCAGTGGCGTGATCTCAGCTCACTGCAATCTCCACCTCCCGGGTTCATGTCATTCTCCTGCCTCAGCCTCCCAAGGAGGTGGGACCACAGGCGCCCACCACCACGCCCAGCTAATTTTTTGTATTTTTAGTAGAGACGGGGTTTCACTGTGTTAGCCAGGTTGGTCTCGATCTCCTGACCTTGTGATCCAACTGCCTCAGCCTCCCAAAGTGCTGAGATTACAGGCATGAGCCACCACGCCTGGGCTATTTTTTGGTTTTTAGACAGTCTTGCCCTGTCACCCAGGCTGGAGTGCAGTGGCCCTGTCTCGGCTCACTGCCTTCCAGGTTCAAGCAGTTCTCATACCTCAGCTCCCTGAGTAGCTGGGATTACAGGGGCGTGCCACTATATCTGGTTAATTTTTGTATTTTTAGTAGAGATGGGGTTTCACCACGTTGGGTAGGCTGGTCTTGAATTCCTGGCCTCAAGAGATCCACCTACCTCGGCTTCCCAAACTGCTGGATTATAGGTGTGGGCCACGTGCCGTGGCCCAACTGTACTATTTCAATGAAGCTCCTGTACCCTAGGTCATCACTGACTTCCCAGTTGCTGAATCCAGTTGTCGTTACTGAGTTCGTCCTTAATTTAACTTTCTTTTGCATTGAAGCTACTGACCACAGCATTTTGAAACTCTATTCCTTTCATTACTGTGATTCTACTTTCCTTGTTTTTCATCTTATCTCTTAGTCTGTGGCTTCTCAGACTTCCTCACAATTGATTGCTTATTTTAAAAATTCAAAAATTTAAACCTCCTGAGCAGTTCAAAAATAATATACTTTTGAAATTTTTAAAAACTTTTCTAAGAGTTCCAAGGATAGGTTGGTGATCACCAGTTGATACCATTTTGCCATATTTTCTTTGTCTGTGTGTCCCTCCCTTTCTACCTGCACCCACATATATGTATATCTATGAATATTCACTTTTTTAACTTTAATAAATTTTCTTGCTGTACAATTTGAGAGTTAACTGCAGATTTCATAGCACTTCACCCCTAATTTCTTCTATATATCTCCTAAGGGCTTTTTTTTTTTTTTTTAGGAGGAGTCTCACTCTGTCACCCGGGCTGAAGTGCAGTGGCGCAATCTTAGCTCACTGCAACCTCCATCTGCTGGGTTCAAGCAATTCTTCTGCCTCAGGCCCACAAGTAGCTGGGATTACAGGTGCCTGCCTAATTTTTGTAATTATAGTAGAGACGGGGTTTTGCCGTGTTGACCACGCTGGTCTCAAACTCCTGACCTAAGGTGATCCGCCCTCCTCGGCCTCCCAAAGTGTTGGGATTACAGACATGAGCCTCCTTTCCCGACCTCCTTTTCCTTTTGTAATTAACAAGTGATCTATGGAATGATAGAAACAGTGTGAATATTCTGTCCCATAATAATCTTTACTTAATGGTTTTATCTGGATTGCCTCTTGCCAAATCAAATATTACTATGATTATAAAATGGAGACTTTTCTATTTTTTCTGCATTTTTTCTATATTGTCATTCTTCTGTAAAGATTTTTTTATGCTCCTTTTTTTTTTTTTTTTTTTTTTGAGATGAAGTCTCGCTTTGTCACCAGGCTGGAGTGCAGTGGTGTGATCTCAGCTCACTGCAACTTCCGCCTCCCGGGTTCAAGCAATCCTCCTGTCTCAGCCTCCAGAGTAGCTGGGACTACAGGCATGCGCCACCGCGCCCAACTAATTTTTTGTGTTTTTAGTAGAGATGGGGTCTCACCATGTTGGCCAGGAAGGTCTCGATCTCTTGACCCTGTGATCCAGCCACCTCGGCCTCCCAAAGTGCTGGGATTACAGGCATGAGCCATCGCGCCTGGCCCTATACTCCCTTTTTAAATTTTTTTTTTTTTTTGAGATAGCGGTTCACTCTGTTGCCCAGGCTGGAGTGCAATGATGTAGTCTTAGCTCCCTGCAACCTCCGCCTCCCAGGTTCAAGCAATTCTCCTGCCTCAACCTCCTGAGTAGCTGGGATTACAGGCGCATGCCACCACACCTGGCTGATTTTTGTATTTTTAGTAGAGATGGAGTTTTACTGTGTTGGCCAGGCTGGTCTTGAACTCCTGACCTCATGATCTGTCTGCCTCAGCATCCCAAAGTGCTGGGATTACAGGTGAGAGCCACTGCACCTGGCCCCCCCCCCCTTTTTTTTTTTTTTTTTTTTGGAGACAGGGTCTTCCTCTGTTGCCCAGGCTTGAGTGCAGTGGCGTGATCGTGGCTCACCACAGCCTTGGACCCCAGGCTGCCTCAGCTCACTGCAACCTCTGCTTCCCAGGTTCCATGATTCTCGTGCCTCAGCCTCTGAAGTAACTGGGAGTACAGGTGCGCACCACCACACCTGGCTAATTTTTGTATCTGTAGTAGAGATGAGGTTTCACCATGTTGGGTAGGCTGGTCTCAAACTACTGGCCAACATGGTGACCCACCTGCCTTGGCTTCCCAAAGTGCTTCATATTGTTAGCCCTAATTCTAGTCGAATTCCATAGCGTTCTACTTCTTTATTTTTATTTTTTTATTTTTGAGGTGGAGTCTCGATCTGTACCCCAGGCTGGAGTGCAGTGGTGTGATCTCGGATCACTGCAGCCTCCACCTCCTGGGTTCAGGCAAGTCTCTGCCTCCGCCTCCTGAGTAGCTGGGATTACAGGTGCCTGCCCCCACGCCTGGCTAATTTTTGTATTTTTAGTAGACGCGGAGTTTCATCATCTTGGCCAGGCTGGTCTTGAACTCCTGACCTTGTAATCTACCCGCCTCGGCCTCCCAAAGTGCTGGGATTACAGGCGTGAGCCACCGCGCCTGGCCACATTCTTCTTTCAGGTCATATTTGGATCTCCGTTTTTTCTACAGTGAGAACTCTGGTAACAACATAAATAAATGCATTCATTTGTTCAGTTGTACAATATATGCGTAATGAAAATTATAATACCAATAGTATTTCCAGCTACAAACCTACTAAGTTTGATTTAATATTTCTTTGCAATTTTTTTGTGTGCTTACATATAGGCTACTAAGGGTGTGCAGTCTGAAATTACTTAAGTATCTTTTTCTCGCCAGGAGCAGTGGCTCACGCCTGTAATCCCAGCACTTTGGGAGGCCAAGGCAGGGGTATCACGAGGTCAGGAGTTCGAACCCAACCTGGCCAACATGGTGAAATCCCGTCTCTACTAAAAATATAAAAATTAGCTGGGCGTGGTGGCAGGCACCTGTAGTCCCAGCTGCTTCGGAGGCTGAGGCAGGAGAATCATTTGAACCTGGGAGGTGGAGGTTGCAGTGAGCCAAGACCACGCCACTGTACTCCAGCCTGGGTGATAGAGTGAGACTCTGTCTTAAAAAAGAAAAATCTTTTCCTTTTATATCTTTTTTCTCTTTCTCTTTCTGTGGTGAAATTATTGGTGTCATAGTCAATTAAATTTATGTATTCTTATTGTATTCAGTTCTGCTTCCCACCCCTCATCCTTGTTGATTTTATTTTATTTTTAGAATATATTAAACATTAATATGGTTCAAAAAGAAAAATCTACATTTTATAATTGCAATAATATTTGATTTAGGAAAGAAAAAAATGGATGATAAACCCATTGAGGTTTTACTCAGAGGGTATACTCAAAAGTCTGAGTTCTTGTCCTTCCCTTCCATTATCATTAGCTTTTAGTTTATCTTAGTTGTCTTCATTTTTGCAGGTATAAGCAGATACATATTATATGTATATAATGTATTATATTATATATATTATATATTATATATATTATATATATTTATTATACATATTATACATATTATATATTATATATATTCTCATTTCCCCTTTCTTGTACAAAAGATAGCATAGTATCCATGCTGCTGTACTTTTAAATACTCTTTTGTATCTTGTTTTTATAGAGATGTTTCTTATTTTAATAGCTTTGTTACACGTTGTGTAGATTCCATAGGTTTTTGGCCAATATCCTATGTCTGAGCATTTAGGCTGTTTCCAGTGTGTCAGTTTCACAGATAATGTTGCAACCAGTAACCTGTGTATTTGCTTTCCATATTACTTATGGAGATGTACCATTGGGTTAACTTCCTGGAACTGATACCTGGCATGTCTAAAACAGGGCATCGTTTTCCCAAAACTTTTTCACTTTCATTTGCCAGTATTGAATGGCACCATTATCTATCCTATTACTTATGCAGAAATAAAGGTATCTTCATTTCCTCTCATGTCTAGTTTGTCAGCAAATGCAAATTATGTATTCTTAGCCTTTCATTTTTTTCTACCTTCATTTTCTTACAGATCTTCTTAGTTGGTTTATTATACTAGCCTCCTAACTAGTCTCATTTCTCTCCTAATACTCCCTACTGCTACTAGATGTGTCTTTCATAAAGCCAAAAGTTTGTTCATTTCACCCAGATCTTCCTTTGTCCAGACCTTCCATTTCCTGGCCTCTACCTGCTTCTGTAGCCTAATCTCTAACACTTCTAACCATGCTGAACTACTTGTAGATTCCCCAGACATATCCTGTCCTATCAAGCCTCTTTTGCACTGGAATGCCTTTTTTTTTTTTTACCTTCTACATTTCTTTCTTTCTTTCTTTTTTAACCATTTTTGTGGAGAATGGGGTCACGCTTGTTACCAGGCAGATCTCAAACTCCTGGGCTCAAGCGATCCTCCTGCCTCTGCCCACCTAAGTGCGGGGATTACAGACATGAGCCACCGCATCCAGGCCACATTTCATTTTAATAACCTTCAAGCAAGACTTTTTGCTAGGTCAGATGTAGTTCCCCTGTTTACCCTTACCATCCTGCGCTTACCTACATTGACTTGTCTTTTTTTCCCTGAGACTTTGGGCTCCTGTGGACTTTTGGACTCCTATGGACAGGGCATTCCTTCAATTCTGCTTTCATGGCACAGCCTGGAGCATGGTAGACACTCAATAGTTTGTGAATATGTGAATAAACTTGATCTGATTACCGATATCTTTTTTAAAAAGTCTCTTTAGGTATTCATTTACATGTTCACTGCAAAAAATCCAAACTGCACAGAGGCATATATAAAGTGAACATTTTCCATTACCCCATCTCAGTGTCTAGTGGGAACTATGGTTAATAGTTCAATATTGGCAAGAAAAACACAAAATAGATTTTCCAGTTACTATAGAATAAAAATGTTCACTATTTTGTTCTTATAGATCATCTCTTTTCCCTTTAGGCAATGATAGTAGGAAATGCTAAAGATACAGCTCATACAAAAGCAGAATGGAATATTCTGGAAGAAGTAAAGCATCCCTTCATCGTGGATTTAATTTATGCTTTTCAGACTGGTGGAAAACTCTACCTCATCCTTGAGTATCTCAGTGGTCAGTACACAGAGTTTGGTGTAATTATTTGCATTTGCTCCAGAAACTGGGTCAAAATGTTATTTTTCAACGGAAAAATACTTTTTCCCATTATGATCAAATAGTGCTTAAAATTGATGAGTACGCTGAAGTACAAAATTCAGATATGACCAAATGTTTCTTTTGGCAGACAAATATGGAGGAAACTGAAGATTTTTTTCCCTCATCTGTAAAATTTTATCTTATTTCCTTTGTAATCAGTCACTTAACAGAAAAACAAATACCTAAGTGATGCAGAGCCATCAAATTGTACTGGGGTAAGATACTGTAATTTAAATAATTGGGAGGATTATTTAACATACTGACTATTTTTGGAATTGGGTCTTTAAACAAGAGTTTTTGTTTATTGTAGCCTTAGTGATGGGGTGTGTAGCTTATAATGGAAATCATCCACATTTGCCAGGGCCTACCACCTCATAGGAACTTGTTGCTTCCATATCATTTCTAATCACTGGTATCTATTTCTTTTTTCTTTTGAGATGGAGTTTCGCTCTTGTCGCACAGGCTGGAGTGCAATGGTGTGATCTTGGGTCACTGCAACCTCTGCTTCCTGTAGTTCAAGCGATTTTCCTGCCTCAGCCTCCCGAGTAGCTGGGATTACAGGCATGTGCCACCATGCCCGGCTAATTTTTGTATTTTTAGTAAAGATGGGGTTTCACCATGTTGGTCAGGCTGGTCTCGAACTCCTGACTTCAAGTGATCCACCTGACTCGGCCTACCAAAGTGCTGGGTTTACAGGTGTGAGCCACTGCACCCGACCACAGGTATCTATTTCTAGCAAACACAGTTCAGTTCTCTGAGAAAGATTTTGCAGTAACATGTAACATGGAACAGAAAGGTGCAGAATGTAGCAACTTTTTTGTGACTATTGCCATTGGAAAAACTTTTTTTTTTTTTTTGAAGATGGAGTTTCACTCTTCTCGCCCAGGCTGGAGTGCAGAGGCGTGATCTCGGCTCACCACAACCTCTGCCTCCCAGGTTCAAGTGATTCTCCTGCCTTAGCCTCCCATTTAGCTGGGATTACAGGCATGCACCACCACACCAGGCTATTTTTTTGTATTTTTAGTAGAGCTGGGCTTTCACCGTGTTGGCCAGGCTGGTCTTGAACTCCTGACCTCAGGTGATCTGCCCGCCTTGGCCTTCCAAAGTGCTGGGATTACAGGTGCGAGCCACTGTGCCCACCCAGAAAAACTTTATTTTGACATAATTTCATATTTAAAAAGTTTTAAGAGTAGTATAACGAATTCCTATGCTAGGCTCAGTGGCTCATGCCTGTAATCCCAGCACTTTGGGAGGCCAAGGTGGGTGGATCATGAGGTCAGGAGTTTGAGACCACTCTGGCCAACATAGTGAAACTCTGTCTCTACTAAAAGTAGAAAAGTTAGCTGGGCATGGCGGTGTGCTCCTGTAATCCCAGCTCTTTGGGAGGCTGAGGCAGGAGAATCGCTTGAACCTGGGAGGCGGAGGTTGTGGTGAGCTGAGATCGCGCCACTACACTCCAACCTGGGCAACAGAGCGAGACTCAGTCACACACACACAAAAAAAGAATTCCTATATATCTCTCACCTGGATACCTGGGTTCCTCAAATGTTACCATTTCACCACATTTATTCACCACATTTATTTTGTTTTATCCTTCTATATATATGTATATATGTGTATACATATATACATGCATGCATGCATAATTTTTTGAACTGTTTAAGAGAGTGTTACAGACATGATTTCCCTTTACCCCTAAAATTTCAGTGTATGTTTTCTTTCTTTTCTTTTTTTTTTTTTTTTTTTTTTGAGATGGAGTATCACACTGTCGCCCAGACTGGAGTGCAGTGGCGCAATCTCAGGCTCACTACAACCTCTGCCTGCCAAGTTGGGATTACAGGCACCCACCACCACGCCCGGCTAATTTTTGCATTTTTAATAGAGATGGGGTTTCACCATGTTGCCCAGGCTGGTCTCGAACTCCTGACCTTAGGTGATCCACCCGCCTCAGCCTCCCAAAGTGCTGGGATTACAGGTGTGAGCCACTGCGCCCAGCCTATTCAGTGTATATTTTCTAAAATCAAGGACAGTATCTTACATAACTATACTAAAATGATCAGAAATAGGAAATTAACTTTGATGCAATTATAACTCTCCTTAGTTTCCTTTAATCAGGAACATTTCCTCAGTCTTTCTTTGACTTTCATGATGTTGACATTTTTTATTAGTACAGGCCAGTTAGTTTGTAGAAATGCTTTGGGTTTAGCTGATGTTTTCTTAGTATTAGATTCAGGTTATGCAATGTTGGCAGGACCATTGAACTGACATTGTGTCCTCCTTAATGCATCAGATCAAGAGGTACATGATTATTTATATATTTGTCCCATTACTTGTGATGTTAACTTCAGTCACACGTATAAGGTGGTGTGTGCCGGTTTTTCCCCTGGTGACATTTTTGCCTTTGTATTTAGTAAGTATCTTTTGAGGAGATACTTTGAGATTATTTAAATATCTTCCATCAAACTTTCATGTTCAGTTTTGTTCTTGTTGCTATTGTTTTTTGAGACGGAGTCTCACTCTGTCGCCCAGGCTGGAGTGCAGTGGCAGGATCTCAGCTCACTGCAACCTCCACCTCCCAGGTTCAAGTGATTCTCCTGCCTCAGCCTCCCGGGTAGCTGGGATTACAGGCAGGCACCACCACACCCAGCTAATTTTTTTAGTTTTAGTAGAGATGGGGTTTTGCCATGTTGGCCGGGCTGGTCTTGAACCCCTGACCTCAGGTGATCTGTCCGCCTTGCCTTCCCAAAGTGTTGGGATTACAGGCGTGAGCCACTGCGCCCAGCCCACATTCAGTTTTGACATCCATTGATTCTTGCCTGCAACAATTAATTGTGATGTTTGCCAAGTAATTGTTCTTATTCCGTCATGCCTTCTTCATTTATTACTTGGCATTCTACCGTAATAAAGAACTTTCTCTTCTTCCCCATTTAAAAAATTTATGTATTCATTTATTTATGTCATTGTGGGCTTAGGGATTCTAATACCATTCAATGTGATATAACCCTTTATTATCATTATTTATTTTGATACTCAAATTGTGCCATGTTTTTTACTAGGCCACTGCCAGGTTCATTCTGTTTATTTAAGGGTTCTGAAAATACGAAATATGAGCATTCACTAAAATTAGTGAGGGTGATTTAATTGTAGACGATCATTTTTCTACTTATGGGTAAAATGTTAAAGAGTTTTTAATCAAGATTTTTTTTTTAACCTCAGGTCTGGAATCTACAAATATTTCAAAGTTTCTAGATATAAAACCTGGAATTCCAAGGCAGTTCTAGTTTTTAAACATATGTGTTTCACAGAAGAATAAGAATGCTACTAAAAATAGAATCCTGAGGACTTAGTTTTAAAACCTATAATTTTTAGGATCTGTTTTTCATGTTTAAGGGGCTGATGTCTTTTAATTATGGTTAGAAGGAAAGCACAAACTCTCTCATTAGAAGTGGGTTGGAAATAAATGTTTTATTTCTTTTTTTTTTTCCTTTTTTTTTGAGACGGAGTCTCGCTCTGTCGCCCAGGCTGGAGTGCAGTGGCGCGATCTCGGCTCACTGCAAGCTCCACCTCCCGGGTTCACGCCATTCTCCTGCCTCAGCCTCCCGAGTAGCTGGGACTACAGGCGCCCACCACCACGCCCGGCTAATTTTTTTTTTTTTTTTTAGTAGAGACGGGAGTTTCACCGTGTTAGCCAGGATGGTCTTGATCTCCTGACCTCGTGATCCGCCCGCCTCGGCCTCCCAAAGTGTTGGGATTACAGGCGTGAGCCACCGCGCCTGGCCATATTGTTTTATTTCTAATGTTTTTTCTTTTTCTTTACAGGAGAACTATTTATGCAGTTAGAAAGAGAGGGAATATTTATGGAAGACACTGCGTGGTAAGTGAACTTTTTGTGGTTGCAAAGATTCAGGTAATTACAAGCAAAGCCCCATTCCCACTATGGGCAGCCACATGATTCAGTAAATTGATCTGGAGCCAGTCACTCACTCAGGACTTCACGGGGGAGAAGCAGTTTTGGGACTGGGCGGGTATGGAGGTCACATCACTCCTTTGCCCTTAGGCTTGAGTGGAACGCTCTTCACACCAGTTGTTCCTAACAGAACCATTCTCATTGCTGCTTGCTTTCCTTGAATTGGTGAGCTGCCTGCCTTGACTGTGGGTGAGTGTGGTTTTCCAGTGAACCTTTATGTGTGGAACAATGGAAATTATCAGAAATCATCTCCTTTTTTTTTTAGGCTTTCTATTTCTCAAGGTGCAGTCTTAGGGAGGTGATAAGCCTGGCATATCATCTGTGGTCTGATTATATAGTCAGGATGGGATTTACCCTCCTATTTCTAAACATGTCATCTGCTTCAAATTAAAAATATGCACATCATTTTGTGAAGCAACAATATTGGATCACAATAAATCAGTTTATCCTACACATTAATTTAATAGAAAATAACACTTAAATGTTTTTTCTACCTTAATTACCAAAACTGCATTCCATTGTTTAATTTCAGGCCTTTTCTAACACGGAAGCTGCATTTAAGAGCCTTAGGGATGAAGTGCCCTTTTGTGGAGGAGGCTCACTGAGCAGTGTTGGAGGCTGTGTTTGTGGTCGTGCTGGCTGTGAAACTGCCTCAGTCCTTCCTCTAGGACACACCCTCTCCATCCTGGAATAATCTGCAGGATTGCAACATTGTTAAGCAGCCAGTATTGCGGTGCCTTGTGCTTTTCACATCCAGACAGGGTTGATTCAGCCCTTTATTCTTTTGAGGTAGATAAATTTGGGTGTCACACAGTTTATAGTTGTGGGCTGGCTGGCTGGAGGGAGGGCGGATACTGTGGGCCTTAGCTGTCTATAAATACGTAGCTGTATTAAGTAAGGGATGAGTGGGCTTCTAAGGGTCAGGTTATAAGATAGCTTTTGAAATCAAGACTTGATCTCTAGAATAACAACGTTCCTATTTCCTATGGGATTTTAAAGTTGAGTGTGGATGGGAGAAATTTGTTTTGAAATGAATGACTATTAGCTTAATTCCTACAGACAGAACAAAACATGACCAATGGCAGTTTAGCATATTCTGGACATCTTTGCAATTTTAGCAGTATGTTCTAATGGCAAAATAAAGCACTTTATAGTTTCACTAAAATGAGTGAAACATAAATGTCCCCATGCCTTTTGGCAGCATCCTATGCCATCTCTTCTTCCCATACATCCCTGTACCCCACTAATTTGGTCTTTGGTGCATGTCTGTTTCTTTCAAGGAATTTTGCTCCATACATAAACTGTTTTGGATAGATTACACTCTTTTTAATTCTATTAAATCACTTCTGTTTCCAGCTTTTACTTGGCAGAAATCTCCATGGCTTTGGGGCATTTACATCAAAAGGGGATCATCTACAGAGACTTGAAGCTGGAGAATATCATGCTTAATCACCAAGGTGGAGACATACCATAAACAATTCTATAGTAAATAATCATCTTAAAATCCTCCCACACAGGTCATGGCCATTTTCAAAGCCCCACAGTCATCTCTCTATTTTGTATATTTCCTCCCTCAGAATTTATGGCATCATAGTACTTGCTGATGTTTTAAGTCTTTAGGTAATTACACTTGGTGAGAGTAAAAGAAGTTGAGGATAATAGTTGCTCAATTGCCTTTTTTAGTTTAATCCTTACTCTATAGTTTTTCATGTTTTTGGAATCCTTACATAAAATGTTGTGTAATGTTTTAGACTATAAAAGCCAGTCTAAACATTAATTTTGGCTTGTTACTTAAATTGAAAAGTGAATCTTAATTATATAAGTCGAGTTTTAGTAATGAAAATATGTAATTATTGGCTGGGTGCGGTGGCTCACACCTGTAATCCCAGCGCTTCAGGAGGCTGAGGCGGGCAGATCACCTGAGGTCAGGAGTTCAAGACACCTGGCCAACATGGTGAAACCCCATCTCTACAAAAAAAAAAAAAAAAAAAAATTGCCGGGCATGATGGTGGATGCCTGTAATCCCAGCTACTCAGGAGGCTGAGGTGGGAGAATCGCCTGAACCCAGTAGGCGAAAGTTGCAGTGAGCCAATATCGTGACATTGCACTCCAGCCTGGGCGACAGAGCGAGACTCCATCTCAAAAAAAAAAGAGAAAAGAAAAAGAAAATATGTAAATATTAGAAGCTATGCTTCTTACAGTAGGTTTTATTAATGCTGGAAAAAGGATTGAAATGGAACCAAAGTATTTGATAAAACTTGGGGAATATGATGTTTAATAGGCATCAGGTTACTCTTTTTTTTTTTTTTTTTTTTTGAGATGGGGATCTCACTCTGTCACCCAGGCTGGGATACAGTGGCATGATTACAGCTCACTGCAACCTCCGCCTCCCAGGCTCAAGTGATCCTCCCACCCCAGCCCCTCAAGTAGCTGGGGCCACTGTGGCACACCACCACGCCTGGCTAATTTTTGGTATTTTTTGTAGAAATGGGGTTTCATCATGTTGCCCAGGGTGGTCTCAAACTCCTGAGCTCAATTGATCTGCCTGCCTCGGCTTCCCAAATTGCTGGGATTACAGGCATAACCCACCTCCCCCACTGCCAGAATCAGTTTATTCTTGCTGTTTGTTTGCAACAACAAACATAAACATCAGAGAGACCGATAATCTATACAACTATAGATATAGCACCGTGAGCCTTGACTACAACTGCCTGCTGCTACAGACAGCTCAATTTATGCTAATCTGGGCTGTGGGTAGACTTGGCAATTCACTCATACCCCAAAGGAGCAACCAGATGACCCAGGGTATCTAGAAGGTGGTAGCAGCTGCTAATCCTTAGATGTCTACAGAACAATCCATGAGGTAGTTAATTGTTTCAAACTCTTAGAGAATGATGTATGAACAACCAAGGCTCATATAAACATTCCAGATTATACTCCTCCACCCACCTTTTTTTTTTTTAAGGAGAAATGATATACTTAACTGAATAGATCATGGGAATCAGCGTCTCTTCCTTCCTCTCATCAACACCTCCTCACTCCCCAAAACCTGGTTCTGATCTGAATTCTAAGTCACAGGATAGAATAGGGGAGTGATAGAATAGTTGACTTCTCCTTTCATTTATAAGGTTGAGTGTATCAGATGGTTCTGTGAAAATAAAGGCCATACTTCTTCTGTATCAGAGTGTAGTATATGTTTACATTTGAATCAATAGGTCATTGTGCCTTTTCTATGAAATGAACCTCAAATACTAGAGCCCCTGAGGTTGTTGAACCACTTGTTATGACAGTCCAGTAAAGAAAGCTAAACTTGAACTGAAATGATCTTTGTATAAGGTGGTAAGTTTTTTACTTTCTGGATCAGCGATGATTGATTCATACTATCTAGCAATTTTCTTTCTTTCCCCTAATTGGTAGCATTGGGCAGAATGAGCTACCTTGTTATAGTGACTTTCTGAGACCATTTTAAGAACTCTTCACAGTTCACTGTGATAAAAGCTATATATTTGAAGTACTATCTCACACCTTTGTTTAAAAGGTACAGAATATGTTTATTAGGGTCTGTGTACTTAAACTAGACTCCATAAAACAGTTTTTCCAGGATTTTTCTTTTTCAGGATGGTAGAGGATTCTGTGTATACTTAAAGCTAGAGCCTTAAACAGGTTATTTCACTTTTTTCTCTATCTTTATTTTCTCTTTACCAGATAGATTGTATCTTTGGCAAATGTGACTTTGCCCTAGCCTTAAACAGTTAGCATCCCATTTTATGGATGGTACCTTGTTCTTGACATCTGCAAGAAAAGTTTGAGGCAAGAAAAGTTAAATGGAAGGATAGATTAAGGTGTTATATGACATGTTCAAACACTGCACATACTTAGAATTCTGAGAATAATCATGCTGTAATCTTTCATTGCAGGTCATGTGAAACTAACAGACTTTGGACTATGCAAAGAATCATTCATGACGGAACAGTCACACACACATTTTGTGGAACAATAGAATACATGTGAGCTGCATGTTAAACATAATTGGTTTGGAGGTAATAGCTAATTTTACCTGTTTTAAGGAATAGTATCTGTTTTCTGTACCCTCATTGACTCTGTATATTGTTTTTAAAATTCTAATTCACATGATATGCCAATGGGGGCATTTTAAAGCATATTATTTTCCTCATTGTACGGCCCCTGAAATCTTGATGAGAAGTGGCCACAATTGTGCTGTGGATTGTTGGAGTTTGGGAGCATTAATGTATGACATGCCAACTGGAGCAGTAGGTGCACAGTTAAAAGCTGCATGTATTATGGTCTATGCTGAGTCACTGTAGCAAGAGACCTGTCCTGTGCTTTCTGAAAATGTTACCAATGGAGTTTTCAAAGCCCAAAGATTTGTTATTAGCAGTTTAACACTAATAATGCTGTATGATTATATGGGATCCCATACTTTGAGAAACATTTTCGTTGAAATGATCTGTGTCATGGCAGGCCTGTGAAATAGATGTTGAACAGATAATGCTCTTATTTTTATAAATACAGAAATTGAAGCATAAAATCACATAGCTCACTTATTATCACACAGCAAGTTAATGGTGGAAACACAGGCTTCCTTCCAGGACACTGCTACTTCCTCTGTCCTGTTGCTTAAAAACTGCACGTCTGCCAGGCACAGTGGTGCATGCCTGTAGCCCAAGCTACTCAGGAGGCTGAGGTGGGAGGATCATTTGGGCTAAGGATTATTAATAGAATCTAGCCTTGACAAGAGACCCTGTCTCTAAAACAAAATAAAGGTCTTTAGCAGTTAGCCCATTTCACAGCATACATTTCTGATCTCCATGCATAACTAATTCAGGAAATGGATATGGTTATTTAAAATTTGTTTCTTATATACTAATATTTTTCACTTCCTGCTAATATTTTTCACTTGTCTTCTACTCTTAGCCTCCATTTACTGGGGAGAATAGAAAGAAAACAATTGACAACATCCTCAAATGTAAACTAATTTGCCTCCCTACCTCACACAAGAAGCCAGAGATCTGCTTAAAAAGGTAAGGTTCTTAAATGGTCACTGACAGTATAAGATTCAATGACTAGGATTTAACTAGATAGAATTTAATGTATATTTTGAATAATATATAGTGAACAAAAAAAAGTCTTCAATTTTTGAAGGCGAAGTACAGATTTGTTTAACGACTTTCTTTTCATATTCTTTTTTTTTAATTCTTTTTTTTGAGACAGAGTCTCGCTCTGTCACCCAGGCTGGAGTGCAGTGGTGCGATCTTGGCTCACTGCATCCTCAGTCCCCCAGGTTCAAGCGATTCTCCTGCTTCAGCCTCTCGAATAGCTGGGATTACAGGCGCCCGCCACCATGCTCCGCTATTTTTTGTATTTTTAATAGAGACAGGGTTTCACCACGTTGGTCAGGCTGGTCTGGAACACCTGACCTCAGGTGATCCACCTGCCTTGGCCTCTCAAAGTGCTGGGATTACAGACCCTTAAACAATTATTCAGTAGTAATTAGTAAACTATATATTTTTTTCTTTTCTCTTTTTTCTGAGATGGAGTCTTGCTTTGTCCTCCAGGCTGGAGTGCAATGGCATGATCTTGGCTCACTGCAACCTCTGCCTCCCAGGTTCAAGTGATTCTCCTGCCTCAGTCTCTCTAGTAGCTGGGATTACAGGCGTGCGCCACCACGCCAGGCTACTTTTTGTATTTTTAGTAGAGAAGGGGTTTCACCATGTTGGCCAGGCTGGTCTCGAATTCCCAACCTCAGGTGAACCACCTGCCTTAGCCTCCCAAAGTGCTGGGATTACAGGCATGAGCCACCATGCCCAGCCAATAAACTATATTTTCTCAAGGCAAAGTAGACAAGCAAAGTCTAAAAAGGAAAAAAATCAGTTTGACTAAAGTTCTTTATCCAGGCTTTTTTATCCTTTTTAAAGCTACTGAAAAGAAATGCTGCTTCTCATCTGGGAGCTGGTCCTGGGGATGCTGGAGATGTTCAAGTAGGTATTGGCATCTTTGGTGTTTTGTGGGGAAGATAATGCTAGTTTTATGTATTTCTGAGGGTTATATGTAGTTGCTTATAAGTTAGCTTATTTTGTGACTTGTAACTTCAAAAAGGTGATTAATTTATCAATCCAGCAAAGTCTATTCCCCTCAACTTTTCTTTCTGCTTTTTTTTTCCTAGGCTCATCCATTCTTTAGACACATTAACTGGGAAGAACTTCTGGCTCGAAAGGTGGAGCCCCCATTTAAACCTCTGTTGGTAAGTATACATGAAAGCTTATAATTGGGTGCAGTGGCTCACGCCTGTAATCCCAAAACTTTAAAGGGCCGAGGTGGGAGGATTGTTTGAAGCCAGGAGTTCAAGACCAGCATGGGCAACATAACAAGACTCCATCTCTACAAAACATTTAAAAGTCAGCTGGGTATGGTGGCATGTGCCTGTAAGTCCCAGCTACTTGCGAAGCTGAGGCAGGAAGATCGCTTGAGATTTTTTTAGAGTAAGAAAAATCTCAGAGCAGACAGAAACGTTATTTTTATTAGCAGTTCAAAGATCTCTGGTTTATCCTCTCTTCAGCATCTTTGTTTTTATTATTTATTTATTTTATTTTGAGACGGGCTCTCACTCTGTCACCCAGGATGGAGTGCAGTAGCACGATCACAGTTCAATGCAGCCTTGACCTCCCCAGGCTCAGGTGATTCTCCCACCTCAGCTTCCTGAACAGCTGCGACTACAGACACATGTCACCATGCCTGGCTAATTTTTTTGTATTTTTTTGTAGAAACGGTTTCACCATGTCGCCCAGGCTGGTCTCGAACTCCTGGGCTCAAGTGATCCACCCACCTCAGCCTCTCAAAGTGCTGGGATTACAGGTGTGAGCTTCTGCACCCAGCCAAGCATCTTTTATTTTTGTACTATCTTTTAAAGAACTAAAGCCAGTGGCAATTGACTGTATTAGCTATTTTTAAGTCAGTTACCTAAGACAATTAAATATTTCGGGTAGTTGGGACCTTTCTTTTTTTGGTTTGTTTTATTTTGCTTAATTTAACCATTTTAAATATGATTCTTTGGGAATTTTTTCTTCAAAATATAGAATATATGTGCATTAGTTTGCTAGGCTTGCTGCAACAAAGTACCACAAACCAGGTGGCTTAGACAACAGAAATTTATTATCTCATAGATTTGGAGACTAGAAGTTCTAGATCACATTGTTAAGAGTTGGTTTCTTTGACAACCGTGACAAACTGTATGTTCCATGCCTCTCCCCTGGCTTCTGGTGGTTTGCTGGTAATCTTTGTCATTCTTTGGCTTGTAGGTGCATCACCCGGATCTCTGCCTTCATGTTCACATGGTGTTCTACCTGTGTGCGTATCTGTGGCCAAATTTCCCCTTTTTATAAGGATACCAGGCATATTGGATTAGGGTTCCTCTCTACTCCAGTAGGACCTCATCTTCACTGATTACATCTGCAATAACCCTTTCCAAATAAGGTCACATTCTGAGGAACTAGAGGTTAGAATTTCAACATATTAAATTTTTTGGGGGGTGGGTAAGGCACACGATTCAATCCATAACAATATGTTTATGAGTAAATGAGTTAGTGTGTTAGTTATTGTCTTTCTCCCACTTCAGAATCTGAGAAAACAGTTTCTTTTTCCATTCCTTGGGATGTAGGTGGAGGAGGAGGAGGATGATGATAGTGATTATTTTTTGGTCATGGAGCATAATGTGACCCACTTTAAAAAACAACAAACAATTGTAAGGAGGATGACTGTCATACACCTACTGCACAGCTTAAAAATGATTAGGTCATCTTGTTTAAACATAACTGCCATCCCACCATCACACCTAAGAAGTTGACAGTTTCCCCAGTTTTTTTTTTTTTTTTTTTTTTTTTTGAGATAGGGTCTTTCTGTGTTGCCCAGGCTGGAGTGCAGTGGCATGATAGTGGCTCATGGCAGCCTCAACCTCCCAGGCTCAAGGGATCCTCCCATATAGCTGGGACCACAGGGGTGCATCACCACACCCAGCTAATTTTTTGAATTTTTCTAGAGATGAGGTCTCCCTGTGTTGCCCCACCTAGTTTTGTTGTTGTTGTTGTTGTTGTTCCATTCTTTTTTTTTTTCTCCTGTTTGTAAGGATTTAATCAAGGTCTGTATATAGTTTGATTACTATGTCTCTTAAGTCTCTTTTCATTTATAGATTGCCCTAATGATTTATTGAAGAAACTGGGTCATTTGTCCTGTAGAATTCTCAAATTTTGATTTTGCTGATATTATCCCCATAGGTGTCATTGCCCATGTTCATCTGTTCCCTGAATTTCCAAAAACTGGTAGTTAAATTTAGGTGGTTGATCTGATTCAGATTGAACTCTCGGTATTGCATATGCTTTGATCAGGAGGCATAATGTGTAGTTTGTGTGTGTGTGTGTGTGTGTGTGTGTGTGTGTGTGTTTAGTGATGTTAGTGGTCACTGATCATTGCCTGTGTCAGCATTTCACTACCAGGGTAATTTGGCAATGTCTGGAGACACACTGATTGTCACAGCTTGGGGGAGGGAATGCTATAGGTACCTTCAGGGGTAAGAGTCAGCACAGCACAGCCCCCTACAGCAAAGTATTAATAGGCCTAAAATGTCAGTAGCCCTGAGGTTGAGAAACTCTGGCATACTTTTATAATTTCATCAGGTGTTTGTGAAATGGTTTTATTCTGTTATTTCTTCTTTCTTTGTTAGCTGGAATTCTTTCATAAAGAGAAACTCTTTGAACAGTTAGTTACACAAGGTATAGTTCATACAGGAAAGGCAGGATGTATGTTTGATTCTTTCCTAGTTTTCAAAATAATGAATTAGTTCCCTAGCATCTTCCAAAATTGACCAATGAACTTTGTGTATGTGTTTTTTTCTTCTTTAGTATATTATGAACTTACACGTTTTAACATATTTGTGTTTCATTTCATTGCAGTTATTTTTATTTTTATTTATTCATTTATTGTTTTGAGGCAGGGTCTTACTCTGTCACCCAAGCTGTAGTGCAGTGGTATAATCTCTGCCCACTGCAGCCTTGACTTCCCGGCCTCCAGCAGTCCTCCCACCTCACCCTCTTGAGTAGCTGGGACCACAGGTACACCACCACGCCCAGCTAATTTTTGTGTTTCTGGTAGAGACAGGGTTTTGCCATGTTCACCAGGCTGGTCTTCAAATCCTGAGCTCAAAAGCAATCCACCTGCCTCTGCCTCCCAAAGTGTTGGGATTATAGGCGTGAGCCACCGTGCCTGGCCGTTATTTTTATTGATGCTCATTTTTTCCCTTCGTTGAATGCTGGGTGCATCTTCATATTGGGTTCTGAGTCCTTTTGACGAGCACGTTGTCTGGTGTTGGACAAGAGAGCAAAATAAGGAAACTGCTGTTCTCTGCTTATCTTTTACATTTTCCCCACATTTGGAATCAGCCATTCCTCCAGGGAGTGCAAGTTCACAGTCTGGGCTCTAAGAGAATTATCAGGTCAATGTGGTCATCTTTTAGTATTAAGTCAGATATTCTAAATTATTATTTACTTCCTAGATTTGGCCCAAGAGTCTAACCAGATATTTTGGGAAAGAGACAAGGAATTACATAAATCAATCTCATGGTTAGAACTGAAGTGATAACTATACTTTCACAAGGGAATATAACTTATAACCCATGCAGAATAGAAAATTATTTTTGCTCCTTTAGATTTCTAAAGGAATGAAATAAGCTGTGGGAAGAAACTTTAACTGGAGCATCTTACCAGTATTATTCATGTTTTAACTCTGCTTCAGTAGTTTTTCAGGTTTGTTACAAACCTGCAGTAGCCAACTGAACTAATTATCTCTAAACAGGGATTTAGCCAGTGTACTAAGCACACTGAAGCTTTGTGAGAGAGGAAATTGATATTCACATTTTTTCCAACTTGTTTTGAGCTCAATGTATTCACTTTTTTTGTTTTGTTTTGTTTTGTTGTTTTTTTTTATTCAGACAGACTCTCGCGCTGTCACCTGGGCTGGTGTGCAGTGGCACAATCTGTGTTTGCGGCAACCTCTTCCTCCCGGGTTCAAGCAATTCTCCTGCTTTAGCCTCCCAAGTAGTTAGGATTACAGGTGCCCACCACCACGCCTGGCTAATATTTTGTATTTTTTGTAGAGACGGGGTTTCACTATATTGACCAGGCTGGTCTCGAACTCCTACCTCATGATCTGCCCGCGTCAGCCTCCCAAAGTGCTGGGATTACAGGCATGAGCCACCATGCCCAGTTGATATATTCACATTTTTAATAGGAATAACAGTATACTAAAATCTATTTTAATGCATGTTTAAGATTTGAAGATGTAATTTGACTCAGTACTTTCCACCTGCATTTTTTTCTTCATTCTGTGCCTGCTAAGACTATTCTAATACTTTATTATAGTTAACCCCTGCGAAAAGAGCTCCCAGAGCTTACAGTGCATTTGATTGATGTAATATGGACTATTCATTATTTTCTAAATTATTTTGTTTGTATAAAGCAATCTGAAGAGGATGTAAGTCAGTTTGATTCCAAGTTTACACGTCAGACACCTGTCGACAGCCCAGATGACTCAACTCTCAGTGAAAGTGCCCATCAGGTCTTTCTGGTAAGTGAAAGAATTTCCATATAGTTGTGGGAAATTTTAAGTATGAGGATGGGCTCTTCGAGAAGAAAATTCAGTTTGCTTGCTTTGCAGTTCATGTAGGTAACCTCGCCCGCTTTTTTTTTTTAATAAGCCATGCTCTTATAACTTATTGATACCTACAAAATTGATTTTCGTAATCCAACATTTTATTTTAGCAATTAGAGTGGGAATGTACAATTCTTTGGAGAGTATGATTCCCTTTTTCGGTTGGGCCACAGACTTAAAATGATGTTTGGCTTAGCATCTCAACCAAAAATTAAGTCATAGCAGTGGGGGAGAAAAACCTCACTAACTACATGTATTTTATTCCTGAAACAGCTATAGATTTTTGGTACCTTTTTTTTTTTTTCTGAGACAGGGTCTCACCTTGCCCAGGCTGGGTGTAGGGTGCAGTGGTGCGATCACAGTTCACTGCAGCTTTGACCTCCCAGGCTCAAGTGATCCACCCATTTCAGCCTCATGAGTACCTGGACTACAGGTGTGTGCCACATCCAGCTAATTTTTAATTTTTTTGTAGAGACAGAGTCTGTTTTACTCCTGGACTCAAGCTGTCTTCCCACCTTGGCTTCCCAAAGTGCCAAAATTATAGGCCTGAGCCATCATTCCTGGCCCTATTTTTGGTACTCTTAACATAAGTAGGGTTTTTTTTTTTTTGAGTCGGAGTCTCGCTCTGTCGTCAGGCTGGAGTGCAGTGGTGCGATCGCAGCTCACTGCAAACTCTGCCTCCTGTGTTCAAGTGATTGTCCTGCGTCAGCCTACTACAGGCACGCACCACCACTCCCAGTTAATTTTTGTATTTTTAGTAGAGACAGGGTTTCACCATGTTGGCCAGGATGGTCTCGATTTCTTGACCTCGTGATCCACCCGCCTTGGCCTCCCAAAGTGCTGGGATTACAGGCATGAGCCACCGCGCCTGGCCAAGTAGGGGATTTTTTAACATTAATTGTGAATATTTGACATCAAAATATATTGGATCATATGTAATAGTGAATTCTCATTGTAGAAATATCTGTATAGATTTATAGCTTGTCTCTTCAGAAAAGTAAAGGTTTTAGATATTGGCCAACAGAAATGATGGATTTATATCAGATGACCATCAATGCATATTATTTTGCTTAAATATCATATATGGTTATTTTATTACTGTACTTATATGTCACATGAACATGTATCTCATTTTGTATCCTTTTTTTTCTTTTGTCATTCCTTTTTGGACTACCTCTAGGGAGAATAGAATATGGGGAAAGCAATTGTTTCTGAGTGTTTTTTTCCCTCTTTTTGAGTACACTGGATTTGTCACTAACTTAATTCTCAAGCTTTTCTTCCCCACACTGCTCACTATGTAACACAAGTAGTGTTGTATCTTATGGGATGGGAAATAAGCTCTAATAATAAGCTCATGGGGCATGGTGGCTCACGCCTATAACCCTGAGGTCAGGAGTTCGAGACCAGCCTGGCCAACATGGTGAAACCCCCTCTCTACTAAAAATACAAAAATCAGCCGGGTGTGGTGGCATGTACCTGTGGTACCAACTACTTGGGAGGCTGAGGCAGGAGAATGACTTGAACCCAGGAGGCAGAGGTTGCAGGAGCCAAGATCGTGCCACTGCACTCCAGCCTGGGCGATAGAGTGAGTGAGACTCTGTATCAAATTAAAAAATTAATTAAAAAAATAAAGTTAGCATGGAATGCAAAAGTGTGTAGTACAGTATGGTTTCGAGTAAACAACACTGAATAGTAATAATCCTATAAATTAGTAATATAGAGCATGTAGGCAAAATATAATCTTACAGTATTAATTACATAAGAGATAAAAGATGAGTGAGTGCATGCATGTTTTTAAATTCAAGTTTGATGTGTGCATGATCAAAGTTATGACATCTCTGTTAGTAAAATCTTAGGTTCAGTTAAGGAAATGAGCATGAATCACTTTAATTTTGGCTTTTTTTTCCTCTCATGTGCTACTGATGTGGAATTTATACCTTTGATTTAACATAGAGACCTCTTCGTCAACTGAACATTGCAAAATTTCAACTTATGTGACAGTTTTCCCCCCACAAAATAGAAGCATTTTATTTAGCTACCAAGAAATCCAAAGTTGTGGTGGTAAAAGTGAGATATTGAAGCTTTCATTGCCAGTTAAAGTATTGTTGAGCTCTTCATAATTACTTAAATTGGCTGTAACTGATGAACAGAGCAATTTTTTTGTTAGGTTGTAGCCAGAATTCTGTACATAAAGTGGGTCTCTTTAAACATTAGTAAAAAAATAGGCCAGGTGCAGTGGCTCACGCCTGTAATCCCAGCACTTTGGGAGGCAGAAGTGGGTGGATCACAAGGTCAAGAGTTCCAGAACAGCCTGGCCAATATGGTGAAACCCCATCTCTACTAGAAATACAAAAATTAGCCAGGCATGATGGCTGTAGTCCCAGCTACTCGGGAGGCTGAGGCAGGAGAATCACTTGAACCTCGGAGGCGGAGGTTGCAGTGAGCCGAGATCGTGCCATTCACTGCACTCCATCCTGGGCGACAGAGCGAGACTCCATCTAAAAAAATATATATATATATGTGTGTGTGTATATATATATGTATATATATGTGTGTATATATGTGTGTGTATATATGTATATATATGTGTGTATATATGTATATATGTGTGTGTATATACGTATGTATATATGTGTATATGTATACGTACATATATATGTATGTGTGTATATATACGTACGTATATATATGTGTGTGTATATATATACGTACGTATATATGTGTGTGTATATACGTATGTATATGTGTGTGTATATATAAGTACGTGTATATATGTGTGTATATATATACGTACATGTGTGTATATATGCATACGTGTATATATGTGTGTGTATATATACGTATGTGTATATGTGTGTGTATATATATACATACGTATATATACGTATGTATATGTATATATAGTGACATCCCACTTATCTGGATAATGTGGTTCTAGCAACCTCATTTCAACAAATATTTCAATTCCTGTTGTAAGACCCCATCACAGAATTAGAGGAAATTCAAAGATGATTAAGGCACAGCCTGTACCTCTTGGTAGTTACGGCTTTAGTCCACTAGAATGTTTGTAAAATTATTCTCTGAAGTTCACATATAACTGTCACAAATCATATGCACTTCAGAATTGCACTCTTTGGGCCTTCACCCAGAGCTTTGTTGAGTCTTATTTATTGTAACACATAATGCTTACTCATAGATTTTGATAAATAGAAGAGAGGATAGGTGAAGATGGTTAAAAGAATGAATATTGACAGTAAGAGAAATGACAGCTGGTAGCCTAATAGTAAGGCCCAAGAGAGAACTAAAACGAACAAAACTGCATTTTTGCCTATTACAAACGAAGGTTTTTGAAATGTTGATACTTATTCATCAAGAAAATACCAAATTCTAGCTGGGCAGAGATCACACATGCCTGTATAGTCCCAGCTACTTGAGGGGCTGAGGCAGGAGAATAGCTTGGCTCCAGGACTTTGAGGCTGTGGTGAGCTATGATATCACCACTGCACTCCAGCCTGGGCAATATAGGGATACCCCATCTCTTAAAACAAAAAACAAGTTCTGTCCAATCATTGCCATAAACCAGAAAGATCACAAGATCTGACTTTGATGCCAAATCAAAAAATTGTTTTTACTTTGACCTAATTATGAGAAACTGTTTTGGGGTGATAAACTTAATTGCTTATATGCCTGTGGCTAGAAACACTAGAAGTTTCTTTACATTTCTCCTAGTATTTAACATCTTTTTTTTTTTTAATTTTTGAGGTGAAGTCTTGCTCTGTTGTGCAGGCTAGAATGCAGTGGTGCGATCTCTGCTCACTGCAACCTCTGCCTCCCAGGTTCAAGTGATTGCCCTGCCTCAGCCCCCCGAGTAGCTGGGATTACAGGCGTGCACCACCATGCACGGCTAATTTTTGTATTCTTAGTAGAGATGGTGTTTCACCACATTGGCCAGGCTGGTCTTGAACTCCTGACCTCAGGTGGTCTGCCCGCCTTGGCCTCTCAAAGTGCTGGGATGACAGGCGTGAGCCACCGTGCCTGGCCGTATTTAACATCTTCATATGGAGCCTGAATTTTCCTTTTTTTCGATTCCTGTCAGTAGGGTGGAATTTTGTTTGCTAGCATATCAAGCTCAATAGAATTCTGCTTTCTTGAAGTGTGTGCCTCACGAAATGGCTGGAAAGAAGTTAACAGGTCTAAAAATGAGGTTGAGGACGTGGGAGACTGTACACATTGGTGGTTTTAGGTGTGCATCGCTGTGTAGGTATGTCAGACTGAACAACCCCATTTTCTTGAGATATATGACAAAATGCCATTCTGTAGTCCACTGTTACTGTCTTTCAGGGTTTTACTTATGTGGCTCCATCTGTACTTGAAGTGTGAAAGAAAAGTTTTCCTTTGAACCAAAAATCCGATCACCTCGAAGATTTATTGGCAGCCCACGAACACCTGTCAGGTATGTCACACTCTTATTTTCACTTTTTTTTTTTTTTTACAACCTACAAGAGTGTTTACTTAAGAAATTTATGCCAAGTTACATAAATGAAAGACTGTCATATTCTCTTTGGTTGACATAAGCACAGCATCTATATCTTACATTGCAAAGGACTAGTCTGACTAATCTATGATGTTATATGGTTTACCTTCCCTCCTGAAAGTAAGCAGCCACACTGGCAGATGTCTTCTTTATCCATTCACTCAGCATTTATTGTGTACCAAGAGCACCAGCACTACATGCTGCATGTTATGTATGTGTGTATATATATGAGTGTGTATATATATAGTACTATAATACAGGAATTGTCCCTGTCCTGATGAAGCTTACAATTTAGGGGGAGAGTCACAATAGACAAAGGATATACAAAAATACAATTACAAGTAGTGCTAAGTGCTATGATTTAAAAGGGGAAAGAAAGAATGTAGTGGTAGAGAGCAGAGGAAAAACAAGGGGGCTTCTACTCACAGTGGTCAGAGAAAGGCCTCCCTGGTGTAGTAACATCTAGCAGTGAACAGAAAGAGCCAGCCCTACAAAAATAGGAGGTATAAGAATGTTACAGGCAGAAGAACAGCAAATGCAAAAGCCCTGAGGGAGGAGAAAAGTTGCCTTTTCCTGGAAATGAAAGGGAGATCAATGTTCCTGGAGTGTGTGGTGAGTGAAGAGACGGGCAGAGGTTTGGAAAAGTATTTTATTTTAAATGCAATAGAAAGCTGTTTTGAGCAGGGGAGAGTAAAATGATATATATACTATGTATTTAAATATATATATATCTCATTGAGGGTTTTGGGGGTCAGGTGTAGAGGTAAAGAGACCAGTTAGGAAATTCTAGCAGTTAATATAGGCGGGGGAGAGATGGTTCAACTTTTGCCTTTGTGCTAATCCACATGAAAATAAAATTAAATGAAAATAAATGTCATATTACGCCACTCCCTTTAAATGTAAAGGAAATATGTCTGTTGAGATGACCCTTAAACAAATGAATGACAGCTCTTCCTTGTCTTAAAGCCCAATTTTCTCCTGGGGATTTCTGGGGAAGAGGCGCTTCGGCCAGCACAGCAAATCCTCAGACACCTGTGGAATACCCAATGGAAACAAGTGGCACAGAGCAGATGGATGTGACAACGAGTGGGGAAGCATTGGCACCACTTCCAATACGACAGCCGAACTCTGGGCCATACAAAAAACAAGCTTTTCCCATGATCTCCAAACGGCCAGAGCACCTGCGTATGAATCTATGCCACAGCAATGCTTTTAATGAATTTAAGGCAAAAAAGGTGGAGAGGCCGATGTGTGAGCATCCTACAGGGTGAAACAAGACTCAAAGTGACAATTTCAGAGAGTCAGTGTCATTACATAGAACACTTTGGACAGAGGAAAAATAAACATGGATTTTAAAAAAATCAATCAATCGTGCAAAAAAACTTAAAGCAAAATAGTACTGCTGAACACTCAGGCACATCAATTAATTGTTTCCTCGTGACATCTTCTCAACCTTATCAAGGATTTTCATGTTGATGACTCGAAACTGACAGTATTAAGGGTAGGATGTTGCTTCTGAATCACTGTTGAGTTCTAACTGTGTCGAAGAAGGGTTATCCTTTCATTAGGCAAAGTACAAAATTGCCTATAATACTTGCAACTAAGGACAAATTAGCATGCAAGCTTGGTCAAACTTTTTCCAGCAACATGGAATCAAAGACAAAAGAAACTTACCAATTGATGTTTTACGTGAACATAACCTGAATCTTTTTTTATATAAATATATATTTTTCAAGTAGATTTTTGATTCAGCTCATTATGAAAAACATCCCAAACTTTAAAATGCGAAATTATTAGTTGGTGTGAAGAAAGCCAAACAACTTCCGTTTCTTCTCTTGGTGAAATAATAAAATGCAAATGAATCATTGTTAACCACATCTGTGGCTCGTTCGAGGGACTGGGGTGGACCTGGGGTTTATTTTCAGTAACCCAGCTGCAATACTCGTCTGTAATATGAGAAAAAAAAAGAATCTATTTAATCATTTCTACTTGCAGTACTGCTATGTGCTAAGCTTAACTGGAAGCCTTGGAATGGGCATAAGTTGTATGTCCTACATTTCATCATTGTCCCGGGCCTGCATTGCACTGGAAAAAAAATCGCCACCTGTTCTTACACCAGTATTTGGTTCAAGACGCCAAATGTGTTCAGCCCATGGCTGAAGAACAACAGAAGAGAGTCAGGATAAAAAATACATACTGCGGTCGGCAAGGTGAGAGAGATAGGGATATCCAGGGGAAGAGGGTGTTGCTGTGGCCCACTCTCTGTCTAATCTCTTCACAGCAAATTGGTAAGATTTTCAGTTTTATTTCTTTCTACTGTTTCTACTGTCTACCTTCCTTATATTTTTCTCCTCAACAGTTTTAAAAAGAAAAAAAGGTCTATTTTTTTTTCTCCTATACTGGGGCTACATTTTTTTATTGTAAAAATATTTGATGGCCTTTTGATGAATGTCTTCCACAGTAAATAAGAAAACTTAGTGGCTTCATTTAGGAAACATGTTAACAGGACACTATGTTTTTGAAATTATAACCAAATCTACATAAATGATTTACAGGTACAAAGAATAAAAGTAAAGGTAACTTTACCTTCCTTAAATATTTCCTGCCTTAAAGAGAGCATTTCCATGACTTTAGCTAGTGAAAGGGTTTAATATCTGCAGAGCTTTGTAAAAATATATTTCAGTGCATACTGGTATAACAGATGATCATGCAGTTGCAGTTGAGTTTTACCACCTCTTTTTGTTTGTCTTTTATAATGTCTTCAGTCTGAGCATGCAGTCAATCTGTAATATTTTGCAACCCTAGGATTTTTTCAAATAGATCCTTTTTGAGCCATAGGATCCAAGCCATAAAATTCTTTATGCATGATGAATTCAGTCAGAAAAGAGCAAGGCTTTGCTTTTTGAAATTGCAACTCAAATGAGATGGGATGAAATCCTATGACAGTAAGCAAAAACAGAACCATGAAAAATGATTGGAAATATACCTTTTCAATTGTGGCAATAATTGAAAGAATCGATAAAAGTTCATCTTTGGACAGAAAGCCTTTTAAAAAAAATCACTCCCTCTTCCCCCTCCTCCCTTATTGCAGCAGCCTACTGAGAACTTTATGACTGTTGCTGGTAACTTAGAAGCTACAATAATAATTAAGGGCAGAAATTATACTTAAAGTGTAGATCCTTGTTCTCTGACAATTTGTGATGTCTGAAAAAACAGAACCTGAAAAGCTATGGTGACGTGTACAGGCATTATTTCAGACTGTAAATGGCTTGTGATACTCTTGATACTTGTTTTCAAATATGTTTACTAACTGTAGTGTTGACTGCCTGACCAAATTCCAGTGAAACTTATACACCAAAATATTCCTCCTAGGTCCTATTTGCTAGTAACATGAGCACTGTGATTGGCTGGCTATAACCACCCCAGTTAAACCATTTTGATAATTAGTAGTGCCAGCAATAGTGGCAAACGCTGCAACTTTTCTGCATAAAAAGCATTAATTGCACAGCTACCATCCACACAAATACATAGTTTTTCTGACTTCACATTTATTAAGTGAAATTAATTTCCCATGCTGTGGAAAGTTTATTGAGAACTTGTTTCATAAATGGATATCCCTACTATGACTGTGAAAACGTGTCAAGTGTCACATTAGTGTCACAGAAAGCACACACCCGTGCAATATGCCTTATCTATCTTTATTTGTAAAAATCCAAGCATAGTTTAAAATATGAAGTCAATATTACCAGTCTTCAGTTTCTAAGAGGGTTCTTTATGATTATACTAAGTGTATAAAAGAGTTTAAGTGCTTTCTTTTTCATCACTTACTTTCTTTAAAATCAGCTATTACAGGATTTTTTTTATTTTATACATGCTGTTTTTTAAGTAAAATATAATCACTGAATTGAAGTTTACTAATTTGATTTTATAAGGTTTGTAGCATTACAGAATAACTAAACTGGGACTTATAAACCAGCTGTGATTAACAATGTAAAGTATTAATTATTGAACTTTGAACCAGATTTTTAGGAAAATTATGTTCTTTTTCCCCTTTTATGGTCTTAACTAATTTGAATCCTTCAAGAAGGATTTTTCCATACTATTTTTTGAGATAGAAGATAATTTGAGGGGAGGGGTGGAGGATGCATGTATGATACTCCAAAATGTCAACATTCTTTACTATAGGTAATAAGTGATTATAAACAAGATGCATTTTAGATAGCATTAATATATTGAGCCTTGGATTATATATTTGATATAGGACCTGTTTTGAATATTCAGTTAATCATATGGTTCCTAGTTTACAAGAAGAGCTAGATCTAAGATTATTCCCATGAGAAATGTTGAATTTATGAAGAATAGATTTTGAGGCTTTGAAAATGGTTAATTTCTCAAAAACATCAATGTCCAAACATCTACCTTTTTTCATAGGAGTAGACACTAGCAAGCTGGACAAACTATCATAAAAGTATTTGTCACACATAACCTGTGGTCTGTTGTTGATTAATACAGTACTTTTTCTTGTGTGATTCTTAACATTATAGCACAAGTATTATCTCAGTGGATTATCTGGAATAACATCTGAAAGATGGGTTCGTGTATGTTTGTGTTTGCGCTTTAAATTATTGTTTCTCCTATCCCAAGTTGGCTTTGCATCTATCAGTAAATAAAACTATTCAGCTGCGTTATCAGGAGTGCTGTGCTTTTCTGCTTTTCATCTTGTATTTAGTTTACTGTATTATTTGATTTTGGATTGAATGAATGTAAATAGAAATTAAATGCAAATTTGAATGAACATAAAATAGAAGTGATTTTTTTTATTATCCTGATAGGAAGAAATTAGTATACATATCAGGTGTATAAATGGTTTAAATAATTTATTTTCATTAACATGTCAGATGTGTTCAAGTTGTCATATAAATAAACTGTGTGTAAGGAATGGGTTAAAAGCTGTTCTGCTGAGAAATTGAAGCTATTTAAGTATATAACAAGTTTTAGTATTGATTTTTATGTTAGATGTTACACATCTTTGTTTTTCAACTTATAGTCACGTAGTAGACATGAATTATTTACTTAAAAAAATACATGTAACAACCTATGTGAAAACTAGCCTCATAAAAAACTCTAGGAAGACCTTCTTGTGCTAACAATCAACAATTTGTTCAGCCACACTTGGTCAGCTACATTTGATAATTTGGTATGTATGCACAAAATAACGTAGTGAACTAATCTGTTTTAACTCATGTCTCAATATATCTAGTGTGAGCTGGGTATTTTGCATGAACCACTTCTTACCTGTGAGGTAATTATATCACACTTAGCAAGGGGATTTCTCTACAGAAGCTCTCAAACTGACTTTACCTTGCTATACAACATAGTAGCGTATCAATACTGGTAAAACAATCTTTTAGAAGTCATGATCTGAATTCACAGAGTAAATGGGTTTCTGAATCTATATTACCTTTTTTTGAGGTGAAGGAATAGCGGGATGGAAGAAATACTTCCAGTTCATCAGCATTGTTATTGGATGGCATAGCTCCATTAGATTTTCTCCCTTTTCAATTTATAGGTAAACTGCATTCCAAAAAAACCCCACCATGCACCTCCTTGGTTCTTTAATCACATTAAGAAACAGTGCTGTCTGAATAGTTACAGGGTAAGCAAATGTATTAAATAGGTATTGTAATAGGGCTGAAGTAAAATGCTATTCTTGTGTTTGAACAGGAAGTCATCTTGGCTATCCTTCACAGCCGAATTGTAATCCCAAACTGCTTTTCTCACCCATCCTCTGCTGTATACCTAAATAATACAACTATTAGCATCACCACGAAGCCATTTAAATAATATTTGTAGTGGGTCTCAAAGTAGATAATAGAGTGAAATATACTGTAATTGAATATAATTGTACTTAGAACCTGGTAGTATTTACCTGGAGAAAAAAAGGTACAGGCTTCCTAATGGTCGCTTGTCAATTTGGATGGCCATACAGTCATGAAAGTGCCTTCTATAGCCAGTTGGTCAGTATCCTTATTAATCCATGTGCTGGTTTAGCTTTTGTCTTATCAGTACAGCAAATCTGTTTTCTACCTCTGCTTCCTAAGTTCTCCTTTCTACCACCTTTTCCTCGACTACAAACTGATAGATGCACTCTAAACTTAGATATAACCAGTAGCAGCCCTTCAGACATGTTTTAGATTTCAGATTCCTCCTTAGAGGTAACACGGGGAGAAAAGTGCTTCATTCCCTTTTCTAGCACCCTGCACAAATACCTAGAGGCGAAAAACCACACTATCAAAACCTCATGACCACCTCTCAGTGCAAGCTTTAATCTTCCAATTGATGGTGAGTCAAGCATAACATTCCAAAACTTTTATGGAGAAGACTATAAGGGCAATTCTTTTCTAAGATTTTAGGGCATCTGTCTTGAAACTTTTTAATTTTTTTTTATATAGAGATAGGATGTTGCCCAGGCTGGTCTTGAACTCCTGGGCTCAAGCAGTCCTCCTGCCTCTGCCTCCCAAAGTTCTGGGATTACAGGCATGCGCCACCATGCCTGGCCATTTGTCTTGTTTTCTGTACTACTCAAATCATCAAGTAAGCCAGCTGTTTATAATCCACATGAATTATTTTAATAGTTACCTCAAGATACTCCATGGTACTACACAAAAAGCATGATCATGAACATTAAAGCTGATGGCAGGAAGAATTTATGAGGTCCACAGACAAAATGAATTTAAATCATTTATTTTCACTGATTACTAGTCATACTACAGAGAATAATACAATATTAAAATGTATCATCCTCGGTAAATTAATCTTCACTTAGAAAATCTGTTACTGATAAAATATAACATTTAGAACTTTCATTTAAAAATACAAATTTTATGAAAATATTAAGAATTTTTAGGATGGGAATTAAAAAGTCAATGCTGAAAGCAGAATTCTACTTTTAGATAGTATGTATCTTAAAATATTATGAAAAATATTCTTTATTCTGAAAACAATGCTGGAAAGAATACCTGAGTTCTCTAAAACCACTAGTTCTAGTTTCAAATTGCTGTTTTGGTAATATTAAGAAAACACATTTACAATTTAACACTGCAGTTACCTGTCAAATAATTAGAATAGAATGTTGCATATACATTAGGTTGAACATTATATATATTTTAAAACACAGGGTGGTTTCATTTAATCTTTTGGTGAATTGGACCGTTAAGTCTTACATTCTAAAACCATCTGGAAACATTTTTCTGGTAGCCCCGAAAATCCATTCTGATGCCTTATCGGTAGTCATTATGACCAAATGACATTAGTATTTTGTGGCCTTAATAGTTTATACAACTTAATAATTTTGAAGGTGTGATGAAGTGGCTCCATCTTTCCATTTGTTTATATGGTCTGAAATCACAGCTCTGCAGAGTGGACATGTTTTCTCTCTGTTAAACCATAAGGTAATGCACTCTTCACAAAATATATGCTGTAATGGGCTGGGCGCGGTGGCTCACGCCTGTAATCCCAGCACTTTGGGAGGCGGAGGCGGGCGGATCACGAGGTCAGGAAATCGAGACCATCCTGGCTAACGTGGTGAAACCCCGTCTCTACTAAAACTACAAAAAAATTAGCTGGGCGTGGTGGTGGGCGCCTGTAGTCCAAGCTACTCGGGAGGCTGAGGTAGGAGAATGGCGTGAACCCAGGAGGCGGAGCTTGCAGTGAGCCGAGATCACGCCACTGCACTCCAGCCTGGGCACAGAGCAAGACCCCATCTCAAAAAAAAAAAAAAAAAAAAAAAAAAAAAAAGCCGGGCACGGTAGCTCACGCCTGTAATCCCAGCACTTTGAGAGGCCGAGGCAGGTGGATCACGAGGTCAGGAGATCGAGACCATCCTGGCTAACACAGTGAAACCCCATCTCTACTAAAAATGCAAAGAAACATTAGCTGGGCATGGTGGCGGGCGCCTGTGGTCCCAGCTACTTGGGAGGCTGAGGCAGGAGAATGGCATGAACCCGGGAGGCAGAGCTTGCAGTGAGCCGAGATTGCGCCACTGCACTCCAGCCTGGGCGACAGAGCAAGGCTCCGTCTCAAAAAAAAAAAAAAAAAATTATACATATATATATATATATACACATATATAATTATATATATGCTATGTATATGCATATATATATGCTGTAATGGAATTAAGAATTAAATTTTATACTTGATAATCATTTTAAGTCCATCACACTGTAGGGAATGAAAGGGATTTTTTTTTTTTTTTTTTGAGATGGAGACTGAAGACTTGCTCTGTCCACCCAGGCCGGAGTGCAATGGCGCCATCTCGACTCACTGCAACCTCCGCCCCCCGGGGTTCAAGCGATTCTCCTGCCTAAGCCTCCCAAGTTGCCGGGGTTACAGGTGACTGCCACTACCATGCCCAGCTAGTTTTTGTATTTTTAGTAGAGACAGGGTTTCACCGTGTTGGTCAGGCTGGTCTTGAACTCCCGACCTCAGGTGATGCACCCACCTCAGCCTCCCAAAGTGCTGGGATTACAGGCGTGAGCCACTGCATCCGGCCTGAAAGGGATTTTGAAGAGCACTAATCCCCTCATTTTACAATTGTGAAAATGGAGAACGTATGAGACATTCAAGAAGACAAAGAGCAGTATGATTGGTAGAGCCACTAGTGTTCTGACTGTACCATCCATTTAACCATAAAAGCGATCCTTAGGTGACACCTTTAAGATTAAGTATGATAACAGCTTAAAGTCTTTGAGTTACTAGTAACTGCCATAAAGTATAGGAAAGGGCCACAATCCAGTAACAAATGTCAGTATTGTTCTAAATGACTAGTATCCAATTATAAAAATTGCCTGTTTTTTAATCACTTTGGTATTCAATCTGCCAGTTGAATTATTTTTTCCCCATTCATATACTCCTCTGCATAAAAATCATCAGAACATAAGGGACAAAACTTAGCCAATCCACCAATCCCCTGATCATGAATAAATTACTAGTATGTACCCTGAATGCTACCTTACACTAAACACTAGACTTTTTTTTTTTTTTTTGCCTTACAACAAACATAAATGTGACTTTTGCAAGTCACAGAGAAGTGTTGCATTTAGGTTTTTAAATTTAAAAATATAATTACCTGACAGATGAGAAGAATTGGCTTCTGAAATTCAGCTTGACATATTGAACAAGTACCATCCACATCTGAACACTGTCTCTTGCTGGCAGCCACTCCATAACTCTATGAAGATAGTAAGTTCTGTTAATCTACAAATTTCTTTCTTTCCTATTCCTCTAATTACATAAGTGATACCGTACTTCTCCAATCTCCCTGGAACCAGGCATTTAAAAACCTTCCCAAAGGATACAAACATTTCAAAGCTGAACCACATATACAGAACCACCTCTCGAGTGCACCAAGATGAAATCATTAAATAATACATCACAGGATTTTGGAAGATTGTTAGATCTACTAGCTTTACAAAGGATGATAGTGCTTCAAATTCAACATAACTGGCTTAAGAGACTAAGCAGTCTGAAATGTAACTATTATAAAATCTATAGCCATGTATTATTTGACCCAGGACTGCCAAATTGAGCTAACTTATTACCTACAGCAGTGGTTCATAAAGTCGATCCAGCCAGAGCTTGGCTGGCTGAATGTAACTCATGTGGAAAGCTTGCTTTAAAAATAGATTTCTCTGTTCCACACAATATTGATTCTGTAGGACCAGACATACTGGGATGTGACCCAGTAATCTATTATTTGAAAGGTCTCCAAGTGAGTGCAATATGAAGAAGACTTAGGGACCACTGAAGAGTGTTCTGCCACTAGGTCTAAAAATTATTATTCCAAATTATAAAAAGCATTTAGTGCTAAAAATGAATGATAAAGTGTTACAGAGAAACTGCAATTGTAAATATCGCTTGGGTAGAATAACTACTGTCAAAACGAACTGAACAAAAATGCAATTATTTGAATTTTCTTCTCTTCGAATGTCCTAATAACAAGTTTCTGGTCTCTAAGATTTTAACTTCCTCACCAGATTCAGAACTTAATCATTAACTAGATGTGATGTTAATAACCCTCAGTGAAATTTGGAGAAATCAAAATGTTACAAATGAAACCTTCTTTCTGTAGAAATGATGGGGAAGAGGCAACTAAAGAGATGTAAGAACACCCAAGTTCAGTCACGGTCATGAGGGTAAAGAGTTATCTAAACTTCTTGTACTAAAACGTCTCAGGCTAACAACATCAAAATCAAAGTAAAACTCAAAGGATAAAGATATTAAAAATTAAGGTTTTTTGAGACTGGTGATAAAGATTTCAGAAACAAGTCAGGATACTGTTAGATGATCTTGGTGTCAATTTCCCTTCAGTAAGGTGTCATTTAGCAAAGTACATTTGCAGATAATTATGCTGACAAGCTTTTAAGACATTACTCATCTGGCATCTTGGAGACTCCCTCTCCAGAGAGTAACTGCCATTTCCCTGGTAAAGGAGACTTGAACAAGTCAAAGTATTGATGACTGATATCCTCTCTATAGTTTGTCTCAGAGAAAGAATATCAGGGTATTTTCTTGAGAGTATTTTGGCACAAATCTTACAAGACCAATTATAGTAAAATGGTTGATGCTCACATAATCATCAGTTGAATTGACTTGGACAAAGCTGAACTCTCAGAATTTTATTATGTCTTGTCTAGTGAAAGAAGCTTGCATAGGATGTAGCAAAGTTTGTTTCTACATTGCTAACTCTATCTTAGGGAAAAGATGCCCTGGCTGGTTAGTCTGGTTTACTTTGTAGACATAATCCTTTTTTTATTTTTATTTTATATTATTCGGTTGGCATTCTTTTAAGTCAGTCTCCTTGAGCCCTGATGAAATGACTGCAAAGTTGAGAATCAAACCCCGAAATCTGGTGACCACACGTAGGTACTGGGAACCTTTCAGGCTACTAAATAGTAAATTAGGGTTCTCTATGACATCCTTTCACTGCAATTTGCAACATCAATAGAATCACATAATAATGTTATAAATGACACCACAGTCTCAATTAATTGTTAAATTTCATGCCATGAACTTACTTGTGCACATAAAATCGAGCAATGGGGAAATTTGCTCCAGTAAGAAAACTTCAAGAGACATGATTTTTGGCAATGAGCTTTCTAAACATACAAAATAAATTACAGTGGAAGGATTTTCACAGGTGAATAAGGAGTTAATAGGAACACACAAAGCCCCATTTGTGAATTAAAAAAGAGGAACAAAAGTTCATAAGATTTTTAAGGGTTTATAAGTCCTTAAAAATGTCAAATGGATTGAAGGGGCAAGAAACAAGTTCAAATATATAAGTACTGCAACAATTAGCAGGTGGTTGTCAATGTGTGATTCAAGAATCTGATCATAGAGATAAAACTCCTAAATTATTATAGCCCCAAGTGCCAAAGTACTAGAAAACAGTCAAAGTAAAAGAAAAGGATCATCTATTTATGAAATCCATTCTTGTAAAACTGCTGAACTAAAAAACTTTTTGCAATGAAGAAAGGTGAAGGTGTTTTTCTTACCTGATAAAAAGTACTTAACTGGTCATGTAAAAAATATTCGTAAAACCTGTCTGAAAGTTCTCAGATGCCCAAAAAATTCCAAAAGCTGAAAAGGGAAATAAGAGATCATTTATTAATTCAAACAGTCCTATCTGCTAAACCCAAAAACCAAAGCTGAAATCCCATAACATCAAATCCTTATATTAACTTAATGCTCATTATATGTCACAACTAATCATTTTGTGCTGAATATTTTATTCAATTTATAGATTTGAGCCATCTCAATCAGGCTGAAGTACATTTAAATGCCTAGAGTAACAATTTGATCAAGACAAATACAAATGTAACTATGTCAAAGTCAAAGCAATTTTATCTGATTCACACGTTTTTAACATTTACATTTTAAAGTTTCATAAAGTGATTATTAGGTTGAGGGGCGCAGGCATGGAGAGAACAGGACAAGATACTCTACTAGTTTAAGAATTATGTATATGACAGTGTTACTATTGAGGATGGGTATGTTCTATTCCAGTTGTTTTCCCTACTTAGATAATCCATGCTATGTGAAGGTCTACTCCCCTTCCCTCCAATGAAAACTGAAACCGCTGGATTAAGATAGTCTATTTCTGTTTCTCTATTTCTAAATAAATATAGAACCTGCTATTACTTCAAACTAGTGATACAAAGATAAACTATAAAACTGTGAAAGAGGAAAATAGTAGTATGTATCAGTAATCATTAATATGAATCATGCAGTGACAAGATTTGTAATGTTACCTACTTTTAGTACGAGGTAAAGTAAAGCCAGCAATATCCTAAGACTCCGTCTAGTTACATTACCAAACTCCCCATAGCTTATAAGGTAGTGAAACCAAACTAGTATGGGAACAAAAGTTCGGTAGTATTGATACAATTCTTCTAAAAGCATATACCAGTAACCCTAAAAAATAAGGAAAAAGAAAACAAATAGAGCTACCCAAACTACCTAACTACATAGCACAAACAATACTAGACTGAGAACACTGAGTATATGATACAATAATATAAATAACTATAAAATTAATCTTCATAATGATTACGACTGAACCTCAAGCTGGTTCTCACATATTACAGTCACTGAGTGGGCTGCTTTGAAAGAATTTCTAGGCTGGATGCGGTGGCTCCCAGCACTTCAGGAGGTTGAGGCGGGTGGATCACCTGAGGTCAGGAGTTTGAGACCAGCCTGGCCAACATGGTGAAACCCCGTCTCTACTAAAAATACAAAAATTAGCTGGGTTTGGTGGTGGGCACCTGTAATCCCAGCTACTTGGGAGGCTGAGGCAGGAGAATAGCTTGAACCCAGGAGGTGGAGGTTGCAATGAGCCAAGATCACACCACTGCACTCCAGCCTGGGCGACAGAGCGAGACTTGGTCTCAAAAAAAAAAAAAAAAAAAAAAAAAGATATAGTGAAAATGTTTTATGTATACTGCAAGTAAAACCTATATATGTTTTTGCTGGTTATAAAAATTTTAAAGTTTTTATTGCATATGGGAAACCACTGAATAATTGTATATAGTCAACTGTCAATTGATAATGCCCTGGACAACAGAAGTACCAATCTAAATAGTTTCCCATATATGATGTGGGGACTGATTTTAAAATTATTCTGAAGCAAATATAATTCTGATTTTATCCAAATAGGTTAATATTCAGGTTCAAGTGCTTGAACAAATGGTTGCCAGGCTGAAATAATACAGATAATTAAAGCTAGTTAGCAAACTGAAAAATTGCAAAAGGAGGATTCATTTAAACAAAGACTAAATAGCATTAATGTGATTAGTTAACATCACTGCAATAAAGCATAAGTTAGTTTCTTACCTTAGATTTAAAAGGCATGATGAAAGAAGGCACCAATAAGATAAGGCATTTTAAGCTCATGAAAAAGAATTTCAGAATGAAGTCTGTAATTCCAATAATCCAAAGTACTTCCCAGAAGCTCAAATGGTCCAAAATAGGATATAAAAAAATTCAGCCACCAAAAGAAAATCATCAAAATTTACCAGAGCAACATACAAAGGTAAAGTATTAAGAAAGAGTTTTAATTTGCTACAAATATTTTATTTTGATATGTAAAAAATATGAATTTGGCAGGATGTCAGAGTTCACATTAATGGAATGGAGGATCATTTTGCTTATTTTAAAGAGATTTTTAAAATGTTTGGAATTTAGATCTTCCCTTCATAGAATAAGGAAAAAGTCTTCACAGTTTGTCATAGTTGACACCTTTCTAGCCTGTAAACAAAAAAAAACTCATCAATACCAGACATCTCCCATGTTTTTCTTCACCAATTCCAATCAGGATTCCATCTCTTCCTTTCAGTGAATTGCTTGTCAAGATCATCAACTCCCTCTGTATGGCTAAATTTCAAGGTCACTTCTCTTTTTCCGTCTTCCCTCCCTGAATAATTTTCTTTCTAGACTTTTAACACAACAGTCGTCTATTTCTCATATTTCACTGCTGATTTCTTCTTAGTCTCCTTTGCTGTTTCTCTTCTAATTGTGGTCATGTCCCGTACTGGGCTCTCTATCTGCACTCTCTCTTTCCTGGGTTAGTTTTGTCCAGTCCTGTGGGTTTTTTTTTTTTTTTTTTTTGAGACAGAGTCTTGCTCTGTCACCCAGGCTGGAGTGCAGTGGCACGGTATCGGCTCACTGCAAGCTCTGCCTCCCGGGTTCATGCCATTCTCCTGCCTCAGCCTCCCGAGTAGCTGGGACTACAGGTGCCCACCACCATGCCCAGCTAATTTTTTTGTATTTTTAGTAGAGACGGGGTTTCACCATGTTAGCCAGGATGGTCTTGATAACCTGACCTCGTGATTCACCCAACTCGGCCTCCCAAAGTGCTGGGATTACAGGCTTGAGCCACCGCGCCTGGCCCCAGTCCTGTGGTTTTTAAATATCAACCATGTGCTCCTGATACCAAAATTTATAGCCCTAACCTCTACCCTGAGTTCATGACATATATTTGGAACCACTTTCTTACCAATTCTACTTAGCCTCTCAAACTTAACATGTTCAAAACAAAATTATTGATTTTTCTCCAGTTGCTTAGACTAAAAACCCAGAGGTCATTCTTGCTTCTCTCCACCCACCTACCCAATCCAGTCCATCTGAGGGATACTGGCTCCACCTCCAAACTATATCCCAGATTTGCCCATCTCTCCAACTCCAGTGAAATCTGGTCTTCTAATATTCTGGTAAAAGCTGAAGATTCAGAATACTCCCATTTGACATGGAAACTTATCAGCTACTGTCATTTAGTAAGTGTTCTTACTTTCAGAAAAAAAGACCAACAATAACAACCTAATGGTACTTAAAAATTATGGAATATATAAACAAAAACTCAGGTATCAAAAATTAAATATTTATTGAGCATCTGCTATGTGCCAAAGCACTGGGGATACAAAATCTGAATAAGTTACGTAAAGCTCTTGCTTATGAGGCCGGGTGCAGTGGCTCACACCTGTAATCCCAGAACTTTGGGAGGTCAAGGCAGGTGGATCATGAGGTCAGGACTTCAAGACCAGTCTGACCAACATGGTGAAACCCCATTTCTACTAAAAATACAAAAATTTGCCAGGTGTGCACCTGTAATCCCAGCTACTCAGGAGGCTTAGATGGGAGAATTGCTTGAACCCGAGAGGCAGAGGTTGCAGACAGCCAAGATCGAGACACTGCACTCCATGCTGGGCGACAGAGTGAGACTCCATGTCAAAAAAAAAAAAAAAAAAAAAGCTCTCGCTTATGAAAGGAGACAGTTAAAAACTGAACTGATTGAATACAATAAGTACTATGTGAAGTAAGGTACAAAGTGCTATGAAACATGATTACATTAAAAATGTAATTGTGTATTTGGACCTCTAATTACCTGTAATAAAGTGACTGAGAATGAAAGGTGTAATATAAAAGAACAGAAGATCCTGCTAAGAATACCAGTAACCAAGCACACTGAATCTTTGAGGACCTTTCCTGAAAGGTAAACAATTTTATAATGTTACTTTGATTTTGCCAGAATTTTAAATATCATTAAACTGTTTTACTTTAATGACTATTAACTTAGAACATTTTTCTAAATCTTAATATAGAATATCTGTTAAACTGTACATAATCATCAGTTACTTTGTTTTATACAACTTTAGTGACCAAACAGAACTATTATATTAAACAAATGTTTAAAACACAAGTTTCTTCACCGTATGAAAAACATTACCTATGTTTCAAAGAAGCCAAATCTTCTCTCAAAAAAAAAAAAAAAACAAGAAAATTAAATTAAAAAAAAAAAAAAAAGCCAGGTCCTCTACAAGCTGACATAAAGGACTCACCCAGGACGGGCGCAGTGGCTCACACCTGCAATCCCAGCACTTTGGGAGGCCGAGGTCGGCGGATCGCTTGAGGTCAGGAGTTTGTGACCAGCCTACCCAACATGGTGAAACCCATCTCTACTAAAAAAAAATACAAAAGTTAGCCAGGTGCCATGGCACGCGCATATGATACCAGCTACCCAGGAGGCTGAGGCATGAGAATCGCTTGAACGCAGGAGGCAGAGGTTGTAGTGAGCCAAGATCACGCCACTGCACTCCAGCCTGGGCGACAGAGCGAAACTCCATCTCAGAAAAAAAATGGACCCACCCACAAAAGAAAATTTCAAAATGCATTTTAACCTTGACTCGTCAAGGTTTATATTTTTAAAATTCTCAGATTATAACAATTTAATAAATTAATCTGTTTTAATCTTACTTTTTTTTTAATATGGCTTCTTGACACATTGCCCAGAACTCCTAGGCTCAAGCCTTCTTCCCAACTCAGCTTCCCAAGTAATTGTAATCTCTTTTTTTTTTTTTTTTTTTTTGTGACACAGGGTCTCACTCTTTCACCCAGACTGGAGTGCAGTGGCATGATCACAACTCACTGCAGCCCTGACCACCTGGGCTCAGGCAATCCTCCCACCTCAGCCTCCTAGATAACAGAGATTACAGGCATGTGCCACCACGCCCACTAATTTTTTGATTTTTTGTAGAGATGGGGTTTTGCCATGTTGTCCAGGCTGGTCTTCAATTCCTAGGCTCAAGCAATCTGCCCATCTCAGCCTCCCAAAGTGCTGCATTACAGGCATGAGACACTGTGCCTTGCCTGTAATCTCACTTTTAAAGTCAAGTTAAATGAAAAGTTTTACTAATTTTAAATCATTAAGATTTTTCTAGTTTGATAGGCTGAACTATAGATTTCCAGGTCAGAATGCATGATACTTTACACAGACATAGCCATTTAAAGTTGCCTTAAGGTGAAATTTTAGAAACTCATCCTATTTTTTCCCAATGATTTATATGACTAGGGCTTGAGTAACTTATGGAAAAATTCCTTGGGTTTAATTTTCTTTTCTTTTTTTTTGAGATGAGGTCTCACTCTGTCACCAGGCTGGAGTGCAATGGCACGATCTTGGCTCACTGCAACCTCTGCCTCCTGGGTTCAAGCAATTCTTCTGCCTCAGCCTCCCAAGTAGCTGGGACTACAGGCAAGCGCCACCACGCACAGCTAATTTTTGTGTTTTTAGTAGAGACGGGGTTTCACCACATTGGCCAGGCTGGTCTCAAACTTCTGACCTCAGGTGATCCACCCGCCTGGGTCTCCCAAAGTGTTGGGATTACAGGCATGAGCCACTGGGCTTGGCACAGGTCTTTCTTTTTTCTTTTCTTTTTTTTTTTTTTTTTTTTTTTTTTTGAGACGGAGTCTCAGTCTGTATCCCAGGCTGGAGTGCAGTGGTGCGATCTCAGCTCACTGCAACCTCCGCCTCCCAGGTTCAAGCAATTCTCCTGCCTCAGCCTCCTAAGTAGCTGGGAATATAGGCACGTGCCACCACGCCTGGGTAATTTTTTGTATTTTTAGTAGAGATGGGGTTTCACCGTGTTAGCCAGGATGGTCTCGATCTCCTGACCTTGTGATCTGCCTGCCTCGGCCTCTCAAAGTGCTGGGATTACAGGTGTGAGCCACTATGTCCGGCCACTAAAAGTTGTTAACGATGATGATATTACTTAGTATCATCAAAGTAACTCATATAACATGAAGGGACTTGCCAAATCAGATCGAATAGCGTGTTCTAACTCTTTTAATCCTTTTTACTACTTTTTCTTTAACAGTAACCAATTTTTTTTTTTCTTACAAAGAAGGTAAGGTGAAGGAATTCAGCATTAGGAGAAATAATTTATTCCAGGATTTAGATAACAAATTTAATATATCATGGAAGTTACAATATATCCCATTACTTCCTATTTTTTTCAAAAGTTATTTCCTATTTCTCTCAAAATTATTTGTCTAAAATCTATGGAGAGAAACAGTTAATAATTTTTTAGTTGCTTGTTATACTTGCTTAGAAAAACCTGATTTACAGTGCTTTTGTTTGCATACATAAAAGTTGTTAGCAGCCCAATTCCAAGAGAAATTCCTGTTAGAAAATAAGTTCCAGTTAATTGAAAGAAAAAAAAATCAAAGAGGATTATATAAGCTAACAATGACACAAATTAAAAGTAAACATATACAATAATAAAAGCTAACAAAAAATAAGTAACTGAATGCATTAAGTAGACTACCAATAAAGAAAATTAACTGATTTTCAGAATGAAAACAAGTCAATGTTTTATTATGCCCTACCTGTTATATGCTGCATAACAAGTTTGACACTCAGAATCAAAATATGTGGAAGACTTTTTTGCAACCACTTGAAGAGCTACTACCGTGATCTCCAGATTCTGCGGCAGTATCATCAGGCAGCCTTGCTTCACTGTGGGAGTGACCCTGTAAGTGACTGTGTACCCATCCATGGGCACAGCTATGGACATCTGACCTTATATTTCTGGAGCTTGTATTTTCCGCACATTCTTTAGATATGGCATTTATCTGGATATGAACATCTCCAGAATGAAGACAAGAACCTTCTTCTGTCAATCTTGTGTGGACACAGTGAGGGGCTGAGGCATCCTCACTGCTTTCAGTTCCTGGAGGACTGCGCAGTTGGCTACGATTGGCTTGCGTGGCCCTTAAATACTTTTTCTCTGACCCACATGTCTTTGCTTCAGGGCTCTGTCTCCTAAAAAATCAAATAGCAGAAAATATTCTAAGTAAACAGGCAGTTAAATACCGGCAGGATATTCCTCCCTGAGTATCCTTTATTCACTAAAGGAGTAGCAAATAATCACAGCAGATGAATTTTCAGGTTATTTATCACTGGACTCCTCCCTTCTCTCTTACTGCCAAAGCTCTGCTGCCCTACACAAATGATCTTTTAGGGAACATCTGCTACCAAAAAAAAAAAAAAGCGGCCAGGAGTTTGAGACCAGCCTGGCCAACATGGCGAAACCCTGTCTCTACTGAAAATACAAAAATACAAAAATCAGCCGGGCTTGGTGGCGGGTGCCTGTAATCCCAGCTACTCGGGAGGCTGAGGCAGGAGAATCTCTTGAACCTGGGAGGCGGAAGTTGCAGTGAGCTGAAATCGTGCCTATGCACTCCAGCCTGGGCGACAGAGAGGGATCCCCCGTCTCAAAAAAAAAACGCATTGGCTTTCTTTTTTGGTGGGGGTGGGGTGGGCAGCGGTGGTGGAAGGCGTACTTAAGTCTCTCTATGCTTACTAATTTAAATCTTTCTGACAGATTTCTGGGTCAGTAAGGGTGAGCGCCAGGCTCCAGACTATAGTGAATTTTCCGAGGAGATTTGTGTAAGTATTCTAACATTTCAACTATGTCGTGGATTTCTTTCTTTCTCTCTCTCTCTCTCTCTCTCTTTCTTTTTTTTTTTGAGACGGAGTCTTGCTCTGTCGCCCAGGCTGGAGTGCAGTGGCGCGATCTCGGCTCACTGCAAACTCCGCCTCCCGGGTTCACCCCCTTCTCCTGCCTCAGCCTCCCGAGTAGATGGGACTACAGGCACCTGCCACCACGCCCGGCTAATTTTTTTGTATTTTTTTAGTAGAGACGAAGTTTCACCGTGTTATCCAGGATGGTCTCGATCTCCTGACCTCGTGATCCGCCCGCCTCGGCCTCCCAAAGTGCTGGGATTACAGGCGTGAGCCACTGCGCCCGGCAGTCGTGGATATTTTTAAACTTAAAAATGTGTGAAAACTTAGGAAACAGGAAAAAGAAAAAGAATACCACATAATTCAGCCACAGCCACAATGGAGCACGGTATGTATTAGTACACTGATAATTTTGGTACGTTTGGTACATTTGTAAATTTAGAATACCAAATGTAATGTTTAAATTCTCATCTTGGCCAGACACTGTGGTTCATTCCTGTAATCCTAGCACTTTGGGAGGCTGAGGTGAAAAGATCGCTTGAGCCCAGGAGGTCCAGAGCACCCTGGGCAACATACAGAGAACCTGTCTCTAGAAAAAAAATGTTAAAATTAGCCGGGTATGGTGGCAAGGGCTTGTAGTCCCAGTTACTCAGGAGGCTGAGGTGGGAGGTCAAGGCTGCAAGGAGCCATTATTGCTGCAGTCTGGGCGACAGAATGAGGTCCTGTCTCAAAAAAAAAAAAAAAAAGATTCTCCTTTTAACATACTCAACACTGAAGGTATATTAGTCCATACTGGATGTTTATTAGTGCACCTGGAGCTGCATTTCACCCAAGTAACTTAACTGAAATGTGACATATTTGAAGAAAGAAAGTACTGAATTGATAAGAAGATTTGACCTGGTGACAGGCTGTTATCTGATAAATTTTCTTTCCACTGGCATCTGGACTGTTGGAAATAGACATTTTAATTTTAATTGGTTAATTCAAAAAGCATTTGCCACGTACTTACTGAATGTTAAGAATAGTACTAGATGTTGGAGAGAGAGACATAATAATGGGCCAGGCACCATGGCTCACACCTGTAATCTCAGCACTTTGGGAGGCCAAAGTGGGTAGATCACTTGAGGTCAGCAGTTCAAGACCAGCCTGGCCAACATGGTGAAACTCCATTTCTGCTAAAAATATAAAAATTAGGGCCGAGCATGGTGGCTCACGCCTGTAATCCCAGCACTTAGGGAGGGTGAGGCAGGTGTATCACCTGAAGTCAGGAGTTCAAGACTGGCCTGGCCAACATGGCGGAACCTCGTCTCTACTAAAAATACAAAAATTAGCCAGGCATGGTGGCGCACGCCTGTAAACCAGCTACTCAGGAGGCTGAGGCAGGAGAATTGCTTGAACCCCAGAGGCAAATGTTGCAGTGAGCCAATATCATGCCACTGCACTCCATCCTGGGTGACAGAGCAAGAATCCATCTCAAAAAAAAAAAAATGTTTCCGTCTCATGGTGACTGAAATGGTTAGACCTGCAAACAAATAATTACAGTATTTTGGAGAAAACACTATATTGAAGGTTCTGTGAGATGCAATGGAAGCAAAAGGTAGAAGCATTTAACTTTGTCAGGCAATAAATCTTGTATTAAATTTGTGATATTTAAGATGAAATCTTAATTTTTTTTTTTTTTTGAGATGGAGTTTTGCTCTGGTGCCCAGGCTGGAGTAGAGCGGCGCAATCTTGGCTCACTGCAACCTCTGCCTCCTGAGTTCAAGTGATTCTAGTGCCTCAGCATCCTGGATGAAATCTTAAGAATAAGTTGATATTTACCAGGGCACAAGCAGTAATAGGGCATTGCAGATAGAAACATTATATGGAAAATGGTGGTATTGAAATACCATGGTCATTTAAGGACTGTTTTTCATATTTGGAAGAGTAGGGTGCATAGAGTAGTAAGAGATAAGTCACATAAGTAGAAGCTAGAAAATGACTTTGTGGGCCTCACTTAGTAGTTTATTCTAAAGGGAAGCTACTGAGTTTTAAGCAACAGAATTGTGTGACTGGATTTCTTTTTTCAGAATTCATATGCTAATAGTAGCAGTGCAAGTTCCATTAGGAGACTATTATAAGTAGTTCAGGTACAAGATGAGGTCTTGAACTTGTCAGTGAAGTGGGATTCAAGAAGAAGGAGATTGGAGAGGTTATGAAATAGAATCAATAGGGTTAAGTGTCCTAGATTGCTGCAGTTAAGCTCTGTGGCCCCTCCACTACCCACACCAATTTTTCACACCTACCCATGTCCATACCCTTGGGTAGTCTCCTCACAGACTGATTTAAGTGATTTGCTTTGGCCCTTGGGACAACAGCAATTGTAATGTTAGCAGAGACTTGAAAAATTCTTCCGCATTGGGATTCACACTCTTACTGCTGGTACCCCTTTGCCACAATTTGATTAAATCAAGCTAGCCTCCTAGAAGATGAGACCACTTTGAGAGTGTCCCTAGCTCTCCCAGCCTTCCTGGTTGTCTCAGCATTCTCAGTTGAAGCCCCAAACATATGTGTGAGGCCATCCTAGAATGAGCCAGTCTATACCTAGAATTATAGGAAATATAGATTCTTTTCTTTCTTTCTTTCTTTCTTTTTTTATTAGATGGAATCTCGTTCTGTCACCCAGGCTGGAGTGCAGTGGCATGATCTTGGCTCACTGCAACCTCTGCCTTCTGGGTTCAAGCTATTCTCCTACCTCAGCCTCCCAAGTAGCTGGGACTACAGGTGCCTGCCACCATGCCTGGCTAATTTTTGTGTTTTTAGTAGAGACGGGGTTTCACCATATTAGCCAGGCTGGTCTCCAACTCCTGACCTTGTGATATGCCTGCCTTGGCCTCCCAAAGTGCTGGGATTACAGGCATGAGCCACTGCACCCAGCCTATAGATTATTTTCTTTTCAGCCTCTAGGTTTGGAGCAGTTGGTTTCATAACAAGATTAACTGATAGCCTAACTGACCAAGTATATAGGGCAGGTAAGAGGAATAGTCTAAGACAAATCTTCATTTTTTAGCATGGATAGATGGATACATCAATATTGGGAAGCTATATTAGAATAAGTAAATTGGTGGCATTACCAGATGAATAGGGAATTTTTTTGAAAGACCAAGTTTGGAGAGATATCTGTAATTTTGGCTTGGAAATACTGAGTCTTAGGAGTTCCTGGGAAACATACAGGTGAAGATACCCAGTTGGCAATGTGATATAAGGATCTGGAGATGGAAAATTTGAAGTAAAAGCTGTGGCTGTGAAAACTTTGCCCATTTCTCATTTATGCGTTTTCAGAGCCTTTTTTTTTTGTAGATTCTTTGTAGACAGTGTTGTCTACAAATAGAAACAGCTTCTTCCTTTCTGATGCCTATTCTTTTTATTTCTTGCTTTATTGTATTAACTGTAACTGCCAATGTGATGTTATTAATAAATTAAATAGGAATGGTGACAGTAGACATCCGTGCCATGCTCCTGATTTTAAGGGGAATACATTCAGCCTTTTTACCATTAAGTATGTCAGCTGTAAGTTTTGCTCATTTGTTTGTTTCCTTTTTTTTTTTTGTGAGACAGAGTCTCACTCTGTCGTCCAGGCTGGAGTGCAGTGGCGCCTTCCCAGCTCACTGCAACCTTCGCCCGCAGGGTTCTAGCGATTCTCCTGCCTCAGCCTCCTGAGTAGCTGGGATTACAGGCGGCTGCCACCACGCCCTGCTAATTTTTTTGTATTTTTAGTAGAGACGGGGTTTCTCCATGTTGGCCAGGCTGGTCTCAAACTCCTGACAGAGTGGATCCACCCGCCTTGGCCTCCCAAAGTGCTAGGATTACAGGCGTGAGCCACCGCACCTGGGCCGTTTGTTTCTTTTTTTTGAGATGGAGTCTCGCTTTGTCGCCCAGGCTAGAGTGCATTGGTGTGATCTCAGCTCACTGCAATTTCCATCTCCCAGTTTCAAGTGATTCTCCTGCCGCAGCCTCCCCAGTAGCTGGGATTACAGGTGTCCGCAACCACACCTGGCTAATTTTGTATTTTTAGTAGAGATGGGGTTTCACCATGTTGGCCAGGCTGGTCTGGAACTCCTGACCTCAGGTGATCCGCCTGCCTTGGCCTCCCAAAGTGCTGGAATTACAAGTGTGAGCCACCGTGCCCAGCCTCTAGTTTTTTTTGTATGTGTCATCTATCAGGTCAAGTAAATAAATTCCCTTCTTCTCCTAGTCTGCTAAGAATTTTTATCATAAGTAGATATTGAATTTTGACAAATCTTCTTCTGCCTTTATTAAAAAATCACACAATTTTTCTTATTTAGCCTGTTGATATGGTGAAATTTTCTTTTCTCTTTTTTTTGGAGACAGAGTCTCCCTCTGTTGGCCCAGGCTGGAGTGAGTGGTGCGATCTTGGCTCACTGCAATCTCTGCCTCCCAGGTTCAAGCGATTCTCATGCCTCAGCCTCCCAAGTAGCTGGGATTACAGGCATGTGCCACCACGCCTGGCTAATTTTTGTATTTTTAGTAGAGGTGGGGTTTCACCATGTTGGCCAGGCTGGTCTCGAACTTCTGACCTCAGGTAATCCACCCACCTCGGCCTCCCAAAATGCTGGGATTACAGGCATGAGCCACTGCACCCAGCCTATCAATTGATTTTTAAATGTTAAGCCAGCCTTGCATTTCAAGGATAAACCCCACTGAGTTGTAGTGTATTAACCTTTTTATATATTGCATTCATTTTACTAATATTTTGTGGAGGATTCTTGCATCCCTGTTTGTGGGAGATACTGGTTTTCTTACAATATCTTTAACTGTTCTTGATGTCAGGATAATGCTGGCCTGAATTGGAAAATGTTTCCTGTTTGCAGAAGAAATTGTGTTGAATTGGTATCATTTCTTACTTAAATTTTGGTAGAATTTGCCAGTGAGGCCATCTGGCCTAGAATTTTTTTTTATGGAAAGGTTTTAAACTACAAATTTCAGTTTCTGCATTCACTATAGAATTATTCAGGTTATATACTTCTTCTTAAGTCAGCTTGAAGGAATTGGCATAAAGTTGTTCATAATATTCTCTTATTAGCCTTTTAACATCTGTAGGCTCTGTATTGACATTAGCACTTTTATTGCTGGTATTGGTAATCTGTGTAATCTTTGTTTTTTTCTTGGTCAGTATAGCTAAAAGTTTATCCATTTTATTGGTATTTTCAATACAATTTCATTTCATTTATTTGGTTTTATTTATTTTCTAATATAAGCATATCATTACTTTAATTTAATTTGATTAATTTATTTTGAGACAGAGTCTTGCTCTGTCACCCACACTGGAGTGCAGTGGTGCAGTCTGGGGCTCACTGCAGCCTTGAACTCCCAAGCTCAAGTGATCCTCCCTCTTCAGCCTCCCAAGTTTCTGGGACTACATGTGCACACTGCCACACCCAGCTAAGTTCTAAAATTTTCTGTAGGGATAGGATGTCACTATGTTGCCCAGGCTGATCTTGAGCTCTTGGGCTCAAGCAATCCTCCTGCCTTGATCTCCCAAAGTGCCGGGATTACAGGCATGAGTCACCACACTCAGCCAAGTATATAATTTTATATATGATCCTCCCACCTCGGCCTCTCAAAGTGCCAAAGTGCCAAACTGCTGGGATTACAGATGTGAGCTACAGTGCCGGGCACCTTCGGTATTTTCTGTTAGTGCAGGTTTGCTGCCAATGAATTGTCTTAGTTTTCCTTCATTTGAGAATATCTTTAGTTTTCCCTTCATTAATGAAGGATATTTTCATTGGTATCTAATTCTGAGTAGACAGTTTGTTTTAGCAAATTAAAGATATTCCTGGCTGGGCGTAGTGGCTCATGCCTGTAACCCCAGCAATTTGGGAGGCCGAGGTGGGTGGATCACTTGAGGTCAGGAATTCTAGACCAGCCTGGCCAACATGGTGAAACTCCATCTCTACTAAAAATAAGAAAATTAGCCGGGCATGGTGGCATGCGCCTGTAATCTCAGCTACTCTGGAGGCAGAGGTGGGAGAATTGCTGGAACCCAGGATGCAGTGAGCCGGGATCACGCCACTGCACTTCAGCCTGGACGACAGAACGAGACTCCATCTCAATTAAAAAAAAAAAAAAGATATTCCACTGTTTCTACTCTTCAGGGTTTCTAATAAGAAATCCACAGTCAAATCATTGTTCCCCTATAGGTAATGTATTTTTTTCTTTCTTTTTCTTTTTGAGACGGAGTCTTGCTCTGTTGCCCAGGCTTGAGTGCAGTGGCGGTGATCTCGGCTCACTGAAAGCTGTGCTTCCCGGGTTCACGCAATTCTTCTGCCTCAGCCTCCCGAGTAGCTGGGACTACAGGCGCCCGCCACCATGCCTGGCTAATATTTTGTATTTTTAGTAGAGACAGGGTTTCACCATGTTAGCCAGGATGGTCTCGGTCTCATCACCTCGTGATCCACCCACGTCGGCCTCCCAAAGTGCTGGGATTACAGGTGTGAGCCATGGTGCCCCGCCTTTTTTTTTTTTTTTTTTTTTTTTTTTTTCCTGAGACAGAGTCTTGCTCTGTTCCCCAGGTTGGAGTGCAATGGCGCAATCTCAGCTCACTGCAACCTCTGCCTCCTGGGTTCACGTGACTCCTCTGCCTCAGCCTCCTGAGCAGCTGGGACCACAGGCATGTGCCACCATGCCTGGCTAATTTTCGTATTTTTAATAGAGATGGAGTTTCACCATATTGGCCAGGCTTGTCTCAAACTCCTGACCTTGTGATCTGCCTGCCTTGTCCTCCCAAAGTGCTGGGATTACACAGGCGTGAGCCACCACGCCCGGCCTATGTAATGTATTTTTTTCTGCAGGTATCTCTCTCTGTTGTAGTAGGCTGAATAAATAGCCACCCAAAGATGTCAAGTTTTAATTCCTGAAACTCATAAATATTATTTTATTTGGAAAAAGAGTCTTTGCTGATGTAATTAAGGATTTTGAGAGGAGTCAGTTACCTTGGATTTTTCAGGTGGGTCCTGAATACCATCCCAAGTGTCCTTATAAGAGAGAGGCAATAGAGACACAGAGGAGAAAGCCATGCGAAGATGGAGCAGAGAGATATATGGCCTTAAGCCAAGGAATGCTGATAGCTGCCAGAAGCTGGAAGAAGGCAAGGAATGGATTATCCCCTATAGCCTCCAGAGGCAATGCAGCCCTGCCAACACTTTAATTTTAGATTTCTGGCCTATAGAACTGTGAAAGAATAAATTTCTGTTGTTTTCAGCTACTAAGTTTGTGATCATTTGGTGCAGCATTTACAGGAAACGAATACACCTCTCCTTCTAGGGCTCCAATTATGTGAATATTAGACCATCTAATATTGCCCCACATGTTCCTGAGGCTCTCTGTTCATTTTCTTTTAAATCTGTTTTTCTCTGTTCTTCAGATTGGACAATTTCTCTCTGTCTTTTTTTGTTGTTTGTTTGTTTTTTGAGATGGAGTTTCGCTCTTGTCGCCCAGGCTGGAGTGCAACGGTGCAATCTTGGCTCATTGCAACCTCCGCCTCCCACGTTCAAGTGATTCTCCTGCCTCAGCCTCTGAGTAGCTGGGATTACAGGCACCCACCACCATGCCCGGCTAATTTTTGTATTTTTAGTAGAGACGGGGTTTCACTATGTTGGCCAGGCTGGTCTCAAACTCCTGACCTCAGGTGATCCACCCACCTTGGCCTCCCAAATTACAGGTGTGAGCCACCATGCCTGGCCTGGACAATTTCTCTTGATCCACCTTCACTAACTCTTTCCTCTATTGGTAATCTTTATCCTATTATTGATACCATCTAGTGAAATTTTTTATTTCGGATATATTTTTTCAGTTGTAAACTTTCTGTTTGGTTCTTTTTCATAGTTTTTTTCTTCTGTTGAGAACTTATATCTTACCATGTTCACTTTTATCTTATAGAGCATGATGATAATAGCTTTCTTAAAGTCTTTGATAATTCCATCATCTTGGCATTTGTATCTGTTGATTATCTTTTTCGCTTGAGAATGGTCACTTTTTCATGACTCTTTGTATGTTGTATAATACCAGTTTGTATCCTGAACAGTTTGAATATTCCTTTGTGACTCTCTGGGTCCTATTAAAGTCTCCAGAGAATGCTGATTTTAGTTGCTGTTTTCAGCATTCAGTCATCCTGGTTGGATTGAGACTGCAAGGTCTGTCTTGCCCGTTTTTCTCCCTGTGGATTCCAATGTCAAGACAGTTTTCAAAGCCTGTCCTGTGCTGCTTTAGATCATCCTACATGTATCTGTGCCCTTTGGGGGTTAGACTTGGACTTGTGCCTTATGTTGTTCTTCGGTTTTCGAGGCTTTTGCTGTGCTGCTTTGTGGTATTCTGTGTATATGCACCTCAGGAATGAGCCCTGGACAGATGCTTATTCGTGCACAGAAGTAGGAAAACCCTTCTCTAGGTCTCCTCTCTGGGATTCTTCTCAACTTTCTGCCTCTGTCCTAGAGCCAGAATGATGGGGCTTCTCAAGGAGGGTTAGTTGCCCATGCCACTGCCACAGCAAGAGAGACAGGGAAAAAATGGACATTTCTCCCTTACAGCTCTGAAACCCAGGGACTCATTTTCTGAGTTCCTTGATCTACACAGACAGGGCTTCTCTGGGAGTTTTAGCTGTCCACACTGCACTGCCACAGCTCACTGTAGCCTATCCTCAGATCACACACACACACACACACACACACACACACACACACACACGGAAACTCACTCCCATGTGGGCCCCTTTCTACAAGTTTGACTCTGCATTTGTTTACTTTTCAGAGTGCACAGGGAGTTGCTTTTTGTATTTATTCCAGAGTGTTTAGTTATAACCAGCAATAGAAATAACCTATAGTGGACTACTCCATCTTGACTGGCACTGGAGTCTTAAAATGTTAATAATTCTTTCTCTTTTTTTTTTCTTTTTTTTGAGACAGGGTCCCACTCTTTTGCCCAGGCTGCAATGCAGTGGCACTGTCACTGCAGCCTCAATCTCCCAGGCTCAAGTGATCCTCTAGCTTCAGCCTCCTGAGTAGCTGAGACTACAGGTGCACACTACTGCATCCACTAATTTATTTTTATTTTTAGTTCTTTTTTTTTTGAGACGGAATTTTGCTCTTGTTGCCCAGGTTAGAGTGCAATGCTGTGATCTTGGCTCACTGCAACCTCTGACTCCTGGGTTCAAGCCGTTCTCCTGCCTCAGCCCCCCAAGTAGCTGGGATTACAGGCCCCTGCCACCATGCCTGGCTAATTTTTTGTATTTTTAGTACAGACAGGGTTTCACCATGCTGGCCAGGCTGGTCTTGAACTCCTGACCTCAAGTGATCCATCAGCCTCAGCCTCCCAAAGTGCTGGGATTACAGGCGTGAGCCACTGTGCCTGGCCCACTAATTTATTTTTTATAGAGATGGGGTCTTGCTTTGTTGCCCAGGCTGCTCTTGAACTCCTGGCCTAAAGCTATCCCCTCATCTTGGCCTCCCAAAATGTTAGGATTACAGGTGTGAGCCACCACATCCAGCTTATTTCTTAAATGAGTGATTAAATGTGTGTCTCTTTCACTATACTGAATGTCAGCAGGGACAATTTTGATTTTGTTTGTTTTATTTTGTTTTGTTGCATTGCATTGCATTGCATACGGTGTCTCACTCTGTCTCCTTGGCTGGAGTGCAGTGGCGTGATCTCGGCTCACTGCAATCTCCACCTCCTTGGTTCAAGTGATTCTCCTGCCTCAGCCTCCCGAATAGCTGGGGTTACAGGTGTGTGCCACCACGCCAAGCTAATTTTTGTATTTTTAGTAAAGACGAGGTTTCTCTACGTTGGCCAGGCTGGTCTCAAACTCCTGGCCTCAAGTGATCCACCCGCCTCGGCCTCCCAAAAGTGCTGGGATTACAGGCATGAGCCATTGCACCCGGCCTATTTTATTTTATTTTTTAAACATATTTTATTTTATTTTTAAACATATTTTATTTACTTATTTTTTTTTGAGACAAGAGTCTTGCTCTGTCACCCAGGCTGGAGTGCAATGGTGTGATCTCAGCTCACTGCAACCTCCACCTCCCGGGTTCAAGCAATTCTCCCACCTCACCCTCCCTAGTGGCTGGGATTACAGGCACCTACCATCATGCCCTGCAAATTTTTTTATTTTTGTAGAGACGGGGTTTCACCATGTTGGCCAGGCTGGTCTTGAACTCCTGACCTCAGGTGATCCTCCTGCCTCAGCCTCCCAAAGTGCTGGGATTACAGGCATGAGCCACCGAGCCCAGCTTTACTTTTATTTTTATGTTTTTGAGATGGAGTCTCACTTTGTCACCCAGGCTGGAGTGCAGTGGCGTGATTTTGGCTCACTGCAACCTCTGCCTCCTGGGTTCAAGTGATTCTTCTGTCTCAGCTTCCCAAGTAGCTGGGATTACGGGCATGTGCCACCACTCCTGGCTAAGTTTTCTATTTTTAGTAGAGACGGGCTTTTGCTATGTTGGTCAGGCTGGTCTCAACTCCTAACGTCAGGTGATCTGCCCACCTCAGTCTCCCAAAGTGCTAGGATTACACGCATGAGCCACTGCGCTTGGCCTGGCTTTGTTTATTACTGTACCTAATGCCTAATACCATTTTTGGCATATACTAAGTGGCCAATAAATACTTATGGAATAAACAAATGAATGGACACTTTTTAAACCTCATCCTGCTTGACATTTTTGCAGCATTCTACACTATAGGTTGTTCCCACCTCCTGGAATCTTTCTTCCCTAAACTTTCATATTCTACTGATTTCCCCACTTCTGCAGGCTTTCTTTACAGGCAAGCTGCTACTTCTTTATGAATCTTACAGCTTCAGATATTGCTGTGAAAATGGGGACACCTACATAGTCACCCACATCGGCACAAGTACAGACTTAGAGAATAATAAATGCTCAGTCACCATTTCCTCATCTGAGAAGAGAGTGGATACAGTCATCCCTTAGTATCTCTGGGAATTGGTTCCAGGACCCCATGTGGACACCAAAATCCATGGATGCTCAGGTCCCTAATATACAATGATGTAGTATTTGCATATAATCTATGCACATCCATATGCTTTAAATCAGATTACTTAAAATACTTAATAAAATGCAATTGCTATATAAATAGTAATTATACATTATTACTTAGGGAATAATAAGGAAAAAAAGTCTATACATGTTTAGTTCAGACACACCCATCCTTTTTTCCCTCCCAATTTTTTTTTTTTTTTTGAGGTGGATTTTCACTCTGTCACACAGAGTGTGACCTCTGCCTCCTGGGTTCAGGGGATTCTCCTGCCTCAGCCTCCCGAGTAGCTGCGATTACAGGTGTGTGCCACCATGCCCGGCTAATTTTTGTATTTTTAGTAGAGACAGGGTTTCACTATATTGGCCAGGCTGGTCTCGAACTCCTGACCTCAAGTGATCTGCCCACCTTGGCCTCCCAAAGTGAGCCACCATGCCCAGCCTGCCCCTAAATATTTTCAGTCCTTGGTTGGCTGAATCCACAGATGCAGAAACCACAGATGTGGAACCCATGGATGCAAAGGGCTATTTGTGGCCCGGTGCAGTGGCTCACACCTGTAATCCCAACACTTTGGGAAGCCACGGTGGGAGGATCGGTTGAGCTTAGAAGTTTGAGAGTAGTCTGGGCAACATGGTAAAAGCCCGTCTCTACTAAAAATACAAAAATTAGCAGGGCGTTGTGGCATGCATCTGTGGTCCCAGCTAATCAGGAGGCTGAGGCATGAGAATCACATGAATCCAGGAGGTGGAGGTTGCAGTGAGCCGAGAGTGCATCACTGCACTCCAGCCTGGGCAACAGAGTGAGACCCTGTCTCAAACAAAACAAAACACCAACAGGCTGAGCGTGGGGGCTCACACCTGTAATCCCAACACTTTGGGAGGCCAAGGCAGGCGAACCACTTGAACCTAGGAGTTTGAGACCAGCCTGGCCAACATGTCGAAACCCCATCTCTACTAAAAAAAAAAAAACAAAAAACAAAATTAGCTAGGTATCGTGGCAGGCACCTGTAATCCCAGTTACTCAGGAGGCTGAGGCAGGAGAATCGCTTGAACCAGGGAGGCGGAGGTTGCAGTGAGCCGAGGTCGTGCCACTGCACTCCAGCCTGGGCAACAGAGCAAGACTCTGTCTCAAAAACAAACAAACAAACAAAAAAAAAACCAAACCCCCAATGGGCTATGTGTTGACTGCATGGTGGCTCTCTTTGTTGTTCTCCTGTTGCCTATTGTTATTGAATCCAAAGTCTTCTAGGTCCTCTTTTTACCTGCTTCTTAGCTAATCATTATATTCCTACACAAATTCTTGTTAAGATAAAATTTTCATAAGTTAAAAACTTGTCTCTTACGTAAATATAAACAGAAAATAAGTCAGGCCAGGTGCGATGACTCACGTCTGTAATCCCAGCACTTTGGGAGCCCAAGGCCAGAGGATCTGTAGAGTCCAGGAGTTTGAGACCACCCTGGCCAACACGGTTAAACTCCTGTCTCTACTAAAAATACAAAAATTAGCCGGGCATGGTGGTACACGCCTGTAATCTCAGCTACTTGGGAAGCTGAAGCAGGAGGATCACTTGAACCGGGGAGGCGGAGGTTGCAGTGAGCTAAGATCGCACCACTGCACTTCAGCCTGGGCAGCAGAGCAAGACTCCCTCTCAAAAAAAAAAAAATCAAATTATGATGCACACGCCTACATAATCAGATAATTCCCAGAGGGTCTAAACAGCATCCTGCATTCCATGGAAAAGACTCAGTGATCTCTTCTGCTCATTTCCAAATTTTGGATATTATTTTCTTAATATTATTTTTAACTTTTATTATCATTATCATTATTATTATTGCTTTGAGACAGGGTCTTACTCTGTTGCCCAGGCTGGAGTGCAGTGGCATGATCATGGCTCACTGCAGACTCAACCTCCAGGGCTCAAGTGATCCTCCCACCTCAGCCTCCCAAGTAGCTGGGACCACAGGCGTGCACCACCATGCCTGGCTAATTTTTTTATTTTTTTGTAGCTCGGGGTCTCCTTGTGTTGCCCAGGCTGGTCTCAAACTCCTGGGCTCAAGTGATCCTCCTGCCTCGGCCTCCCAAAGTTCTAGGACTACAGGCAGGAGCCACAGCACCTGGCCAGTTTTCATAATATGCTTCACCCAGATAGAAAAATTTTACTTTCTCTTTTTCTTTGTACCGGTCTCCCTCTTTCCTCATAGAATGTTTTTTCCTCTCTTCCTGCCCAGGTATGTCCCTTACTTTCTTTACATCTGGCCCCAGCTTGCTTCCTTTTAACACAAATTTCTGTTTCCTTCCTCTTTCATCCTTACATGAAACAGCTGATGGCCCAGGTATTCATTCTTGAAACATTCAAGGAGTAATTTGGAGTGTTAATTTTCTTTTCTTTTTCTTTTCTTTTTTTTTTTTTTTTTGAGATGGAGTCTCGCTCTGTTGCCCAGGCTGGAGTGCAGTGGCATGATCTCTGCTCACTGCAACCTCTGCCTCCCGGATTGAAGCGATTCTCCTGCCTCAGCCTCTCAAGTAGCTGGGATTACAGGTGCCTGGCACTATGCCTGGCTAATTTTTGTATTTTTGGTAGAGACGGGGTTGCATCATGTTGGCCAGCCTGGTCTTCAACTCCTGACCTCGTGATCCACCCGTCTCGGCCTCCCAAAGTGGTGGGATTACAGGTGTGAGCCACCGCGCCCGGCCTGGAGTGTTAATTTTTCATTTAGGAGATGATAAAATGGTATTATTTTTATTAAAAACGGCCTTCATTAGTTTGTATTTTTTTTCCCCCAGTTCTCATTTGGTTTAAATGGTTTGGCATACTTGTGTTATATTCCCAGTTTCATTTTAACTTCCATGAGGGGAGAAAATAAATTTTTGGTTTTTTTAGACGGAGTTTTCACTTTTGTCGCCCAGGCTGGAGTGCAGTGATGCAATCCTGGCTCACTGCAACCTCGGCCTTCTGGGTTCAAGCAATTCTCCCTGCGCCAGCCTCCCGTGTAGCTGGGATTACAGGTGCCTGCCATCACACTTGGCTAATTTTTGTATTTTTCGTAGAGACGGGGTTTCACCACGTTGGCCAGGTTGGTCTCAAACTCCTGACCTCAAGTGATCTGCCCACCTCAGCCTCTTAAAGTGCTGGGATAACAGGCGTGAGCCACCTCGCCCAGCCCAAAATACAATTACTCTTTTTTTTTTTTAAATAGAAAGTGTATCCTCTAATTCAGCCATGGTATATAGCACTTATGCTACCACTGTGCTTACCCATAGCTATGGTAGATACAATTGATACCAGAGTCACTCTGGATTAGCCTGGACTCAGCCTCATATTCCTTCTCAACACAGAATTCCAGGCACCCACTCTCAGTCAATTAAAGTTGGCACAAGATGGACATGTTTTATTAAAAACTGAGTGTTTTAAAGAAATACGTCACTCAGGTGTGGTAGCTCCCACCTGTAATCCCAGCACTTTGGAGGCTGAGGCAGGAGAATCGCTTGAGCCCAGGAGTTCAAGACCAGCCTGGGCAACATGGCAAAATCCTGTCCTCTACAAGAAATTTTACAGTTAGCCAGGCATGGTGGCATGTGCCTGTATTCCAGCTACTCAGGAGGCTGAGGTGGGAGGATCACCTGAGCCCAGGAGGTTGAGGCTGCAGTGAATTGAGATCGTACCACTGAGCTCCAGCCTGAGTGACAGAGATCCTGTCTCAAGAAAAAATAAATAAATAAAAAGTATAAAAAGAAAGTGGTGCTTAAGTAAGACCAATCAAAAATTATTGTATGGGCTCATTCATGTATATGTGAGTATAGGGAGACAATTGTGGTCTCTCTCCCAAAATAAAAATGTCTTTTGGGAATTGTTCTAAAATAATTTGTCGTATGGGGTTGATTATAATCTCACGAAGTATGTTTCCTTTGTTTTTTTTTTTAGACAGGGTCTTCCTGCATTTGCAGGCTGGAGTGTAGTGGCATAATCATGGTTCACTGCAACTTCTGCCTCTTGGGCCCAAGCAATCTCCCATCTCAGCCTTCCTAGCAGCTGGGTCCACAGGCACACACCACCACGCCTGGCTAACTTTAAAATTTTTTATAGAGACGGAGTCAGCCTAGGCTGATTGGTGACGGCCCAGGTTGGTCTTGAACTCCTGGGCTCAAGTGATCTTCCCACCTCAGCCTCTCAAAGTTATGGGATTAGGGGAGTTAACCACGGAGTCCAGCCTCTTTTTTTTTTTCTTTTTTCCCCCCCAAATCCAAGCAAATTATTAAGGTAGATACATTTCTTATATAAAAATTAATTTACATCATGTGACCCAGTGGTTGGACCTTCTGGAAAATAAAGACCCATTTTCAGTACATTGTTTTGAATGTATCCACATTTGATCCTAAAGTAACGTACTTTATTTTTTTGAAATTATTATTATTATTGTTTTTTAAAAAGACATTTATGGCTGGGTGCAGTGGCTCACACCTGTAATCCCAGCACTTTGGGAGGCCGAAGCAGGCGGATCACCAGGTCAGGAGTTCAAGAGCAGCCTGGCCAATATGGTGAAACACCATCTCTACTAAAAATACAAAAATTGGCTGGGCATGGTGGTGTGCCCCTGTAGTCCCAGCTACTCGGTAGGCTGAGGCAGAAGAATCGCTTGAACCCAGGAGGGAGAGGTTGCAGTGAGCCGAGATCGCAGCACTGTACTCCAGCCTAGCAACAGAGCAAGACTCCATCTGAAAACAAAACAAAAAATCTCTTAGGTGATGTTCTTCAGTGTCTTCTTTAGTGCCACCAACAAATATCTTTTTCACAGTTAAGTGGGCACCTGGTCTTCGAGAATCTTCTCTTGAGACAGTTCTCTTTGTTTCCACAACTCTTCCATCCACCCTGTGTGGCCTTGCATTCATGGCTGCATCCACCTCCCCCACAGTGGCATAGTGACAAACGCACAGCCCCTGGAGCACTAGGTGTTTGGATGTCTCATGACCACACAGTCCGTGAGCGTTCCCATTGCTCAGAGTGGCTCCTCAGGCTCTCATCAGTTGTTTCAAAGCTCAACCGTCCAACGAAGAGCTTCCTCAGTTGTTCAGGCTCTTTAGGAGACTCTGACTTATACATGACGGCAGGGAGAAGAGAGACTTTAATGATGCTTCCTCGGCAGTGTCCATGGGCAGAAAGCTATTTTTTATTTTTTTGAGATGGAGTCTCAGTCTGTCATCCAGGCTGGAGTGGAGTGGCGCCATCTCAACTCACTGCAACCTCCGCCTCCTGGGTTCAAGCGATTCTCCTGCCTCAGCCTCCCGCGTAGCTGGGACTACAGGCATGCGCCACCACGCCCAGCTAATTTTTGTATTTTTAGTAGAGATGGTGTTTCACCATACTGGCCAGGCTGGTCTCAAATTCCTGACCTCAGGTGATCCACCTGCCTCAGCCTCCCAAAGTGCTGGGATTACAGGCGTGAGCCACTGTGCCCAACCAGTAATGTACTTTAGATTGACAAATTGTTTGGAATCCCAGAATCAGTCATTAAATCTAGAGAGTTTTGTCACAGATCAAAGAGGGTACCAAAACAAATTAGTCACCCCTTTTCTTGCAGAAGAAGTTTATAATAAGCTTTAGATGTACCTTATGTCCAAAGGAAGCACTTGGTGTTTTACACAGTGTAGTATCAAAACACGGATAAGGAGACAGAATTTATTGGCTTAATGTTCTCTTTAGAGCTCTTGATATTCATGTAGCATAATTATTAAAAACATGGACTCCAATGCCAAACATCCTTCAGTTTAGCTTGGAGAGACTATTTAACCTTGCACTGTCTCAGTGTCCTCATCTTAATGGGGTTGTGGTGAAGACCTTTTATTTACTTATATAACTGTGAGGAATGTACACATTCATATGCACATACATGTATTTATGTATGTATATACGAAACTGACCCCATAGTCCCATAGAAGTTTTTTGGGATAAATATAGAAATTGACTCTTCTTGTGCTGGCTTAGTCAGCACATATACTAAAATTGGAACAACAACAGAAAAAGAAACTGACCTGGTCTTAAATTTGAAACTTACATTTGTTTTATTTTATTTTATTTATCTATTTAACTTTTTTGAGATGGAGTCTCATCTGTCGCCCAGGCTGGAGTACAGTGGCGTCACCTTGGCTGACTGCAACCTCTGGCTCCCAGGTTCAAGTGATTCTCCTGCCTCAGCCTCCCGAATAGCTGGGACTACAGGTGTGCATCACCACGTCCAGCTAATTTTTTTTTTTACTTTTTTTTAAGTAGAGACAGGGTTTCACTATGTTGGCCAGGCTGGTCTTGAACTCCTGACCTCAGGAGATCCACCTGCCTCAGCCTCCCAAGGTGTTGGGTTTATAGGCGTGAGCCACCATGCCTGGCCACATTTGTTTTATCTGAGTTCTTTCCTCAAAAAACTACCTTTAGGTCTCTCAAAAACATTATCAAAGAACTGAAACTAACCAGGTCACCACATCCAGACAATGAGATTCGGGGACCCCTCATTCATCATGATTGCTGCCTTGCTCCTCCCTAGTTCTTGTTCTCTTTTTTTTTTCTTTTTTTTCTTTTTTTTTTTTCAGATGGAGTCTGAAAAAAACTCTTGTTGCTCAGGCTAGGGTGCAATGGTGCGATTTCAGCTCACTGCAACCTCCACCTCCCGGGTTCAAGCAATTCTCCTGCCTCAGCCTCCCAAGTAGCTGGGATTACAGGCACTACCACATCCAGCTAATTTTTGTATTTTTAGTAAAGACAGGGTTTCACTATGTTGGCCAGGCTAGTCTTGAACTCCTGACCTCAGGTGATGGGCCTGCCTTGGCCTCCCAAAGTGCTGAGATTACAGGCATGAGCCACCGTGCCCAGCCTCTCGTTTTCTTATACATTGTTACATTTCTTTTCTGCTACATAAACCCCTAGTTACAGTCAGTCAGGGAGTTGGATTTGAGACTAAGCTCCCAATTCCTCTACTGCAGCACCCAGTTAAAGCCTTCTTCCTTGGCAGTAATTGTGGTTTCAGTGTTTGGCTTTCTGTGCAGAGAGCAGCAGGACGTAGACTGAACCCCTGGTGTTTCGGTAACACATACACTCTCATGCAGAGCACTTAGAATAGTCTAAGGACATGGAAAGCACTATACATGTTAATTATGACTTATCTTTACAAATCAACCTCAATATTGTCCTGGCACAGTAACTCACGCCTGTAATCCCAGCACTTTGGGAGGCTGAGGTGGGTGGATCACTTGCGGCCAGGAGTTTGAGACCAGCCTGGCCAACATGGTGAAAACCTGTCTCTAATAAAAATACAAAAATTAGCTGGGCCTGGTGGCGGGTGCCTATAATCCCAGCTACTTGGGAGGCTGAGACAGGAGAATCAACCGCTGCCTGGGAAGCAGAGGTTGCAATGAGCCGAGATCGCTCCACTGCACTCCATCCTGGGTGACAGAACGAGGCTTCATTTCAAAAACAAACAAACAAACAAACAAATCAACCTTAATAGCATTCCTTAAATACTTACAAGTTCTGGTTCATGGATCTTTTATCATGAAAGAGTATTACAATTTATTTTAAATGTTTATTTCATAATTACATAAATTTTTTGTTTCTTTTTGTAAATAGGTTTCTTGACCTATAAAAAGAGCTGTTTGCTCAAGAGAAGAAACTTCCGGCCAGACACAGTGGCTCATGCCTGTAATCTCAGCATTTTGGGAGGCCAAGGTAGGCAGATCACCTGAGGTCAGGAGTTTGAGACTAGCTTGGCCAATATGGCTAAACCCTGTCTCTACTAAAAATACAAAATTAGCTAGGCATGGTGGTGCGTGCCTGTAATCCCAGCTACTTGGGAGGCTGAGGCAGGAGAATCGCTTGAACCTGAGAGGTGGAGGTTGCAGTGAGCCAAGGCTGTGCCACTGCACTCCATCCTGGGCAACAGAGGGAGACTCTTGTCTAAAAAAAAAGAGAGAAAAGAAAAGAAACTTCCAATTTTCCAATTTGTTTAGATCCAGGAATAGACCAATTTGAAAAATCTTAAATAATATTAACTACTCAGTCCATGGTATTCTTCATAAAATGGCTGTAAGAGGCAGCAATACTAAGAAAAACATGAATTTATGAACATAAGTACTGCTTTTTCCCCCTCAGTTTGATTTAAATTTAATATCCTCCCACAATGGGAAATGATTTACAATAAAGAGATAAACTGGAAAGAATAAGAAAATGGAAAAAGATGTCATTTCTTTTTACTACCCAACAGATTTACCATATGTTTTAAAATGATGCTTGGCCATCTACAGTAAATGAAACAAAATGCTTTTTAAAATAATGTAACACTTTAAACTATTTTTACGACCAAACTCTCCCTCTCTTGTGAAATATCCATCTTACTAAGCAAAGGTTTATTTAAGCTCCACTTACATCTATGTTGTTTTTAGCTCATTTCCTTTTTAAAAAAGCAATGGGCAAGTTTATTTCCCAGTTTATCTGTTATAATAAAATATAAAAAGCATTTCTGTTTTGGCCTCTAGTATAGCATTATCGAAAGCTACGAAACTCACAGCAAAATATAGGACAGTGTAAAATTAGAAACTGCTGGTGTTTCTTTAGCAGCAGTTGCTGTCCTTGCAGTTGTTTTCCCCTCTTGCCACCAGCACAAATCTGAAAGTCACCTCTGTGTACCAGACAACAAACCCCAAGTGTGTTGTTTAAATAACACACTTTATTATTCACATAGCATAGATTTCACCCTTTTAAAGTACACAGTTCGCTGGGTTTTAGTATAATCACAGAGTTGTGTAATCATTACCATTGTCCATTTAGAACATTTTTTTCTCTCCAAAAAAAAAAACAAAAAACCCCCCAAAAACTCCATACCCTTTAGCATTCATTCCCCATTCCTTCATTCCCCCAGGACCTGGCAATCACTAATCTACATTCTGTCTCTGTGGACTTGCCTATTCCAGACATTTCATATAAGTGGAATCACAATTATGTGACCTTTGTGACTGGCTTCTTTTGCTTCTTCTTCTTCTCCTTTTTTTTTTTTTTTTTCTTTTCTTTTAGCTACAGGGTCTCACTATGTTGCCCAGGCTAGTTTCAAACTCCTGGGCTCGAGGTGCCGTTCAAGGCCCGGCCCTCCAGTTCCGCCGCGGCCACCGCTGCCGAGGTGCGTGGGCCCGGCGGAGTGCCAGGCCTGCATTCTCTCCTCCTTCCTCCCCGCCTCTGGCTGCCAGTAGGACCTTTCTCTCGCAGCCGCTGGGACCCCGTGTCATCGCCAAGGCCGAGCACGATGCCCTGCAAAGAGGGAGGTGATGGAATTAAACCACCCCCAATCATTGGAAGATTTGGAACTTCACTGAAAATTGGTATTGGTGGATTGCTAAATGTTGGAAAATCTACTTTCTTCGATGTATTAACCAGTAGTCAGGCTTCAGCAGAAAACTTCCTATTTGGCACCATTGATCCTAATGAGAGCAGGGTACCTGCGCCAGATGAAAGGTTTGACTTTCTTTGCCAGTACCACAAACCAGCAAGCAAAATTCCTGCCTTTCTAAATATAGTGGATACTGCTGGCCTTGTGAAAGGAGCTCACAATGGGCAGGGCCTGGGGAATGCTTTTTTTCTTTTTAATCTCATATTAATGCCTGTGATGGCATCTTTCATGTAACACGTACTTTTGAAGATGGTGATATGACGCATGTTGAAGGAAGTGTAGATCTTATTGGAGATACAGAAATAATACATGAAGAGCTTCAGCTTAAAGAGGAGGAAATGATTGGGTCCATTACAGATAAACTAGAAAAGGTGGCTGTGAGAGGAGGAGATAAAAAACTAAAACCTCTTTGGGAGGCCGAGGTGGGCAGATCACCAGGTCAGGAGTTCAAGACCAGCCTGGCCAATATGGTGAAACCCCATCTGTACTAAAAATACAAAAATTAGCTGGGCATGGTGGTGCACGCCTGTAATCCCAGCTAATCGGGAGGCTGAGGCAGGAGAATTGCTTGAACCTGGGAGGCGGAGGTGGCAGTGAGCTGAGATTGTGCCACTGCACTCCAGCCTGGGCAAGACTCCGTCTCAAAAAAAAAAAAAAGAAAGAAAGAAAGAAAGAAAGAAAAACAAATGGTTGATAAAAATAAAAATAAATTAAATAGTGGGTGGACAAGTATGACCTAGGTGCCTTTGTCGTTCCTTTTAGTGGGGCCTTGGCAAGAATTGAGTGCTGAGGAGAGACCGGAGTAACTGGAAGCAAACACGACTCAAAGTGCTTTGCCAAAGATCATTAAGGCTGGGTCTGCAGCACTCCAACTAGAATACGTTTTCACTGCAGGCCCAGATGAAGTGTGTGCAGGGACCATCAGGAAAGGGACTAAGAATCCTCAGGCTGCAGGAAAGATTCACACAAATTTTGAAAAGAGATTCATTATGGCTGAAGTAATGAAATACGAAGATTTTAAATGGGAAGGTTCTGAAATGCAGTCAAGGCTGCCGGAAAGTACAGACAACAAGGCAGAAATTATATTGTTGAAGATGGAGATATTATCTTCTTCAAATTTAACACACCTCAACAACCGAAGAAGAAAGATAATGCATGTTTTACAGTACTCCAGATGTCTACACCCAACAAAACATCTGGAAAAACAACAACAACAACAACAACAAACTCCTGGGCTCAAGCAATCCTCCTGCCTCGGCCTCCCAAAGTGCTGGGATTACAGGCATGAGCCGCCATGCCCAGCCAGCTTTTTTCACTTAGCTTAATGCTTTCAAGGTTTATTCATGTTGCAGAACGTATCAGTACTTCATTCCTTTTTATGGTCAAATAATATTCCATTGTACGGATATACCACAGTTTGTTTAATCATTCACCAGATGATGGACATTTAGGTTGTTCTTGTGTTGATTATTATGAACAATGCTGTTATTAACATTTATGTACAAGTTTTTATGTGGATATATGTTTTTATTTTTCATGAGTATATGTACAAAGAATGAAGTTGCTGGGTCATATGATAACCTTTTGAGGAACTGCTAGACTATTTTCCAAAGTGGCTGCACCATTTAGCATTCCCAGTTGCAGTGCATTAGAGTACCGATTTCTCCACGTTCTAACCTTTGTTATCTATCTTTTTGATTATAGCCATTCTAGCTGGAATGATGTGGTATCTCATTTTGATTTTGATTTGCATTTCTCTGATGGCTAATGACATTGAGCATCTTTTCATGTGCCCATTGTCCATTTGCATATCTTCTTTGGAAAAATTTCTTTTCAGATGCATTTTTTTAAAAAAACAATTATGGGTTTTATCTTAATATGGTGTCGTAAGTTTTTTAGAATATATTCTGAATATAAGTCTCATAACAGATATATGATTTGCAAATATTTTCTCTCATTCTGTGGGTACTTGAGCTTTCTTGATGGTATTTTTTGAAGCACTAAAATTTTCAGTTTTCATGAATTCCAGTTTATCTGTTTATCTTTGGTTGCTTATGCTTTTAATGTTGTATCTAAGAAAGCATTCTGTAACCCAAGAAAATTTACTTTGGGGGGTCATGGTGGTTCACACCTGTAATCTCAGCACTTTTGGGAGGTTGAGACTTGAGACCAGGAGTTGAAGATTAGCTTGGGAAAAATAGTGAGACCCTGTCTCAAAAAAAAAAAACAAAACTAAAAAGTAGCCAGACATGGTGGCATATTTCTGTGGTCCCAGCTACTCAGGAGGCTGAAATGGGAGGATTGCTCGAGCCCAGGAGGTGGAGGCTATAGTGAACCATGTTCACACCTCTGCACTCCAGCCTGGGTGACAGAGTGGGACCCTGTCTCCAAAAATACATAAATATATAAAAATTTTTAATTTACTTATATATTTTTTCCATAAGTTGTACAGTTTCAATTCTTACATTTTGAGCTAATTTTTTATGTATGGTGTGACATAGGAGTCCAAATTAATTTTTTTGCAATTCACTTGTCCCAGCGCCATATATTGAAAGGCTCTTTGTCACTGAATTTCCTCGGCATCTTTGTCAAAAATCAGTTGACCATGAATGTAAGGGTTTATTTCTGGGCTTTAATTCTATTGCATTGATCTGTATGAATGTTGAATGTTCTTATACCAGTACCACACTGTCTTGATTGCTGTAGCTTTGTGCTTGATATGGTTAGGCTTGGTGTCCCCACCCAAATCTTATCTTGAAGTGTAATCCCCATAATCACTATAATCCCCATGTGTCAAGGGAGAGACCAGGTGGAGGTAATTGAATCGTGGAGGCAGTTCCCCATGCTGTTCTCATGACAGTGAGTTCTCATAAGATCTGATTGTTTTATAAGGGGCTCTTTCCCCTTTCTCTTGGCGCTGCTTCTTGCTGCCTTGTGAAGAAGGTGCCTTGCTTCCCCTTCACCTTGATTGTAAGTTTCCTGAGGCCTCCCCAGCCATGCTGAACTGTGAGTCAATTAAACCTCTTTTCTTTATAAATTGCCTAGTCTCAGAAAGTTATTTATAGCAGTATGAAACCGGACTAATACAGTGCTGTTTTGAAATCAGGAAGTGCCCATCCTTCAACTTTGTTCTTTCTCAAGGTTGTTTTGGCTATTTTGTGTCCCTTGTATTTCTTTCACTATTTTTCTTCCTTTTGTAGTTTTAACTGACCATTTTATATGACTTCATTTTTTCTCTCCTTTTAATTTTTTCTATTTTTTTCTTAGCATATTCATTGTGCTTCTTTTTTTTTACTTTTTAACAACTTTTTTCAGTGGTTGCTCTAGGTTCCCTTTATTTTTTTTATTTTTTTTGTATTTTTTAGAGACGTGGTCTCACTGTGATACCCAGGCTGGAGTGCAGAGGTGTGAACATGGTTCACTGCAGCCTCTACTTCCTGGGCTCAAGCAATCCTCCCACCTCAGCCTCCCAGATAGGTGGGATTACAGGCACAAGCCACCACACCACTCTAATTTTGTCGTAGTAGTTTTTGGTAGAGAGTCTCACCGTGTTGCCCAGTCTGGTCCCAAATTCCTGGCCTCAAGCAATTCTCCCGCCTCAGTTTCCCAAAGTGTTGGGATTACAGACATGAGCCACCATGCCTGGCCAACTCTTGTATTTTAATCTGAATTTTAGAATCAGCTTGACAACTTCTGCAAGAAAGAAAACTGGGGTTTTGATAGGATTGCCTTGAGGCTGGGCATGGTGGCTTATGCCTGTAATCCTAGCACTTTTGGAGGGCGAGGTGGGCGGATCATCTGAGGTCAGAAGTTCGAGACCACCCTGGGCAACATGGTGAAACTCCGTCATTACTAAAAATGCAAAAATTAGCTGGATGATGTGGCACACACCTGTAATCCCAGCTACTGGGGCGGCTAAGGCACTAGAATCGCTTGAACCCAGGAGGCGGAGGTTGCAGTGGGCCTAGATGGCGCCACTGCACTCCAGCCTGGGAGACAGAGCGAGACTCCATCTCAGGAAAAAAAAAAGATATCACACTGTACCCCATAAGTAAGTGCAATTATTATGTGTCAAAAATAAAAAATTATATAAGAACTAATAAACAAGTACACCAATGTTGTAGGGTACAAGATCAATAAATGAAAACCAATCATATTTCTGGCCGGGCATGGTGGCTGGGCTCAGTGGCACAAGCCCAGGAGTTTGAGACCAGCCTGGCCAGCATGGTGAAACCCTGTCTCTACTAAAACTACAAAAATTAGCCGGGCGTGGTGGCTCATGTTGTAATCTCAGCTACTCAGGAGGCTGAGGCATGAGAATCACTTGACCCTGGGAGGTGGAGGTTGCAGTGAGCCAAGGTCACGCCACTGCACTCCAGCCTGGGCAATGGAGTGAGACTCTGTCTCAAAAAAAAAAAAAAAAAAAAAAAAAAAAGTCCATGTAGTACATGTATCAAAACATCACACCGAGGCTGGCTGCAGTGGCTCACGCCTGTAATCCTAGCACTTTGGGAGGCCGAGGCAGGTGGATCACTTGAGGTCAGGAGTCAAAGACCAGCCTGGTCAACACAGTGAAACCCCGTCTCTACTGGGAAAAAAAAAAAAAAAAAAAAAAAAAAGGAAGAAGAAGAAGTTGGCAGCATGGGGAGGGGGAGGAACAAGTGGGGAGTGGTGCTGTTGTTAAAAAAAATACTGGTCTGCTTCAACCCAAGGGGAATCAGAAGATCAAAAGCAGTTTGGGAAAGCCAGAACCGTCAGGGATGGAGGGAGAAGGAAAATCCAGGGGGTGGGGGGTTCTGTTTGGCAACTGGGGTGAAGGGATTGCTTTCTCCCTGCTGGGATTCTCCCCAACCCTTCCGGTCAGGCAGGAAGGGAGCAGCCTATTTCACTGCAGGCCCAGATGAAGTGCGTGCATGGACCATCCTTGAACTCCTGGGTGCAAGGGTTCCTTCTGCCTCAGCTTCCCAAGTAGTTAGGACTACAGGTGTGTGTGCCACCATGTCCAGGTAAGGTTTTTTATTTCTGGGGGGTGGGGGAGCTGTCTCGCTATGTTGCCCTGGCTGGTCCTAAATTCCTGGGCTCAAGGAATCCTTGCACTCAGCCTCCCCAGTGGCTGGATTACAGGCATAAGCCACTATGGCCAGCCCTCCTGTAATACTTTTAAATCATCTCTATGTTAAGCCTGGCTAATTTTTGTTTTTTTATGGCTTTTTGTTGTTGTTGTTGTTGTTATTGTTGTTGTTTTGTAGAGATGGAATTTCCCCATGTTGCCCAGGCTGGTCTGGAACTCCTGGGCTCAGGCAATCCTCCCTCCTCGGCCTCCCAAAGTGTTGGGAGTATAGGCATGAGCTACTGTACTTGGCCTAGCAGTGGTGTTTTAAATAAATATGCTTTTGGCCAGGCATGGCAGCTCACACCCGTAATCATAGCACTTTGGGAGGCTGAGGTGGTAGGGCTGCTTGGGCCTGGGAGGTTGAGGCTGCAGTAATCTGTGATCACACCACTGAACTCCAGCTGGTTGACAGAGCAAGACACTGTCTCAAAAACTGTGTATGTATATATGCTTTGGATTTTCATACTTTCTCTAGCACCGCAGACTGCTAAATAATCATAGTCAATTAATGGAAATGAACTCCTATTCTTGCTTATTATGAATTAAAATGAGTAAATTATGAAAACATACTAATTATTGATATTTTGTGTAGATCAGCAATATTTGAACTTTCTCCCACCTGAGTGGAAGGCAAGCTAAACTTGGAAGCACTCTTGGATTTTTTTGTTGTTTTTTCTTTTTTTATTTTAATATTTTTATTGCTTATATTTCTTTTTTACGTTTTAATCTGTTAAAGTCAAAGATTTTTTAAATTCCTAGACTGATGGAGAGTAGTTATTTAAAAGCTTGACAAAATAATTTTAATACTGTCTAACCAGCAAAGTTTATGAAATCTTTTTTTTTTTTTTTTTTTGAGACAGGGTCTTGCTCTGTCACCCAGGTTGGGGAGCAGTGTTGCAACCATGGCTCACTGCAGCCTTGAGTACCAGGCCCAAGCAATCCTCCCACCTCAGCCTCCAGAGTAGCTGGGCCTACAGGCAGGCAGTGCCACGCCAGGCTTATTTTTTTTAGTAGTGACAGGGTCTCGCTATGTTGCCCAGGCTAGTCTTGAACTCTCAAGAGCTCACACAAGCCTCCTGCCTCGGCCTCCCAAAGTGCTGGGATTATAGGTCTGAGCCACTGTGCCCAGCCTGAAGTCTTTAATTGATACACCTAAAGTTACTTTTATGATACATCATTTTATTTATTTATTTATTTATTTATTTATTTATTTATTTATTTATTTTGAGACAGAGTCTTGCTCTGTTGTTCAGGCTGGAGTGCAGCGGTGCCATCTTGGCTCACTGCAACCTTCGCCTCCTGGGTTCAACCGATTCTCCTGTCTCACCCTTCTGAATAGCTGGGATTACAGGTGTGGGCCACCAAGCCCGGCTAATTTTTCATTTTTAGTAGAGATGGGGTTTTACCATGTTGGCCAGGCTGGTCTTGAACTCCTGATCTCAAGTGATCTGCCTGCCTTGGCCTCCCAAAGAGCTGGGATTACAGGCATTAGCCACTGCATCCAACCTTATGATGCATAATTTTAGAGATTGCTTTTTTAGACAAATATTGAACTCATGTATTAAATAGTTTAATGAAAACTCAGACTCTATCTGAATATGATACCTCTTTTTTTTTTACTTTTATTCTTAAGTTATATATATTTATTATAAAAATATTCAAGTTAGTAGGGAATTTTTAAAAATGTAAAATTCTGTTGTTCATCTTAAATCCCATTTTTCAGTAGTGACTACTGTGAACACTTTTTGGGAGGGGGGAGGGGACAGGGTCTCACTCTGTCACCCAAGCTGGAATGCAGTGGCACGGTCTTGGCTCACTGCAACCTCCACCTTCTGGGTTCAAGAGATTCTTGTACCTCAGCCTCCCAAGTAGCTGGGACTACAGGCGTGTGCCACCATGTCTGGCTAATTTTTTGTTTGTTTGTATTTTTTTGTAGAGACAGGTTTTTGCCATGTTGGCTAGGCTGGTCTCGAACTCCTGGCCTCAAGCAGTCCACCCACCTCGGCCTTCCAAAGTGTTGGGATTACAGGCGTGAGCCACCATGCCTGGCCCTGTTAACAGTTTTGTGTGTTACCTTCCATATCTTTATCTATGCGTATACAAATCTGTCCTCTGTAACCCATTTTGTACATATTTTTTATTGTATAATTTATTTTTTAAAAAATTCTTTTCATAGAATACTTTTTCACACTAAAGATTCCCACAGTGGGAAAATAACAATTTATTACTTATAGTTTTATGTTTGTGGACAGATTGTTTTAGAACAAGTAAAACACACTTAAGAATTAAGTCTCAATTTGGAATTTGTAGTATTTTGATGCATCTACAAGGACGACCTAGTCCTTAAGTGGAACTTCTGTATATTCAGAAGCTCTTTAAGCTTTTCTTCACAGGATTTAGAAATTCATAATGTGAGAAATCGGCATTTCCTAATTTTAAACTTTCCCTAGTATATGTAGTCATCAGTAGCTGGTATCTACCAAACAAAGAGGGAAGTTTTTGAAAATTAAACCCGGCTAATTTTCTGCAAAGTTTTTATTCATGAATTAACAGTATTTCCCTTTGTCCATTTTTCCCAGGGCAAATATAGAAGCAGTTTGGTCAGGTACTGGCAGTAATAAAGCTGGATTCTCTTTAAGAGATTGATGAGGTCGAGCGCGGTGGTTCACGCCTATAATCCCAGCACTCTGGGAGGCCGAGGCAGGCGGATCACTTGAGGCCAGGAGTTAAGAGACCGGCCTGGCCAACATGGTGGAACCTCGTCTCTACTAAAAATGCAAAAATTAGCCTGGTGTGGTGGCGTGTGCCTGTAATCCCAGCTACTCGTGAGGCTGAGGCAGGAGAATTGCTTGAACGTGGGAGGCAGAGGTTACAGTGAGCTGAGATCGTGCCACTGCACTCCAGCCTGGGTGACAGAGCAAGACTCGGTCTCAAAAAAAAAAAAAAAAAAAAAAAAAAAAAAAAAAAAAGTGGAGGGAAATCATACGTTTGCATCTGTAATGTCCATGTATCATGGACTCTGCCCTAGACTAGACTAGTGTCGTCCAGTGCAGTAGCCGCTAGCCACAGGTAGCTATTGAAAACTTGAAGCTGGGCATGGTGGTTAATGCCTATTATCTCAGCACTTGGGAGGCTAAGGCAGGAGGATAACTTAAACCCAGGAGTTCAAGATCAGGTTGGGCAACACAGCCAGACCCCATCTCTGCAAAAAATTTTAAAATTAGTCAAGTGTGGTGGCATGCACCTGTAGTTCCAGCTACTTGGAACGGTGAGGCGGCAGGATCATCTCAGCCTGGAAGATCGAGGCTGCAGTGAGCCATGATGGCACCACAGCACTCCAGCCTGGGTGACAGAGTGAGACCCTGTCTTAAAAAACAAACAAACAGGGGCCGGGTGGTGTGGTGTCGGTGTCGGCAGCATCCCCGGCGCCCTGCTGCGGTCGCCGCGAGCCTCGGCCTCTGTCTCCTCCCCTTCCAGCCCTCACCTCCACGCGGGACCGCTCGCGCCAGTCAACTCCGCGCACGTTGCCCCTGCTTGGCAGCCAATAAAAGGGGGCTGAGGAAATACCGGACACGGTCACCCGTTGCCAGCTCTAGCCTTTAAATTCCCGGATCGGGCACCTCCACGCACCGCGGCTAGCGCCGACACCCAGCTAGCGTGCAAGGCGCCGCGGCTCAGCGCGCACCGGCGGGCTTCGAAATCGCAGTCCTCCGGCGACCCCGAACTCCGCCCCGGAGCCTCAGCCCCTGGAAAGTGATCCTGGCATCCGAGAGCCAAGATGCCGGCCCACTTGCTGCAGGACGATATCTCTAGCTCCTATACCACCACCACCACCACCATTACAGCGCCTCCTTCCAGGGTCCCGCAGAATGGAGGAGATAAGTTGGAGACGACGCCCCTCTACTTGGAAGAAGACATTCGCCCTGATATAAAAGATGATATATATAACCTCACCTACAAGGATAAGGAAGGCCCAAGCCCCAAGGTTGAATATGTCTGGAGAAACATCATCCTTATGTCTCTGCTACACTTGGGCGCCCTGTATGGGATCACTTTGATTCCTACCTGCAACTTATACACCTGGCTTTGGGGGGTATTCTACTATTTTATCAGTGCCCTGGGCATAACAGCAGGAGCTCATCCTCTGTGGAGCCACTGATCTTACAAAGCTCGGCTGTCCCTGTGGCTCTTTCTGATCATTGCCAACACAATGGCATTCCAGAATGATGTCTATGAATGGGCTCGCGACCACCGTGCCCACCACAAGTTTTCAGAAACACATGCTGATCCTCATAATTCCTGACGTGGCTTTTTCTTCTCTCACGTGGGTTGGCTGCTTGTGCGCAAACACCCAACTGTCAAAGAGAAGGGCAGTACGCTAGACTTGTCTGACCTAGAAGCCGAGAAACTGGTGATGTTCCAGAGGAGGTACTACAAACCCGGCTTGCTGTTGATGTGCTTCATCCTGCCCACGCTTGTGCCCTGGTGTTTCTGGGGTGAAACTTTTCAAAACAGCGTGTTCGTTGCCACTTTCTTGCGATATGCTGTGGTGCTTAATGCCACGTGGCTGGTGAACAGTGCTGCCCACCTCTTCAGATATCGTCCTTATGACAAGAACATTAGCCTCCGGGAGAATATCCTGGTTTCACTTGGAGCTGTGGGTGAGGGCTTTCACAACTACCACCACTCCTTTCCCTATGACTACTCTGCCAGTGAGTACCGCTGGCACATCAACTTCACCACATTCTTCATTGATTGCATGGCCGCCTTCGGTCTGGCCTACGACCAGAAGAAAGTCTCCAAGGCCGCCATCTTGGCCAGGATTAAAAGAACCGGAGAGGGAAACTACAAGAGTGGCTGAGTTTGGGGTCCCTCAGGTTCCTTCTTCAAAAGCCAGCCAGGCAGAGGTTTTAATGTCTGTTTATTAACTACTGAATAATGCTACCAGGATGCTAAAGATGATGATGATAACCCATTCCAGTACAGTATTCTTTTAAAATTCGAAAGTATTGAAAGCCAACAACTCTGCCTTTATGATGCTAAACTGACATTATTTCTTCTCTTATCCTCTCTCTCTTCTAGGCCCATTGTCCTCCTTTTCACTTTGTTGCTATCATCCTCCTTTCTCTTATTGCCACCCAGGCAAGCAGCTGGTCAGTCTTTGTTCAGTGTCCAGCTTCCAAAGCCTAGACAACCTTTCTGTAGCCTAAAACGAATGGTCTCTGCTCCAGATAACTCTCTTTCCTTGAGCTGTTGTGAGCTTTGAAGTAGGTGGCTTGAGCTAGAGATAAAACAGAATCTTCTGGGTAGTCCCCTGTTAATTATCTTCAGCCCAGGCTTTTGCTAGATGGAATGGAAAAGCAACTTCATTTGACACAAAGCTTCTAAAGCAGGTAAATTGTTGGGGGAGAGAGTTAGCATGTATGAATGTAAGGATGAGGGAAGCGAAGCAAGAGGAACCTCTTGCCATGATCAGACATGCAGCTGCCTACCTAGTGAGGACTTCAAGCCCCACCACATAGCATGCTTCCTTTCTCTCCTGGCTTGGGGTAAGAAGTGGCTGTGGTGTTTGGCAATGCTAATTCAATGCCGCAACATATAGTTTAGGCCAAGGATAAAGAAGAGACACTTTAAGTTTGTAGTAAAAGTGGTCTCTGCTGGGGAAGGGTTTTCTTTTCTTTTTTTCTTTAATAACAAGGAGATTTCTTAGTTCATGTATCAAGAATTCTTGAAGTTGGGTGTTTCCATAATTGGTAAAAACAGCAGCTCACAGAATTTTGAGTATTCCATGAGCTGCTCATCACAGTTCTTTCCTCTTTCTGCTCTGCCATCTTCAGGATATTGGTTGTTCCCCTCATAGTAATAAGATGGCTGTGGCATTTCCAACCATCCAAAAAAAGGGAAGGATTTTAGGAGGTGGAGTCGGGTCAAACAAGAAATATATATATACATATATACATTGCTTAGAACGTTAAACTATTAGAGTATTTCCCTCCCAAAGAGGGATGTTTGAAAAAACTCTGAAGGAGAGGAGGAATTAGTTGGGATGCCAATTTCCTCTCCACTGCTGTACATGAGATGGGGAGGTTGAGGGACAGGATCTATAGGCAGCTTCTAAGAGCAAACTTCACACAGGAAGGGATCTGAGAACACATTGCCGGGGGCTTGAGAAGGTTACTGAGTGAGTTATTGGGAGTCTTAATAAAATAAACTAGATATTAGGTCCATTCATTAATTAGTTCCAGTTTCTCCTTGAAATGAGTAAAAACTAGAAGGCTTCTCCCCACAGTGTTGTGCCCCTTCACTCATTTTTTATTGGCGGGGTGGGGGGCTCTGTTAACATCTAGCCTAAGTATAGAACTGCCTGGGGGGCAGGGTTAGGAATCTCTTCACTACCCTGATTCTTGATTCCTGGTTCTACCCTGTCTGTCCCTTTTCTTTTACTAGATCTTTCTCTTCCCTGAACGTTTTCTTCTTTCCCTGGACAGGCAGCCTCCTTTGGGTGTATTCAGAGGCAGTGATGACTTGCTGTCCAGGCAGCTCCCTCCTGCAGACAGAATGCTCAGGGTCACTGAACCACTGCTTCTCTTCCGAAAGTAGAGCTAGCTGCCACTTTCGCATGGCCTCCGGAGTGTCTCCACCTACACCTCTGTGCTCCCCCGCCACACTGATGGCTCAAGACAAGGCTGGCAAACCCTCCCAGAAATGTCTCTGGCCCAGAAAGCCTCTCTCTCCCTCCCTCTCTCATGAGGCACAGCCAAGCCAAGTGCTCATGAGCCAGTGGGCCTGCCACAGAGCAAACGAGGGTTTATTTTCAGTCCCCTCTCTCTGGATCAGAACCAGAGAGCATGCTGAATGCCCCTCTGCTTGCTCGGTAAGGGTGCCCCACCTGAATCAGTGCTCTCAGCTGGCAGTGCAATGCTTGTAGAAGTAGGAGGAAACAGTTCTCACTGGGAAGAAGCAAGGGCAAGAACCCAAGTGCCTCACCTCAAAAGGAGGCCCTGTTCCCTGGAGTCAGGGTGAACTGCAAACCTTTGGCTGAGACCTGGGATTTGAGATACCACAAACCCTGCTGAACAGAGTGTCTGTTCAGCAAACTAACCAGCATTCCCTATAGCCTAGGGAATAGTATAGAAGTCTGGCAAAAACAGAAACAGAACATCAGTGTTTTGAGAACCTTGGACTACTCCTGTCCCTGTAGCTCAGTCATCAAAGCAGAAGCCTGGCTTTGCTCTATTAAGATTGGAAATGTACACTACCAAACACTCAGTCCACTGTTGAGCCCCAGTGCTGGAAGGAAGGAGGGCCTTTCTTCCTGTGTTAATTGCATGGAGGCTACAGGGGTTAGCCTGGACTAAAGGCATCCTTGTGTTTTGAGCTATTCACCTCAGTAGAAAAGAATCTAAGGGAAGATCACTGTAGTTTAGCTCTGTTGACCTGTGCACCTACCCCTTGGAAATGTCTGCTGTTATTTCTAATTCCACAGGTCATAAGATGCCTTCTTGATGATATATGAACGATAAAAACAACTTTCACTTCTTCCTATTGTAATCGTGTGCCATGGATCTGATCTGTACCATGACCCTACATAAGGCTGGATGGCACCCTCAGGCTGAGGGCCCCAATGTATGTGTGGCTGTGGGTGTGGGTGTGGGTGTATCTGCTGAGTAAGGAACACTATTCTCAAGATTCTAAAGCTCAATTCAAGTGACACATTAATGATAAACTCAGATCTGATCAAGAGTCTGGATTTCTAACAGTCCTTGCTTCGGGGCTGTGCTGGCAACTTAACTCGGGTGCCTTACATCTTTTCTAATCATAGTGTTGCATATGAGCCTGCCCTCACTCCCTCTGTGGAATCCCTTTGCACCTGAGAGCCTACTGAAGTGGCTGGTAGAAAAAGGGGCCTGAGTGAAGGATTATCAGTATCGCGATTTGCAGGATTCCCTTCTGGGCTTCATTCTGGAAACTTTTGTTAGGGCTGCTTTTAAGTGCCCACATTTGATGGAGGGTGGAAGTAATTTGAATGTATTTGATTTATATATATATATATTTTTAAGGTTAAAAGATGGTTGTAGCATTTAAAATGGAAAATTTTCTCCTCGGTTTGCTAGTATCTTGGGTGTATTCTCTCTAAGTGTAGCTCAAATAGGTCATCATGAAAGGTTAAAAAAGTGAGGTGGCCATGTTACGCTGGTGGTTAAGGCCAGGGCCTCTCCTACCACTGTGCCACTGACTTGCTATGTCACCCTGGGCAAGTCACTTAACTATAAGGTGCCTCAGTTTTCCTTCTGTTAAAATGGGGATGATAATACTGACCTACCTCAAAGGGCAGTTTTGAGGCGTGACTAATGCTTTTTAGAAAGCATTTTGGGATCCTTCAGCACAGGGATTCTCAAGACCTGAGTATTTTTTATAATAGCAATGTCCACCATCAACTTGATATGTCCGTGTGTCCCAGATGCTGTCATTAGTCTATATGGTTCTCCAAAAAATTGAATGAATCCATTGGAGAAGCAGTGGATTAACTAGCCAGACAAAATTTGAGAATGCATAAAAAACACATTGCCACGGAAACATACAGAGGATGCCTTTTCTGTGATTGGGTGGGATTTTTTCCCTTTTTATGTGGGACATAGTAGTTACTTGTGACAAGAATAATTTTGGAATAATTTCTATTAACATCAACTCTGAAGCTAATTGTACTAATCTGAGATTGTGTTTGTTTATAATAAAAGTGAAGTAATCCAAAAAACAAACAAACAAAACCATAAAACAAAACCTTGAAATGTGGCTAATCTGGATTGAATTATGCTGTAAATGTAAAATACACATCAGATTTCTAAGAGTTAGAACATAAAAGAGAATGTAAAGTATCTCACCAGTAATTTTTTTAATTGATCACATGTTGCAATGGTAATGTTTAGGGGTATATTGGGTTAAATAAAGCATGTTATTAAATTAATTTTAGCTGGGCATTGTGGCACATGACTGTAGTCCCAGCTGCTGGGAAGGCTGAGGTATTTTTTAAAGTGAGTGTTGGCCAGGTGCAGTGGCTCATGCCTATAATCCCAGCACTTTGGGAGGCCGAGGAGGGTAGATCACCTGAGGTCAGGAGTTTGAGACCAGCCTGACCAACGTAGTGAAACCCCGTCTCTACTAAAAATACAAAAATTATCCAGGCATGGTGGCGCGTGCCTGTAATCCCAGCTACTCAGGAGGCTGAGGCAGGAGAATCGCTTGAACCCAGGAGGCAGAGGTTGCAGTGAGCCGAGATCGCACCATTGCACTCCAGCCTGGGCAACATCAGTGAAACTCCATCTAAACAAACAAACAAACAAACAAACAAACTGAATGTTAAGGATTGCTAGAGCCCAGGAGTTCAAGGTGCAGTGAGCTATCATCATGCCACTCACTGTACTCCAGCCTGGGCAACAGAGCAAGACCCTGTCTCTTTAAAAAAACAAACAAACAAACAAACAAAAAACTATGTTGCCCAGGCTGGAGTGTACTAGCTATTTACGGTATTCACAGGCACAATCATGGCACGCTATGGGCTGGAACTCCTAGGCTCAAATGATCCTCCTCTTCAGACTCCCAAATAGTTGGAACTACAAGCCCTTGTTAGCACACCTGATTTTTTTTTTTTTTTTTTTTTTTTGAGATGGAGTCTCACTCTGTCACCCAGGCTGGAGTGCAATGGCGCGATCTCGGCTCACTGCAACTTCCGCCTCCTAGGTTCAAGTAATTCTCCTGCCTCAGCATCTCCTGTAGCTAGGATTACAGACACGTGCCACCACACCTGGCTACTTTTTGTATTTTTAGTAGAGATGAGGTTTCACCATGTTGGACAGGCTGGCTCGTCTCGAACTCCTGACCTCGTGATCTGCCTGCCTTGGCCTCCCAAAGTGCTGGAATTACAGGCATGAGCCCCGTGCCCAGCCACGCTTGAGTTTTTAAAAAGACCTGGGTGTTTATCTGGGATGTGAGCCCGTTTCCTTTTACTGTTTTTAATATGACTGCTAAAAATTTTAAACTACACATATGGCTCACGTTATATTTCCACTGGACCTCGCTGCTCTGAACTAACAGATGAGGACCATAACACTGGCTTTAAAAATTACGTAATATGGGCTGGGCGCGGTGGCTCATGCCTGTAATCCCAGCACTTTGGGAGGCCAAGGTGGGCGGATCACAAGGTTAGGAGACTGAGACCATCCTGGCTAACATGGTGAAACCCCATCTGTACTAAAAAATAGAAAAATTAGCCGGGCGTGGTGGCGGGCGCCTGTAGTCCTGGCTACTCAGGAGGCTGAGGCAGGAGAATGGCAAAAACCCGGGAGGTGGAGCTTGCAGTGAGCAGAGATCGCGCCACTGCACTCCAGCATGGGCAACAGAGCCAGACTCTGTCTCATAAATAAATAAATAAATAAATAAATAAATAAATAAATAAATTACATAATATGGCCTGGCACAGTGGCTCAAGCCTGTAAACTCAGGAATTTAGGGGAACTTGGCCGGGCACTGTTGCTCACGCCTGTAATCTCAGCACTTTCGGAGGCCAAGGCGGGCAGATTACTTGAGGTCAGGAGTTTGAAACCAGCCTGGCCAACCTGGTGAAACCCCATCTCTACTAAAAATGCAAAACAATTAGCCGTGCCTGGTGGTGGTAGTGGATGCCTGTAATCCCAGCTACTTGGGAGGCTGAGGCAGGAAAATCGCTTGAACCTGGGAGGTGGAGATTGCAGGGAACCGAGATCATGCCACTGCACTCCAGCCTGGGTGACAGAGCAAGACTCTGTCTCAAAAAATAAATAGATAAATAGATAGATAGATAGATAGATAGATAGATAGATAAAAAGGGGAACTTGGAATGGAGACCATGCGGGAGTGGTGCTGGGTACGAGGCCTGTGTATCTTGTTCCAGGGCTATCTTGAGTCACGGTCCCCTGACGTGGGCTGCTGTCATCTCATCATCTCAACAATGGCCAGGTTGTAGATTAACTGCCTTGAGGTGATCTCTGGTATTTAGCAGTTGGGTCTTCATGCCTGATGTATTTCAAAATTAGCCCCTGGAGTTTCTAAATATGTGCATAATTAGATAAGCGAGCACTGTGCACAAGAGTATCTATCTGGTGGGAAGGGAGAGAAACAAAGAGCTTTATTTATTCATTTATTTTCGAGACAGAGTCTCACTCTGTTGCCCAGGCTGGAGTGCAGTAGCATGATCTCTGCTCACTGCAACCTCTGTCTCCTGGGTTCAAGCTATTCTCCTACCTCAGCCTCCCGAGTAGCTGGGATTACAGGCTTGCACCACCACGCCTAGCTAATTTTTGTATTTTTAGTAGAGATAAGCTTTCACCATGTTGGCCAGGCTGGTCTCAAACTCCTGGCCGCAAGTGATCCACCTACCTCGGTCTCCCAAAGTGCTGAGATTACAGGCATGAGTCACCAGGCCCAGCCAACAAATAATTTTAAAGTATGTTTCAAGGCTAAATGTAAGAAAGGAAAAAAGTTTCAAAACGCATTTTGAAGCTGAGCTACTTGGTTACATATTGATGCTTTTATTTCTGTAGGATAGATTTCCCAAACAGACTGCTAGCTCAAATGTTATTTTCCAAATTGGCTTTAGCAATTTATATTCCCACCAGCATGTATGAGTGTCCTTTACTCATGCTTTCAGTATGAGGTATGATTACTCTTTTTATTTGTTTGTTTGAGACAGGGTTTCTTTCGCTCTGTTACCCAGGCTGGAATGCAGTGGCATGATCTCAGCTCACTGCAACCTCTAATCCTGGCTCAAGTGATCCTCCAGCCTCAGCTTCCCAAGTAGCTGGGACCAAAGGCATGAGCCACCATGGCCAGCCCAGTTTTGTATTTCTTGTAGAGACGGTGTTTCACCATGTTGTCCAGGCTGGTCTTGAACTCCTGAGCTCAAAGTTATCTGCCTCCCTTGGCCTCCCAAAGTGCTGAGATTACAGGCATGAGCCACCGTGCCTGATGCAGATATGGTTACTCTTTATAACTTTTGTCAGTCACTGAAAAGTGGCATCTCTTTCTTGTTTTAATTTGCTTTTTCCTGAATAGTGAGGCTGAACAGTATCTTTTTATATTTTTATTGACCATTTGAATTTCCTCTTCTGCAATTTGCCTATTTGCAGCCTTTGTCCATTTTTCTATTTGTCATTAGTTTCTTTCTAATTACTTTGTAGAAACTATTTATATGTTACAGACTTTCATTCATATGTGTTACAAATATTTTCCCCAATCTATTGTTTTTTTCTTAATTTCGTTTACGCTCTCACCATGGAAAAAACTTAACTTTCCTTTATGATTCCTCTTAATCAAGTTCTCTTCATACACACCTCCTCACTTTTATTTTTATTATTTTATACTTAGATATCTAATGCATTTCAAGTTATATTATCTTACATGATATAACATAGTGGCTGATTGACCCAAATTTGCAATCAACTCTATAAAATAGAATCTCTACTACAATGCCTTAATCAAATAGGGGTGAGGCATGGTGGCTCACACCTGTAATCCCAGCACTTTGGGAGGCCGAGGTGGGCAGATTACCTGAGGTCGGGGGTTCGAGACCAGCCTGACCAACATGAAGAAATCCCAACTCTACTAAAAATACAAAATTAGCTGGGCATGGTGGTGCATGCCTGTAATCCCAGCTACTTGGGAGGCTGAAGCAGGAGAATCGCTTGAACCCAGCAGACGGAGGTTGCAGTGAGCCAAGATCACGCCATTGTACTCCAGCCTGGGCAACAAGAGTGAAACTCTGTCTCCAAATAAAAAAAAAAAAAAAGTTTTTTTTTGGTTTGTTTTTTCATATAACAAGAAGAATAGAAGTAAAAGATCAGGACAGGTGTGGTGGCTCCACCATGCCATCAAAGATCCAGACATCTTCTCCCTTTCGGTTCCACAACTCAGGGATCATTCTTTTCTTTTTTCTTTCTTTCTTTCTTTTTTTTTTTTTAAGATGGAGCCTCGCTCTGTCGCCCAGGCTGGAGTGCAGTGGTGCGATCTTGGCTCGCTGCAACCTCTGCCTCCCGGGTTCAGGTGATCCTCCTGCTTCAGCCTCCCGAGTAGCTGGGATTACAGGCACCTGTACCTTGCCCGGCTAATTTTTGTATTTTTAGTAGAGAAGAGTTTTGCCATGTTGGTCAGGCTGGTCTCGAGTTCCTGACCTCAAGTGATCTGCCCACCTCGGCCTCCCAAAGTGCTGAGATTACAGGCACGAGCCACCATGCCCAGCCTATTATTTTCTTTTTCAGGCAAGCCAGTTTCTTTACTAAAAGGGTCATATTTACATGTTACGGGCAGGAAGAATATAGGGTGAAGGACACCCTTCTTTTCTTTTTATCAAGAAAACAATAGCTTTCCTGGAAACTGTACCCATTAGACTTCTAATTGTGTCTCACCAAGTGGGACATGGCCACTCTTATTTTCAAGAGAGTCTAGGGTGGTAAATAGATTTGTCTGGGCACATTGCTGCCCTAAACAAAATCAAGATTCTGAATGAAAATTGGGTAGGGAACTAGCGGTGTCTGCCATAGGAGCTAGCTTTATTTTCTTCTAGTTGTATACTCAATTATGCCAGAAACGTAAAATAAATAAAATAAAAAATAAAATAATAAAATAAAATAAATAAATAAAAAGTCATCTTGGTCCTTGTATTAGTCTGTTCTCATGCTGCTATAAAGTACTGCCCGGGACCGGGTGATTTATAAAGGAAAGAGGTTTAATCAACTCACAGTTGCACAGGGCTGGGGAAGCCTCAAGAAACTTACAATCATAGCAGAAGGGGAGGCAAACACATCCTTCTTCACCTGGTGGTAGGAAGGAGAAGTGCCCAGCGAAGGGGGAAAAGCCCCTTATAGAACCATCAGATCTTGTGAGAACTCACTCACTATCACTAGAACAGCGTGGGGGTAACTGCCCCCATGATTTAATTACCTCCCACTGGGTCCTTCCACGACATGTGGGGATTATGGGAACTACAATTCAAGATGAGATTTGGGTGGGGACACAGCCAAACCACATCAGTCGTTTATTAGATTGCCATGTAGTTCGATCAATTTTGGGGTTCTATTTTTCTTGTTTTAAAAAATAGAGATGGAGTCTCGTTCTGTTGCCCAGGCTGGAAGTATACAAGCATGATCATAACTCACTGCAGCCTTAAACTTCTGGGCTCAAGCAATCCTCCCACCTCAGCCTCCTGGGTAGCTGGGACTACAGGCACATGCCAGCACACCCGGCTACCTTTTTTATTTTTATTTTTCGTAGAAATGGGGTTTTGCCACGTTGCCCAGGGTGGTCTCAAACTTCTGGGCCTCAAGTGATCCGTGATCTACCCTCTTGGCCTCCCAAAATGCTGGAATTACAGGCATGAGCCATCACACCCGGCCTAATTTAAAAAATATTTATAGACATGGGGTCTCACTTTGTTGTCAAGGCTGGTTTTGAATTCCTGGCCTCAGGCCAGGCGTGGTGGCCTGTAATCCCAGCACTCTGGGAGGATGAGGTGGGCCAGAGGCCAGGAGTTCGAGACCAGCCTGGCCAACATGGTGAAACCCTGCCTCTACTAAAAATACAACAATTACCTGGGCGTGATGGCAGGTGCCTGTAGTCCCAGTTATTAGGGAGGCTGAGGCGGAGAATCACTTGAATCTGGGAGGTGGAGGTTGCAGTAAGCCAAGATCATGCCGCTGCACTCCAGCTTGGGTGACGGAGAAAGACCCCATCTCAGTAAATAAATAAATAAATAAATAAATAATTCTGGCCTCAAGCCACCCTCCCGCCTTGGGCTCCCAAAGTTCTGGAATTACAGGCATGAGCCACTGTGCTATTTTCTCTAATGATCTAGATGTCTATTCCTGTGCCGACAGCATACTGTTTTATTTATCATAGCTTCATTTTAAGTTTAATATATGATAAGACAGGTCTCCTTTGCTGGTCTTCCTTTCCAAATATTCTTGACCATCTCATTTATTCTTCTATATGAATGTTAAAATTACTGTCTAGCTTTTTAAAAAATTGATGTATTCTGATTCTAATTTCACTTATATGCTAATTTGGATTTATATGTTACATTTATATTTTAATAAAAGAATTAGCACCTTTATGATATTAATTCTTCCTATTCAAAATCATAGAATATTTTTCCTTCATTTAAAGGTATGATTTTTAGGTCTTTAGAAAAGGTCTAAGTCTTGAATTTTTATGTAGCCAAATTTATAGAAAAAATTTTCCTTATAGCTTCTGAATTTGGTAACACGTGCTTTAAAAGGCCTTTTCCACTCCAAGATTAGAAAAATATTCATCCATGTTTCCCTTAGTACTTTTCTGGTCTCATATTTTATCTTTAATTTTTGATGCATATGTAGTTTATTTTGGCATAAAGTGATGATTTAGGTCTTTTTTTTAAAGTCTAACCAGTTGTCTCATTACATTTACTGCATAAGCCACCTTTCTCCCACTGATCTGGAATTCTAGTTTTATCATATCATGAATTCAGTGTGTATTTGGATCCAGTTTTCATTTTTGCAATTTGTTCTGTTTCTATATGAATACAATAAACATTTAGCATCTTTGGAGTGCTAAGTGATTTCATCAAAATATTTAATGTTCAATTCCCTGTGAATTCCATATTTTTCTTCCATTTTGAGATAAGAAAAGTGAACCTAGAGAAGGTAAGTTAATTGGCCGGTCACAGTGGCTCACACCTGTAATCCCAGCACTTTGGGAGGCCAAGGCGTGCAGATCACCTGAGGCCAGGAGTTTGAGACCAGCCTGGCCAACATGGTGAAACCTCATCTCTACTAATAATGCAAAAATTAGCCGGGTGTGGTGGTGCACACCTGTAATCTCAGCTACTCAGGAGGCTGAGGCAGGAGAATTGCCTGAACCTGGGAGGCAGAGCTTGCAGTGAGCCGAGATCGCACCACTGCACTCCAGCTTGGGCAACAGAGCGAAACTCCATCTCAAAAAATAAAAAATAGATAAAAAATAAAAGAGAGAGAGAGAGAAGGTAAGTTATTTCTCATGCGTTCGGATGTGGGCTCTTGTACTTTCCCCAGGGAGAGCAGCTCGTAGTCTTCATTACTTCAGAGTTGGGATGAGCATTCACATTAGAAGACATGGATGAGGTTCTGAGGTTATTATTATGGTATTGATCTAGGGACCAAGCAATGCCTAGGTCCCTGGGTGCCCTCTTCTCTTTGGCGTTCTAGATCGAGGAAGCTACAGAGAGGTATACACAAGGAATGGAAACCCAGTACCTCCCACTATGCAGCTCTGTTATGTTCCATATTTTCTCTCTTCTCCCTGAAACTAACATGACACAGACTGCAGAGGAGGCCTCTATAAGAGAACAAAAGAGAAATAAATAAGGCCCAAGGAATGCCTTGAACTCTGACCAATCATATTAACCAACCACTCCTCCTAGGAGCTGAGGGGCCTAGGAAAGTCTTTTTGGGGCGGTAGTCCTGGGGAAATGGAGCAGAAGTGCTCTCTCCCAAGATCTGCAAAGTTGAACCATATATCTCTAGTGTCACCAAAGGGCTACAGAGATTAAAAATTGAGGTGGGGTTGATGGTGGTTATGGTTAGAGTCATTGTTTCCTGAGTGTTTTTATGTTCTCAGCCTATGAGTGTTTGCCACTTCTACGAACCCCAGTTCCTCAGAATTTCTCATTAGAAACCTCAAGAATTGCCTATAGGGTATGTGAACTCCTGGCTGCTGGTGTCTTCCATCACCCAATAATCGAAAAACATATCATTGTTTCAAGATCTCTTTTGAAAAATAGTTTCACTGGGATATAATTCCAGTTTGACAATGATTTTCCTTTCAGACGTTAGAAGTGTTATTCTGCTATCTTCTGGCTTCTTCTGTTTCTGTTGAGAAATCTGCTGTCATTTTCATTTGTTTCTTTGTAGGTAAGATATATTTCTCTCTAGCTGTTTTAGGATCGTTCTCTTCAGTTTTCTGTAGTTTCACTATGATGTGTCTTGATGTGGATTTCTTTTTTTTTTTCTGGATTGCAGTTCACTGAGTTTCTTTAAGAATTTGGGTCTCATTAATTCTTGAAAATTCTCAGTCATAACCTTTCAAATATGGCCTCTGCCCCATTTTCTCTATTTCCTCCTTCTGGAAATCCAGGTATACATTGGATCTTTGCACTCTATCGTCCATGACCCATGATCTTTCACGCTTTCCATTTCTTTGTCTCTGTGCATTCTGGGTAACTTCTTTGGGGCTATCTTCTAGGTCACAAATTATTCATTCATACTATTCATCTGTTTAATCTTTCCATTGATTTTCTACTTTCAAATATTATAATTTTCTTTTTTTAAATTTTTTGCCTCTCCCAAAATCAGGTGTTATTTTTAAAAATTATTGTTATTATTATTATTTTGAGACAGAGTCTCACTGTGTCGCCCAGGCTGGAGGAGTGCAGTAGTGCGATCTCAGTTCACTGCAACCTCCCCATCCCGGGGTCAAGCAATTCTTGTGCCTCAACCTCCGGAGTAACTGGGACCACAGGCCTGCGCCATGACGCCCGGCTAATTTTTGTATTTTTAGTGGAGGCAGGGTTTCACTATGTTGGCCAGGCTGCTCCTGAACTCCTGGCCTCAAGTCATCCACTCGCCTCAGCCTCCCAAAGTGCTGGGATTACAGGCATGAGCCACTGCACCCAACCTTATTATAATAATTTTCATTTCAAAAGTTGTTTGATTCCCTAATCACTACCTACTTTCATGCTGTGTTTTAACCTAGTCAAACTGCTGGTCTCATATGTTTTGTTTTTTGTCTTTGAGAGAGTCTCACTGTCACCCAGGCTGGAGTGCAATAGCATGATCTCGGCTCACCGCACCCTCCACCTCCTGGATTCAAGTTATTCTCCTGCCTCAGCCTCCCAAGTAGCTGGGATTACAGGCGTGTGCCACCACATCTGGCTAACTTTTTTTTTTCTGAATTGGAGTCTTGCTCTGTCGCCCAGACTGGAGTGCAGTGGCACAGTCTTGGCTCATTGTTCCAGCAATTCTCCTGCCTCAGCCTCCCGGGTAGCTGGGATTATAGGCATGTGCCACTGTGCCCAGCTAGTTTTTGTATTTTTAGTAGAGATGGTGGTTTCACCATGTTGGCCAGGTTGGTCTTGAACTCCTGAGTTCGGGTGATCCACCCACCTCGGCTTCCCAAAGTGCTGGGATTACAGGCGTGAGTCATGGCGCCCGGCCTGGTCTCATATGTTGCTAGTAGTTAAAGCAAGATAATGGGTACCTAGGAATTTGTTAGATTTTTATCTACTTTTGGCATATTAAATGATTTCCATAATAAGTTTTAAAGGGCAGGGAGGGGGTCATCACACTTTAAAAAGTTGGGGATAATTGAACAATAGGCCATATGAAAACATGACAATTTAAACTGGGTTATGGAGAAGACAGAATTGTGGGGCATGAAACTTTTCTGGAATACAGTGGAGGATTCTGAATGGGTTGAGGACAGCAGGAAGGGAGGCTGTGGATATGTGGGAGACAGGAAAGAAGAGGCAGAGAATAGGAAGTGGGTTCCAACCCATGATGGGAGGAAACCAACACGGTCTGTTCCATTTTCCTCAGGGCCCTAGGACCACAGAGCCACTAAGATAATCTATATGCTGCCTTCATTTGAATATCAAGGACTGCTGGTGTCTGGGTTCAGGGAATTTTTTCCATTGCTCCCTTCTGTCTAGTCTGGTATAGCCGGTCTGACCTCTTGGCTCAACTGGTATCATCTCCAACCAATTCGTGCCATGCCTTGCTAAGAGAAAGACCATAAGAGGCAATGAAGAAAAGAACAGTTCAGACTTCTTTTCTTAGGTGACATAATTCTGTCTTTCCACTTTCTGTCCTGTCATGAAAAATTTGAAGAAAAATTTTAATTAAAGTATACACATTCAACTGGGCATGGTGGCTCATGCCTGTAATCCCAGCAATTTGGGAGGCCAAGGCAGGAGGATCACCTGAGGTCAGGAGTTTCAGACCAACCTGGCCAACATGGTGAAACCTCATCTCTACTAAAATTACAAAAATTAGCCAAGTGTAGTGGCACACGCCTGTAATTCCATCTACTCAGGAGGCTAAGGCAGGAGAATCACTTGAAACCAGGAGGTGGCAGTTGCAGTGAGCCAAGATAGTGCCAATGCACTCCAGCCTGGGTGACAGAGCAAGACTCTGTCTCAAAAAAAAAAAAAAATCTGCATGCACAAGCAGAGAATATGTATTAAAAAAATCAGCAGAGCCTCACATTCAAGGATTTTCTACACAAGAAACCATTCCTAAAATATGTGCTTGGAATTACTAGGGTTTCTCTTGCAAACATTTTAATAACACCTCATTCTTTTAAAATTGTGGTTATATATATCATGTTATTAGATCATTACAGCAACTCTCCTGGGTAAAGCGGTTATTTCTAGGTCATTTTATAGAAGGAAAAACAACCAGTACTTTTTTTTGCTTTACTTCAGTAGCTATTGCCTCCTTCAGTTTGAAATTTCAATCCTGGCACGTAGTGGAGGCTCAACAAATATTTGTTGGAGGAATGCCATTTAAAATACAATGACTGGATAGGAGAATATTTAAGGGCATTAACATTTTTTAAAAGCCAAAAAAAATTACAATTGGACTTAGGAGATTTTGATTTTTTTGTGTGTATTTTCTTTTAAAAAATAAGCTTCTCTAGGCTGGGCTTGGTGGCTCATGCCTGTAATCCCAGCAGTTTGGGAGGCTGAGGCGGGTGGATCACCTGAGGTCAGGAGTTTGAGACCAGCCTGGCTAACATGGTGAAAACCCATCTCTACTAAAAATACAAAAATTAGCTAGTGGTGGCGGCATACACCTGTAATTCCAGCTACTAGGGAGGCTGAAGCAGGAGAATCACTTGAACCCGGGAGGCGGATGTTGCAGTGAGCCGAGATCACACCACTGCACTCCAGCCTGGGTGACAGAGCAAGACTCCATCTCAAAAATAAATAAATAAATAAATAAGTAAAGTATATAAATAAATAACCTTCTCTTTTGGCTTCCTCCAATGTACTCTCTTTGAGTAGGAAGAAATTACATTGTTATGATTTAGACTAGTAAATTCTTTTTTTTTTTTTTTTTTTTTTGATATGGAGTTTCACTCTTATTGCCCAGCCTGGAGTGCAGTGGCGTGATCTTGGCTCACTGCAACCTCTGCCACCAGGGTTCAAGTGATTCTCCTGCCTCAGCCTCCCGAGCAGCTGGGATTACAGGTGCCGGCCATCACACCTGGCTAATTTTTATAGTTTTAGTACAGATGGGTTTTCACCATCTTGGCCAGGCTGGTCTTGAACTCCTAACCTCGTGATCCACCCGCCTCGGCCTCTCAAAGTGCTGGGATTACAGGTGTGAGCCATTGTGCCTGGCCGACAAGTAAATGCTTACATCAAAAAACTGAGTTAGAATTGGTCCCTGGAGCTGTTTTCTCTCCCTAAAATGATGACGTCAAGCTATCATGTATAATAAATAACAACTCAATTGACCACATATTTTCCTTTAAGCCTAATGAGGAAATAATATTATAGTGAAATACTTAGAAGTTTTAAGGGAAAAAATCCTTTGTCATTAAATTAAAATTTAAACCGAAACAATCACTTGACTGTTTTAGAATAAAATTGGCATATGAAAGGTTTGATAGCCAACGACAGTAAGATTAACATACTACAGCATTTGCCTTTAGCATTTACTGAGTAATACTTAAAGCTATCATAAATGTGCAAATGAAGACATTGTTTATTGTTTTACTGCTGAGATTAATATTTTTTCAGATTTCTAAAACATTACAACAAATGCACACATGAGGGCGCTCTAATCAGACAGATACGGAGAGGGTAGGCATTTGTTGACTGTTAAGTTCAAAACTAGTTGTAGCCGGGCGGGCGGGGTGGCTCAGGCCTGTCAGCCCAGCACTTTGGGAGGCCGAGGCGGGCGGATCACGAGGTCAGGAGATTGTAAACCATCCTGGATAACACTGTGAAACCCCGTCTTTACTAAAAATACAAAAAAACAAAAAAAGCCAGGTGTGGTGGCTGGCGCCTGCAGTCCCAGCTGCTCGGGAGGCTGACGCAGGAGAATGGCGCGAACCTGAGAGGCGGAGCTTGCAGTGAGCCGAGATCGCGCAGCCGCACTCCAGCCTGGGCGACAGCGCGAGACTCCGCCTCAAAAACAAAAAACAAACAAAAAAAAAACCAAGCTAGTTCTATACTTTTACAGATGGAAAAATCAAGGTCCACCAAAGAGGTTATGATTCTACATCAGTTATTCTCTAGAGGAAATAAATTGGGTATTAGAATTTTAAAAAGATTGAACAGAAATCCCTGTCAGTGAATTTATGCTGGATAATTTTGACTCTTACCCCAGCAACTCCTTATTGAAAATCTTTACCCATGGCATGATATAATTTATCTACAATCTTAAATGGGTTCGGCAATAGTGTTTATAGGATGTAGGAGAAAGACTTAATTAGAATATTTATTTTTATGAACTTTTGCTCTATAAAATTATAAAATGTTAATTGTACTTCATTTATACTTTTTTTTTTTTTTTTTTGAGATGGAGTCTCGCTCTGTCGCCCAGGCTGGAGTGCAGTGGCGTGATCTCAGCTCACTGCAACCTCTGCCTCCGGGGTTCAAGCGATTCTCCTGCCTCAGCCTCCCAAGTAGCTGGGACTACAGGCACACACCACCACGCCTGGCTAATTTTTGTATTTTTAGTAGAGACGGGGTTTCGCCATGTTGGCCAGAGTGGTCTCGAACTCCTGACCTCAAGGGATCTGCCCGCCTTGGCCTCCCAAAGTGCTAGGATTACCGGTGTGAGCCACCAACACCTGGCCCATTTATACTTAAAGCTGATTTTCAACTGATTTGGGTAAGATCCTTAGTCTTTCCCCATCTCTGACATAATTCCTAGTTTGTCCTTTGGCTTTCCTATGTATATAAAGCTACCAGGCTGCTTGCAGATTTTCCAGGGAAGGAGTCCCATAAACACTCACAAAGATTTTATTAGGGAGAAGCTATGATGGGAATATAGAATGTAGTTTTTTTAATTTAAAAATCAGTATGGGCCGGGCGCAGTGGCTGAAGCCTGTAATCCCAGCACTTTGGGAGGCTGAGGCAGGCGGATCACGAGGCCAGGAGATCGAGACCATCCTGGGTAACACAGTGAAACCCTGTCTTCTACTAAAAATACAAAAAATTAGTTGGGCGTGGTGGCGTGCATCTGTTGTCCCAGCTACTCGGGAGGCTGAGGCAGGAGAACGGCGTGAACCCGGGAGGCGCAGCTTGCAGTGAGCCGAGATCGCGCCACTGCACTCCAGCCTGGGCGACAGAGCGAGACTCAGTCTCAAAAAAAAAAAAAAAAAAAAAAATCAGGATGAGCCGGCCGCAGTGGCTGATGCCTGCAATCCCAGCACTTTGGGAGGCCGAGGCGGGCGGATCACGAGGTCAGCAGATCGAGACCATTCTGGCTAACACGGTGAAACTCCGTCTCTACTAAAAAATACAAAAAATTAGCCGGAGGCGGTGGCCGGCGCCTGTAGTCCCAGCTACTCCGGAGGCTGCAGTCCCAGCTACTCCAGAGTCTGAGTCAGGAGAATGGTGTGAACCCTGGAGGCAGAGCTTGCAGTGAGCGGAGATCGCGCCACTGCACTCCAGCCTGGGCGACAGAGTGAGACTCAGTCTCAAAAAAAAAAAAAAAAAAAAAAAAGCAGTATGTAGAGCTGGGCACGGTGGTGTGTGCCTATTAGCCCAGCCACTGGGGAGGCTGAGGCAGGAGAAGCCCTTGAGCCCAAGAGTTTAAGACTAGCCTGGGCAACACAGCGAGACCCTCATCTCAAAAAAAAATAATAAAATAAAGTATTGCAATATTTATTATATAGGCAAATTTTTTTTCAACTTAAGCACTACCCTCATCAAGGGAAGATTTGTTTGATTAGATCCCCACACAGGCTGGCCACTTCCTCATTTCTACTTTTTCTTTTCTTTTTGAGATGGAGTTTTGCTCTCGTTGCCCAGGGTGGAGTGCAATGGCACGATCTTGGCTCACTGCAACCTCCGCCTCCCGGGTTCAAGCGATTCTCCTGCCTCAGTCTCCCAAGTAGCTGGGATTACAGGCACCTGCCACCACACCCGGCTAATGTTTGTATTTTTAGTAGAGACGGGGTTTCACCACGTTGGCCAAGTTTGCCTCGAACTCTTGAGTTCAAGCGATCTACCCGCTTCGGTCTCACAAAGTGCTGGAATTACAGGTGTGAGCCACCGCGCCCGGCCTCATTTCTACTTTTTCAAAGAAGTCAATTTTCTTTAAAAAATAAACTCTTTTGGCCACACGGTGGCTCATTCCTATAACCCTAGCACTTTGGGAGGCAGAGGCAGACGGATCGCTTGAACTCAGGAGTTCAAGACCAGCCTGGCCAACATGGTGAAACCCTGTCTCTACAAAAAATTAGCTGGATGCAGTGGCACGTGCCTGTACTCCCAGCTACTCGGGAGGCTGAGGCAAGAGCATCACTTGAGTCCAGGAGGCAGAAGTTGCAGTGAACTGAGATCACACCATTGCACTCCAGACTGGCTGATGGGAGTGAAACCCTGTCTCAAATAAATAAATAAATAAATAAATAAACTCTTATTTAAAAAAAAAAAAAGCAAATCATGAAACAAAACAAAACCCAGGGCTCTGAATGAAACAGATCTCTCCTTTAGGGGGCTAGATGATGGAAAAGAAAATATATCATGAATTTCATGTTCTCATTTGTCTTCATTAATGACTTATATGTATATATATTTCCATTGAAGACATAGATATGCATTTGATCACCTACATTTGTTTGTATTTTGAGTCATAAATTAAGTCATTTCCTGTCCAGAAAGCACCTGACAATCTTATGATAAAAAACATGGAATTTTAAAATCACAAATGCAAATAACAAGCCAGGCACAGTGGCTCATGCCTGTAATCTTAGCTTTTTGGGAGGCCAAGGTGGGCAGATTGTTTGAACTCAGGAGTTTGAGACCAGCCTGGGTAACATGGAGAAACCCTGTCTTTACAAAAAATAAAAAATTAGTGGGGCACGGTGGCATGTGTCTGTAGTCCCAGATACTCAGGAGGCTAAGGTGGGAGGAGTGCTTGAGCCCAGGAGGTCGAGGCTGCTGTCAGCTGTGGTCGCACCACTGCACTCCAGCCTGGGTGACAGAGTGAGACCCTGCCTCAAAAAAAAAAAAAAAAAGAAAAAAAAAGGAGTGCAAATAACAGATGACCTTACAAACATCAAAAGTTATATCTTTATTTATAATAAGTTTTGTCTATATTTAATGAAATATATTAGACAAGTAAAAAATGTAGCAGTATGCATATGGCTTTATTTTATCTTGGCCCTGCCCACTACTCTGCCCTCATCTCTTTTCCTTCCCACTGAGTCCTTCCACATTGGCCACATCACAGCAAACCTGACAAGCTTCTGCCTGAAATAGCACCATGGCACTTCTCTTCCCTTTGCCTGAAACATTCTTTTTTTTTTTTTTTTTTTTATGAGATGGAGTCTCACTCTCTCACCAGACTGGAGTGCAGTGGCACGATCTCAGCTCACTGCAAACTCCACCTCCTGGGTTCAAGCGATTCTCCTGCCTCAGCCTCCCGAGTAGCTGGGATTACAGGAGCATACCACCATGCCCAGCTAATGTTTGTATTTTTAGTAGAGATGGGGTTTCACCATGTTGGCCAGGATGGTCTTGATCTTTTGACCTTGTGATCCACCCGCCTCAGCCTCCCAAAGTGCTGGGAATACAGGCATGAGCCACCGTGCCCGGCCAACATTCTTATTCCCCTTTTCTTTGACCATTGAACAAAAGCTCTAAGATAGCAAAGGCTTTGTCTGGTTCAGTAAGGGTCTCAACAGAAAAACGATGGAACAGTCAGAATAATTACTGGACATTTTATATAAATGGAATCATACACTATGTGACGTGTTTTTTTGTGACTGGCTTTTTTGACTCAGCATAACATTTTCAAGGCTCATTCATGTGCTAGCATGTGTCAGTATTTCATTCCTTTTTGTTGCTCAACTGTAAAGTTTATTGACACAGTATTTATTTTATTTAGTAAAGGGTTATTTACAAATGTAAAAGGGTAGAGGAATCATAAAAATGAGTGTAGTATCCCGGAGCCAGTAGCAGCTGCCATGTTACCATCTTTAGACCCAAAATGGCAAGGGGAATAGTGGTCAGTTGAACCTAAAAGAGTCAGCGTGTAAAATCGGCTGCCCTGGAAGAGCAGTGGCCTTCACTGGAGAGACACAGCCAGCCCAAGGTCCCCTCTCAGTGAGGGAGATGAAACAGTAAGTATCCTGAGCCTACCTTCCTTTCCACTCTAATTTCCTGCCTGGATTACCAGTTGGCCAAACCCAACCAAGACATGGGAACCCTTTTGATGTGGATTATAAGGTCAGCCTCTGAGAGCAGAGTGGAGATGGGGGAAGAGTGGGTCTAGAAAGGTAAACAGAAGACATATGACAATTTCTGTATTTGCAACACCTAGAACATTGCCTTACATATAGCGATTTTAAAAACTGTAACAACTTTATTGAGGTTTAAGTCACAAACCAGGCAGTTCACCAATTAAAAGTGTATAATTCAATGGGTTTTAATATATTCACAGAGTTTTGCAGTCATCACCACAGTCATTTTTTTTTTTTTTTTTTTTGAGACCGAGTTTCCCTCGTTGCCCAGGCTGGAGTGCAATGTCATGATCTCAGCTCACCACAACCTCCACCTCCCTGGTTCAAGCGATTTTCCTGCCTCAGCCTGGTATGCACCAGCACGCCTGGCTAATTTTGTATTTTTAGTAGAGAGGGGGTTTCTCCACGTTGGTCAGGCTAGTCTTGAACTCCCGACCTCAGGTGATCCACCCGCCTCGGCCTCCCAAAGTGCTGGGATTACAGGCATGAACCCCCGTGCCCGGCCACCACAATCAACTTTAGAATATTTTCATTTCTCCCAAAAAGAAATCCCATACCCATGCGCAGTCACTCCCCATTTCCTCCATCCCTCAGTCCTAGGCAACCACTAATTTACTTTCTTTTAGGATAGGATTTGCCTATCTTGACATTTCATATAAATGGAACCATACAATTTGTGGTCTTTTGTGACTGGCTTCTTTCAAGTAACCTAATGTTTTCAAGGTTCATTCATGTTATAGCATGTGTCAGTACTTATTTCCTTTTTTTTTATGGCTCAATAATATTCTGTTGTAGGAATACAACACATTTCATTTATCTGTTTGTCACTTTTTTTTTTCTTTGAGATGGAGTCTCAGTCTTTCACTCAGGCTGTAGTACGGTGGTGTGATCTTGGCTCACTGCAGCCTCCACCTCCTGGATTGAAGCCATTCACCTGCCTCAGCCTCCCGAGTAGCTGGGATTACAGGCACGTATACCATGTCCCGCTAATTTTTGTATTTTTAGTAGAGATCGGATTTCACTATGTTGGCCAGGCTGGTCTCAAACTCCTGACCTCAAGCGATCCTCCTGCCTTGGCCTCCCAGAGTGTTGGGAGCCACCATGCCCAGCTGTCTCCACTTTTTGACTATTATGAATAATGCTGCTATGAACATTCACATATAAGTTTTTGTGTGGACACATGTTTTCATTTCCCTTGGGAATATGATGAAGCCTGGCATTGCCAGGTCATATGATAACTCTATGTTTAAACTTTGGAGGAACTGCCAGACTATTTCCAAAGCAGTTCCAACTTCATTGCAAAGCATTTTACATTCCCTCCAGCAACATATGAGTGTTTCAATTTTTCCACATTCTCTCCAACACTTGTTATTATCTGTCTTTTTATTATAGCCATTCCTGTGAGTGTGAAGTGGTTTCTTAATGTGGTTTGGATTTGCACTTCCCTGATGGCTAATAATGTTTCTATGGTTTGAATGTTTGTGTCCTCCAAAATTCAAGTTATAACCTAAGACCTAATGTGATGGTGTTAAGAAGTGAGGCCTTCAAGGTGGTGATTAAGTCATGAGTGCTCTGCCCTCGTGAATGAAATTAATGCCCTTATAAAAAGGCTTCACATAGCATTTCTTCTTTTTTTTCCTTTCTTTTCCTGCTATGTGAAGATGCCACTGTGAGAACAGGAACAATGGAATAGGCCCTCACCAAATGCCAAATATGCTATTACCTTGATTTTGGATTTACCAGCCACCGGAACTGTGAGGAGTAAATTTTTTGCTTCTAAATTACTCAGTCTCAGGTATTTTGTTATAGCAGCACAAACAGACTAAGACAGAAATTGAGTGTATTTTCTTGTGCTTATTGGTGATTTATTTTCTTTGTTTTATTTTTATTTATTTATTTATTTATTTATTTATTTTTAGGTGGGGTTTTGCTCTGTTGCCCAGGCTGGAGTGCAGTGGTACAATCTTAGCTCATTGCAAACTCTGCCTCCCGGGTTCAAGTGATTCTTGTGCCTCATCTGCCTGAGTACCTGGGACTACAGGCATGCGCCACACGCCTGGCTAATTTTTATATTTTTAGTAGAGATGGGTTTTCGCCATGTTGGCCAGGCTGGTCTCAAACTCCTGGCCTCAAGTGATCCACCTGCCTTGGCCTCCCAAAGTGTTGGGATTATAGGCATAAGCCACAGCACCTGGCCCTTATTGGCCATTTGTATGTCTTCTTTGGAGAAATATCTGTTCAGATCTTTTTTCCATTTTAAAATCGGGTTATATCCTTTTTATTATCAAGTTGTAAGAGTTCTTTATGTATTCTAGATCCAAGTCCATTGTCAGATACAGTAGTCCCCCTTATGCTTTCTGCAGTTTCTGTTACCTGCAGGTAGCTGCAATCCCAAATATTACAGTATTTTGAGAGAGAGAAAAAACTATTCATGTAACTTATATTAAAGTATATTCTAGCCGGGCACGGCGGCTCACACCTGTAATCCCAGCACTTTGGGAGGCTGAGGTGGGTGGATCACAAGGTCAGGAGTTTGAGACCAGTCTGGCCAATATGGGGAAACCCCGTCTCTATAAAAAATACAAAAATTAGCCGGGCATGGTGGCAGGCACCTGTAGTCCCAGCTACTTGGGAGGCTGAGGCAGGAGAATCGCTTGAACCCCAGAGGCAGAGGTTGCTGTGAGCCGAGATGGCGCCACAGTACTCCAGCCTGGGCAACAGAGCAAGACTCCATCTCAAAAAAATATATATATTCTAATTGTTCTATTTTATTATTAGTTTTTGTTGTTATTCTATTACAGTGCCTAATTTATAAATTAAACTTTATCATAGGTATGTATGTATGTATAGGAAAAAACATAGTATATATAGAGTTTGGTACTACCTGCAGTTTCAGGTATACACTGGAGGTCTTGGAACATATTTTGTTATGTATATATATCTATATATTTATAAATATGTATTTATGTATAGCTATATATTTATGTATCTATATCTATAAATATATGTTTATATATCTATATATCTATATCTATAAATATATGTTTATATATCTATATATCTATATATCTATATATAGATCTATATCTATATCTATATATATTTATATATAGATATATGTATTTATCTATATATATAGATATATAGATATAGATATAGATAGATATATATTTATCTATATATAGATATAGATCTCTATAGATATATTTATCTACATATAGATATATAGATAAATTTATATCTATATCTAGATAAATATCTATATCTATATCTATCTATCTATATATTTTTTGAGATAGGGTCTCGGTCTATTGCCCAGGTTGGGGTACATTAATGCAATCTTGGGTCACTGCAGCCTCAACCTCCTGGGCTCACGTGATTCTCCCACCTCAACCTCCCAAGTAGCTGAGACCACAGGCACATGTCACCATATCTGGGTAATTTTATTTATTTATTTTAGAGATAGGGTCTCTCTATGTTGCCCAGGTTAGTCTTGAGCTCCTGAGCTCAAGTGATCCTCCCACCTCAGCCTTCCAAAGTTCTGGGGTTACAGGCATGAGCCACTGTGTCCAGCTACATATTTTCCACAAATAAAGTGGGTCTACTTTGTATATGATTTGCAAGTATTTTCTCCCATTCTGTGGGTTGTCTTTCACCTTTTTTTTTCTTGAGTCCTCCAAAATTCATGTTATAACCTAAGACCTAATGCAATGATGTTAAGAAGTGAGGCCTTCAAGGTGGTGATTAGGTCATGAGTGCTCTGCCCTCGTGAATGAAATTAATGCCCTTATAAAAAGGCTTCACATAGCATTTCTTCTTTTTTTTTGCCTCAGCCTCCTGAATAGCTGGGATTACAGACATGTGCCACCATGCATGGCTAACTTTTGTATTTGTAGTAGAGACAGGGTTTCACCATGTTGGCGAGGCTGGTCTCGAACTCCTAACCTCAGGTGATCGGCCCGCCTCGGTCTTGCAAAGTGCGGGGATTGCAGGCGTGAGCCACCACGCCCAGCACATGCATCAATTTTTATGATTCCTTGCTTGAACTGATCAACCAGTCAACTACTGATTCCAATAAGGTTGGATGAGGTGGCTTATACTCTACTTATTTGCCGCCCCCCCTTCTTCCTTTTTTTTTTTTTAAGACAGGGCCTTTGACACGCTGGCTGGAGTGCCATGGTGTGATCTTGGCTCACTGCAGCCTCTACTTCCTGGGCTCAAGCAGTCTTCCCACCTCAGCCTCTTAAGTAGCTGGAACTACAGATGTGTGCCCCTATGCCTGGCTAATTTTTGTATTTTTGTCGAGACGGGGTCTCCCCATGTTGCCCAGGCTGGTCTCCAACTCCTGGGCTCAAGAGATCCGCCCACCTTGGCCTCCCAAAGCGCTGGGATTACAGACATGAGCCACTCTGCCCGGCAACTTGTAACAATTCTTTGTATGTTCTTGATACAAGTCAGTTGTCAGATACAGTGGTAGTACATAATTAAACATAATTATATAGAATTATATTTTATATAAGTGCAGCATTATATAAAATAGCAAAAATTTGGAAATAACCAAATGTCCAACAATAGGTAGTTAGCTAAATACATTGTGAAACATCCATGTAATGAAAGCTATACTACTATAAAAAATGATCTAGATCTATTTATACTGACATCGACAGATGTCTAACATAAATTACATGAAAATAGGAAGTGACAAAGAAGAGAGTTTGGTATAATCTCATTTGCATTAAAGTAATCAAAAAAACCAACTTATATAATAGATACAGGCTGGGCAGGATGGCTCACGTCTGTAATCCCAGCACTTTGGGAGGTCAGGGCAGGAGGATCACTTAAGCCTAGGAGTTCAAGATCAGGCTGGGCAACATACCCAGACCCCATATCTACAAAAAGTTTAAAAATTAGCCAAGTGAGCTACGATCATGCCACTGCACTCCAGCCTTGGGGATAGAGCAAGACTGTCTCTAAATAAAATAAAACAAAATAAAATAAAATACGCTGGGCATGGCAGCTCATGCTGTAAAAGTGCTGTAATCCCAGCACTTTGGGAGGTTGAGGCAGGTGGATCACCTGAGGTCAGGAGTTCAAGACCAGCCTGGCCAACATGGTGAAACCTCATCTGTACTAAAAATACAAAACTTAGCTAGGCATGGTGGTGCACGTCTATAATCCCAGATACTCGGGAGGCTGAGGCAGAAGAATTGCTTGAACCTGGGATGCAGAGGTCACACTGAGCTGAGACCGCACCATTGCATTCCAGCCTGGGTGACAGAGCAAAACTCTGTCTCAAAAAATTAAAATAAAATAAAGTAAAATAAAATATAATAGATATAGCTACATATGTGTGAAAAGGACAATAACATTAAATTATGAGTGTTTTCTGTTGCTGTTTCTGTCCTCCCTTGGGGGACCTTTCTAAGGGGGAAGCAGTCTTCATTTACTTGACGAATTGTCCAACCATGAGGTCACTTAGGCTGAAAACTGAAAATGCCTATATACTGCTTTACTTATGAATAGGAAAACATAAAAGGAAAAGAAACAAGAGGAAGTAGGTTTGAGACAATGTAGCTATGAGTTTGGAGGAAGAAAGAGAGAAAGGGCAGTTTTGTGAGATAGAGGGAAAATGGCTAACGTGGACATTTTGGAAGTTTTATTGTGACATGCAGTGTAATTTTCAGTTATTCATTTTCTCAAAGCTGCAATGAAGTTCTCCATTGCTCTCTAAGGCTTTTGGAGTTGTTATTGTGTTTTATAAAATCTATATCTGCAGATAGAGACTGACCTCATATATGAATAGAAAAAAAATCTGAAGAAGTAAAAATCGTCGATAATGATAATCTCTGGAGAGAAAATTTTCTGGGGAACTTTCATTTTCTCTATTGTGTCTTTCCGTAAGGTTAGAAAGTTTTGTTATGAGTATACATTCCTTTAGTTACTAGGAAATGAAATGTAACACTGTGGGGCTTGTTCCCTTATTTCAGGACTAGGGATTAAAGTAGTGAAATAAAAATGACTTTTAATTCCACCTGATGAGTTTAGATCACAGCTTTCTCATTGATAATATTAAAACAAGCAGCTGCTTTTATTTTGGAAGGCATTAACTCAACTTAAGTTTCATTAAAGATATTTGCTCAAGCACTGTAGCACTTGGGATTGTCTGCTATGTAGGGTGGATATATGTGTGTGTGTGTCCACAAATTGTTTAATACTTTTTATCAACTTTAGTTCATAAGCCTTCTGCAAACATTTTCAATGACTGCCTGCTTGTATATAATGTTAGATGTTGCAAATTGACCTTAGAAATTGTAACAGATAATTAAATGAGTTCACTCTGCTATTTACACAATAGAGCCTAGTTTATTTAATTTGTGGGAACCAAGATTCAGAAAGCAGTAGGAAGGAGCTATCAGTTTTTTTGTCTGAAAGGGCTCTTCTTCCTGGATTTTAATGTTTTAAAGGAGAAAGTAATAACAAAGTTGCCAGATCCTGTTCTTTCTCTGCATTGAGGTCCTGTAACATGGTGGTTATTCACATTGACTCTTGGTTCACAGCAAGTTGTTGGCTGCATGGGTTCACAGCGTAGTTCTGTGACCTCAAGCAAGCCAGTTCACCTATTTGTGCCTCAGTTTTCTCATATATAAAATGAGGAGATAGGCCGGGCACCATCTGAGTTCAGGATTTCAAGACCAGCTGGGTCAACATGGTGAAACCCCGTCTCTACTAAAAGTACAAAAAATTAGCCGGGTGTGGTGGCAGACACGTGTAATCCCAGTTACTTGGGAAGCTGAGGCAGGAGAATCACTTGAACTCAGGAGGCAGAGGTTGCAGTGAGCCGAGATCATGCCGCTGCACTCTAGCCTGGGCGACAAAATGAGACTCCATCTCAAAAACAAACAAACAAGCAAAAAAACCGAGGAGCTAATGCCTTCCTTCACTGGGTTGCTGTAAGCATTAAATAAGAATATATATATAGGGTTGATAGCAATGCACCTGGCATAAACTGTGCTTAATACATGGAAACTAATAATAGTTTGTTATTCTTGAATTTTCTTTTCTCTAGAATTTTGAAACTATTTTAGAAATAACAAAGGGCTGTGAATTTTACCAAAGACTACACTGAATTCAATCTGATGTAAATCAAGTTGCAATCATGGCAAACTTGAAGTAGTATTGTGAAAACGTTTTTGTTTGTTTATTTTTTAAGTTAAGGGTTACGGCCGGGCGCAGTGGTTCACTGATGTAATCCCAGCACTTTGGGGGCCAAGGCGGGCAGATCACTTGAGCTAAAGAGTTCAAGACCAGCCTGGGCAACATGGTGAAATCCCATCTCTACAGAAAATACAAAAATTTGCTTGGCGCGAGGTTGCACACCTGTAGTCCCAGCTACTTGGGAGGCTAAGGTGGGAGGATGGCTTGAGCCTGGGAGGCAGAAGTCGCAGTGAACCGAGATCACACTACTGTACTTCAGCCTGAGTGGCAGAGTGAAACCCTGTCTCAAAAAAAAAAAAAATTAATTAAGCAATTATGAAAGGAGTTCAAAGAAGTTACAGAATGAAAGGGCTGGGTGCGGTGGGTCACTCCTGTAATCCCAGCACTTTGGGAGGCTGAGGTGGGCCGATCACCTTAGGTCAGGAGTTTGAGACCAGACTGGCCAAAATTGCAAAACCCCATCTCTACTAAAAATACAAAAAAAATTAGTGGGGCGTGGTGGCTGGCACCTGTAATCCCAGCTACGCAGGAGGCTGAGGCAGGAAAATCACTTGAACCCGGGAGGTGGAGGTTGCCAATAGCCAAGATCAAGCCGCTGCACTCCAGCCTGGGAGACAGAGCAAGACTCCATCTAAGAAAAAAAAAAAGAAAAAGAAAAAGGTATATTTAAGTGATGGAACGATATTCTCTTCCGTCTACACCTCCATTCCCCTGTAGCCATCAGCATTCACTGCTTCAAGGAAAGGATGATAGAGGTGAAAATCTTCTGTGTTATAAGAACCAACCTGGGCTTCTGAGTTTCACATACCCAAGGCCTAGAAGATTCATGGTATAAAGTTCATGCCATCAACAGTGATTTGGAGGAACAGATGGAGATCCAGGCTACCTACTCCAATCTGGACTGAGGGGTGTCTCTGGACCCAGCAAGACGTGGGCACAAAGGAAGAGAGTACACGAGCGTGGACATGCAGCGTGCAGGCCACACCCCTGAGAGAGGGCGCAGAGGCTGCCTGCCCACCCTGCCCCAGCAAAGGGACCAGCAGATCTGAAGAGGCCCTGCAGCCAGGACCGGGAAGACTCCCCAGGAGCCAGCAGGAAGGCTCCCCAGGAGCCAGGTGGGGTCTCAGCACATGGTGGCCCAGATAAATGGCAACTAGCAGCCCCAGCATCACGTTGGCCTCTGGAACTTAGGTGCAGTGAGGAAAGGCAGGAGGAGGCATTCTGCATTCACTCAGATTAAGTTTCTGCCATTGGGCAGAATGGGGACTCAAAATAGAAATTAAGTGTGGTGATATAAAAATAAAAGTTAGTCTTTTACACTTCTGAGTTAAGGCTTTAAGTATATGAAGATCTAAATACATTCCAAATGTTTTACTAGGATGTTTTGAAATATCATATCTTTCTTGTACCAGAAAAACTGTAAGCTGCCTTCTTAACATCATGACTAGAAAAAATATGTCATTGTTCATGAGGCTGAGCACACATTAGATAACAGGTAGACATTTTAACCATACCGCTGGAGGATTAAAATAGTACTTTGGTATATGCCCAACATAAATGCATACTTATATTCAGTAAAAGGCATGTTCTAGAATGTTCATGGTAGCACTATTTTTTTTTTTTTTTTTTTTTTGGAGACAGAGTCTTGCTCTGTCACCCAGGCTGGAGTGCAGTGGCAAGATCTCGGCTCGCTGCAACCTCTGCCTCCTGGGTTCAAATGATTCTCCTGTCTTAGCCTCCGCAGTATTTGGGATTATACATGTGTGCCACCATGCCTGGCAAATTTTTGTATTTTTAGTAGAGACAGGGTTTCTCCATGTTGGGCAGGCTGGTCTTGAACTTTTGACCTCAAGTGATCCACCTGCTTCGACCTCCCAAAGTGTTGGGATTACAGGCATGAGCCACCACGCCCGGCCAGCAGCACTTTTTGTAATAGTCAAAATCTAACCAACTAAATGCTCAATTAACAGTAGTGTGGACAAATAAATTGTGGTACATCAAGCAATGGAATAGTCTACAACAATGAGAAGGAACAAGCTACATGCAAAAGCATGGCTACATTTCACAAACCTAAATTGAGTAGGAGAAGTCATTCACAAAGGTCCTAATGTACTATCCCATTTACATAAAGTTTACCGCAGGCAAAACTAACCTATCAATTAGAAGTCAGGATATGGAGTTAGGGGGCGTGGCTAGTGACTAAGAGCAAATATGAGGCTGGCTTTTGGGGAGCTAGTGACATTCTGTGTCTCGATCTGGCTGAGAATATGTTCAGTTTGTGAAAATTCATTGAGCTGTACACTTATGATATCCGTAACGTTAAAAAAATACAATTTAACACTCAAAAGCTACTATATTAGGGTGCTAGCTGATTTTATGCCTTCAACTTGCTTAATGTTTTCATTTATATACAATAGCATTTTACACCATGTCAGTTAAGCAATCTATTGCAAAATAACTTACAGTAAAATCATAATAAATTTATACAAAGTATTGATTTAGCATTAATTTTCCAACTGTGAAAGTCAATGAACCATAAATCTGTAAACAAATTGGTGAAGTGAAAGGCATAAATGACAACAAAAATTAGTCACTGTGTTGTGTATGTGCTTTTCCGATGGCTATAAGGGGAAAATATATGGGACGAGGCTTCTTAAAATTTTAAATTAGTGACATAAAAATAACATAATGCACGAAGAAATAGACTATCTCAAAATTGTGAAGAAAACCATCCTGGAATCTGGTTGATAATCTTGACATACTGGTATCACAATTCAGTTTCCCTGCAAGGGAAAGCATCGTCACACTCTTGTGCTTCCAAAAATGTTGGAGGCAAATCTATACAACACAGTCAATTTAATTCCTAGAATATCATGTTTCTGTTTATATGCATATGTTTGAATATCTTTACTATTTTAAAAGCCCACATTGCAGGCATCATCTTGGCAATACAATAGTTTAGGCCCCCAGTGGACATTTGTATCTCCTTGACTATGTGTTTTATGAGTGATTGCCCAGCATGAGTTTGATCACCTGCAGTGATGGGAATGCACCACCTCCCAATACATCGTGGCCTATTCTGTTCTAGCCTTGGCTAGTTACTTAGAGATTATGGTGATTCTTGTAGTTCAGTTTCTGTTTTGGTCAGAGAAAACCTTTTTTCGAAGACTATATTTACTAGACCCATTGCAGCTCCATCTCAATGGCATCAACTGAGCACCAGAGACCAGATAAGAGAGTGGCTAAGTTGGTTAAGATGCCACTATCATTGCTTGGAGAAAAACATAAGTTCTTCATGTTGACACACTTAATTGATAGTTGCTGATATGGTTTGGCTCTGTGTCCCAACCCAAATCTCATCTTGAATTGTAATCCCCAGGTGTTGAGGGAAGGGCCTGGTGGGAGGTGATTGGATCAGGGGGGTGGTTTCCCCCATGCTGTTCTCGTGATAGTGAGTGAGTTCTCCCAAGAACTGATGGTTTTATAAGGGACTCTTTGCTCTTCGCTTCCTCTCTCCTGCCGCAATGTAAGATGTGCCTGCTTTCCCTTCTGCCACGATTGTAAGTTTCCTGAGGCATCCCCAGCCATGCAGAACTGTGGGTCAATTAAATCTCTTTCCTTTATAGATTACCCAGTCTTGGATATTTCTTTATAGCAGTATGAAAATGGACTAATACAGTTGCTGTC